>NC_000008.11:40769193-41072223 GCF_000001405.40 Homo sapiens | reverse complement strand
ACTGTAACCTCAAACTCCTGGCCTCAAGCAACCCTCCCACCTTGTCCTCCCAAAGTGCTGGGATTACAGATGTGAGCCACTGTACCCAGCCCCAAAGCCTAGCTTTTAAAAGGAAGAAAACTCACTTCTCTTAAATAATTGAGGAGATGATAAAGATAACACAACAAATTATTCTGATGAAACACAGAATCTGTTTCCTAGATGGATTATTTAAAAAGTAAAGAAAAACCTACTATGACCTTTTATTAGAAGCAGACCAATAATTCAAAAATATGTTGTCATTTTTTTTTTTTTTGAGACATAGTTTCACTCTTGTTGCCCAGGCTGGGGTGCAGTGGCACGATCTTGGCTCACTGCAACCTCTGCCTCCCAGTTTCAAGTGATTCTCCTCCCTGAGCCTCCTGAGTAGCTGGGATTACAGGCGCCCACTACCATGCCTGGCTAATTTTTTGTATTTTTAGTAGAGACGGGGTTTCATCCTTTTGGCCAGGCTGGTCTCAAACTCCCGACCTCAGGTGATCCACCTGCTTCGGCCTCCCAAAGTGCTGGGATTACAGACATGAGCCACCATGCCTGGGCCATGTTGTCATTTTTTTTTTTTTTTTTTTTTGAGACAGAGTCTCGCTCTGTCCCTCAGGCTGGAGTGCAGTGAGTGGCGCCATCTTGGCTCACTGCAAGCTCCGCCTCCCGGGTTCAAGCCATTCTCCTGCCTCAGCCTCCCGAGTAGCTGGGACTACAGGCGCCCCCCACCACGCCAGGCTAATTTTTTGTATATTTAGTAGAGAAGAGGTTTCACCATGTTAGCCAGGATGGTCTTGATCTCCTGACCTCGTGATCTGCCCACCTCGGCCTCCCAACGTGCTGGGATTACAGGCCTGAGCCACTGCGCCCAGCCAATGTTGTCACTTTTAAGAGAGAGAAAACCAAATTCTAATTTTGCATCAGTGCACTGTTGACATTAAGGCTCATTCTAATACCTTATAAGTAAATCCATTTCATCTTGACAAGTTTGACCACGTGAGATAAGATTCTCTTTCTCTTTTCCATGGACCTTTTACAGCTTGTTATATCCATTCAGTTGTACACTTTTCTCTTTCTCATTCTAGAACAACATTTAAATAACCACTATACAACCGCGTTAGGAAAAAATACTCTTTTTCCCTTAACAAAAAAACCCATCTTACATCCTTTGTATCCTTTGCATAACATACAAAATTGTTTTGTTTGTTTGTTTTGTCTTTTTGAGATGGAGTTTTCCTCTTGTTGCCCAGGCTGGAGTGCAATGGGGCGATCTTGGCTTACTGCAACCTCCGCCTCCTGGGTTCAAGCAATTCTCCTACCTTATCCTCCCAAGTAGCTGGGATTACAGCTGTGGGTCACCACGCACAGCTAATTTTGTATTTTTAGTAGAGATGGGGTTTCACCACGTTGGCCAGGCTGGTCTCGAACTCCTGACCTCAGGTGATCTTCTCTCCTCGTCCTCCCAAAGTGCTGGGATTACAGGTATGAGCCACTGAGACGGAGTTTCACCATGGCCACTGAGCCTGGCCTCAAACTTGTTTCTCTTTACCCTTATTTCTAGTAGTTTCATTTACACATTATAATTTTTATCTATTTGTAACCTTTATTTTGCAGAGAAAACTAAGGAGTAGACAGTTGTGAATTGTTTGTCATATGCTGGCATTTCGTAGCAGATTAGCACATTTTATGAATATATCATCTCATAATTTCTAGAGGTATATGCTTCTTTATAGTAAAAAGAAAATTTTCCAAGGTGGCAAAATATTAATGACATGTTTATAAAGAGACCCAGGCCAGGCGTGGTGGCTCACACCTGTAATCCTGGCACTTTGGGAGGCCGAGGCAGGAGGATCACCTGAGGTCAGGAGTTCAAGGCCAGCCTGGCCAACATGGTGAAACCCCGTCTCTACGAAAAATACAAAAATTAGCCAGGCATGGTGGCATGTGCCTATAGTCCCAGCTACTTGGGAGGCTGAGGCAGGAGAATAGCTTGAACCCTGGAGGGCGGTGTGGAAGTGAGCCAAGATCACAACACTGCACTCCAGCCTGGGCAACGGAGTGAAACTGTCTCAAAAGAAAAAAAAAAGAGAGAGAGAGACCCAGATATTTTTAGTCTCTTTGTAAGACTAGGAAGCCAAAAGTATATACACTTAAATTATGTTTACTTACTAATAAATATTTCAGTAGTTTCTTACTTAGAAATTTTTCAATTATTATTATTATTATTATTTTGTGTGTGTGCGTCTGGGGACGGTGTTTTGTTCTTGTTGCCCAGGCTGGAGTGCAGTGGTGCGGTTTGGATCACTGTGACCTCTGCCTCCCTGGTTCAAGTGATACTCCTGCCTCAGCCTCCCGAGTAGCTGGGATTACAGGCATGCGCCACCATGCCCAGCTAATTTTGTATTTTTAGTAGAGATGGGGTTTCTCCATGTTGGTCAGGCTGGTCTCGAACTCCTGACCTCAGGTGATCTGCTTGCCTCGGCCTCCCAAAGTGCTGAGATTACAGGCATGAGCCACGGCACCTGGCCTGAAATTATTTAGATTTTTAATGAATATATATTACCTATCATAACAGTAAGGTTGCAAGTCACCAAAAAGATTTTGGAAACTATCTGTAGGCAGACATAAAACATGATTAAAATTGTTTAAATATAATTTGTTACAATAATGACTCCATTTGTTTAAATTCAAATCTATAAGTTTTATTATGTTAAACATCTACTATATATAATATTAGCATATTTGATTTGCAAATACAGGTAGAAGAAAAATATATGACTGCATTATATTTAAGGCTGACAACCCTGAATATATACCAGTTTTTAGTAAACTTAGAATATCAGGCTATTCTTCGTTGTCAAAATTACATGAACTTGAAAAGCATTTGAATTAGTTTCTATACTTCTGGGTGTTTTAGGAATATTTTATTTATATAAGTGCTTATTTTCCTCTAAGTGAATTAGAATAGAGCTATATCATGGGATTTATAAATCAATTTGCCAATAGCATCTGCAGATAGGAAAATATCACATATACGTAACATGCATATGCACACATATATACATACATAAAGATACAGACAAATGCAAATAGAGAGTGTATGGCTTTCATTCAAAAACTTTCAGCCATGAGGCTGGGCACAGTGGCTCATGCCTATAATTCCAGTGCTTTGGGAGGCCAAGGAGGGAAGACATCTGAGGCCAGGAGCTTGAGGCCAGCCTGGGCAATACAGTGAGATCCTGTTTCTACAAAAAATTTAAAAATTAGTCAGTTGTGGTGATGCACACCTGTAGGAGTCTGAGGTGGGAGGATCACTTGAACCCAGGAGTTTGAGGCAGTAGTGAGCTATGATTGTACCACTGCACTCCAGCCTGGGTGACAGAGCAAGACCTCGTCTCTAATAGAACAAGAAAAAAAGAAAAACTTTTCTTTAGGTCTGGCTGGTTGATGATCTATGAATTAACTGAGAAGAGACAGAATAAAAGGAGAAAAGTCCATTATGCATTGTGGGAGTATTCAGTAGTTAAGAACTCACTGAAAGGCCAGAGATAGAGCTTTACATACCAACCTAACAAAGAAGGGATGGTTTAGGGCTTCAGTGGGAGAAGAAGGAAGGTTCCATTGGTCTTTGTGATGCTGGCAGGCAGCTGAATTTGCACTTATCACTGCTGAGGGTCAGTCTTCTCCCAAACAGGAAATTCCTTTGGAGGGGGGTCAACGGCATCTGTATTTTCAGGAGGCTCTGCTTAAGTATGGATCATGTATCTTTTGGGGGCTGCTGAGGGCTTAGATGTTTTCAGTTTGAAGTAACTTTCATGCCACTTTGGTGGGCTGTTAATCTCACTGGGATACACCAGGGGGTTTACCCTCCACCTTTTTTTCTCCAGCCACTTTCTATTGTTTGATATTTGTGCTATTATTTTTAGTTCTTTTACTGATTAGCTTTACAACTTTGAGTAATGTACTTCTTATTTTAGCAACTTTAAATACCGTCTCTTTACTGCCCACTTTCTATAAGGTATCAGGATTTCTACCCTTTCCTTGACTCATTTTGACTCCCAATGCTGTCATTTGCATGTATTTTTACCACCTTCAGGTTGTTCACATTGACTTTCTCTCTTGCTACCACAGTTCAAGTTGATTCTAAAAGTTCAAAAGCAATAAGCAGCTCTTAAATTATTATGACTAGGTGAAGGCTACTAAATTTAGGGCAAGTGATGTGTCTCCATTGAATGACAAGTGGATCCTCGGGAAGGAGATATGTTCCTACCCACAGATTCCATTGTCATTCAAAAAAGAATGTTCCTAAAGCCATCCATGGTTTATTTTCCTTACACTTTACTGTTGCTTCATGTTATCTCCTAATTTATTTTGTCTCTTTTTTTGGACTTTGTTTGTATTTAGATTTTCCCCCTAAAGTTTCTAATTTTCTTTTCTTTCTTTCTTTTTTTTTCTTCTTTTTTTTTTTGCTACTTCCTAAGTTTTCTCTAAGTTCATGATAATATATTTTATTTTATTGAATCCCCATCCTCACTTTCTTACCCTCCCTTCTTTTCTCCTGGAGACCTCCTAGAAGTTTGTAGTAAGGTGTGCATAGGATATAAACCTCCTGAGTCCTTGCACATCTCAAATCATCTTTATCATCTAATTGCAATTGGTCACTTATTTCTTGGATGATACAATTTTAGAATTGAAATGATTTCCATTAGACATTGGAAGGCGTTGTTCACATAGTTTCTGGCCACCAACGTTGCTGAAGAGAAAGTCTGATCCTAGTCTGATTTGTGTTTCTTTGTACGTAATTTCTTTTTCCTCAGTAAAAGACCTTAGGATGTTCTTTTTGTCCTTGATGTTCTATAATTTTAGGAGGATTGGGCTAGGTCTTTTTCATTTATTGAGTTTATCCTCAGTAGGTCTCTTCAATCTGAAGAATCTTTCCCTTCATCTGGAGAAGACTATTATTTATTTATTTAGAGACGGTGTCTCGCTCTGTCACCCATGCTGGAGTGCCGTGGCATGATCTCGGCTCACTGCAACCTCTGCCTCCTGGGTTCAAGCGATTCTCCTGCCTTAGCCTCCCGAGTAGCTGGGACTACAGGCGTGTGCCACCATGCCTGGCTAATTTTTTATATTTTTAGTAGAGATGGGGTTTCACTTTATTAGCCAGGATGGTCTCCATCTCCTGACCTTGTGATCTTCCCACCTTGGCCTCCCAAAGTTCTGGGATTACAAGCGTGAGCCACCTCACCAGGCCTATTTTTTTTCTTTGAGATGGAGTCTTGCTATTTCACCCTGGCTGGAGTGCAGTGGCATGGTCTCGGCTCACTGCAACCTCTGCCTCCCGGGTTCAAGTGATTCTCCTGCCTCAGCCTCCCAAGTAGCTGGGATTACAGGCACCTACCATTACGCCCGGCTAATTTTTTTGTATTTTTAGTAGAGACGGGGTTTTACCATGTTGGCCAGTCTGGTCTTGAATTTCTGACCTCAGGTGATCCACCTGCCTCGGCCTCCCAAAGTGCTGGGATTACAGGTGTGAGCCACTGCTCCTGGCCTTATTTTATTTTTTGATGGTTTCTCAGACTCTCTCTGTACTCTCTTTCTGGGACATTTGTTACATGGCTCTCTTGGATCAATCCCTATGTCCCTAGATTCTTATTAAAATTTCTTTTTTTACTCTATGTTTTAAGAAGTTTATTTAACTTTGGTCGCTGGTACCTGATAGTGTGCTATCAAACATACTTTGAATCTCTAAAGTGTCTTATTATCATATTATTTTTTGGAGATGGGGTCTCACCATGTTGCCTAGGCTAGACACAAATGCTTGAGTTCAAGCAATTCTTCTGCCTCAGCCTCCCAAGTAGCTGGGATTACAGAAGTGCACTGTATCTGGCTTAAAAAAAATTATTTATTTATTTTTGTGTGTGGCATGTTCCTATTCTTTAGGGATGTAAAATACCTTTTTGAAGAGGGTACTTTAAAATTTTTCCCTTGCTTCCTAAGTTATTTCTATTTCTTATGGTTCTTTTTGCCACCCCCTCTTTTAAAATTTTGTTTGGAATGAAGATATTTGATTCTGTTCATTTTCCTGGTGACCTCTGGTAGTCTGTTCACATTTAAGGTAAAAGGACTGTGTAGCCAGCTGGGTTTCCTTGAGAGCTAGGTAAGTAGCTGTTTTCTGGTGAGGACTCTCCTTTCAGGAAAGATTCTGACCTGAAACTGTATGGGGCCAGCAGGGATCTTTAACTGGCAGGATTTGCATGAGCTGAGTGAAAGGGGCATGAACTGTCCAACGGGGGCTCCTCCTCCTCCATGCTTGAATGAAGAAGGCCTTATTCTGGGTCACCAATATTCCAACAAAAAACCTCACTTTCCGCTCGAGTTATCTGATTTATCTAGAGAAGATCTGGATAGCACAGTATTGGTGGAAAAATTTGGGTGATCAATATTTAAGAGACCCAACATGCAACGCAGTAGTACAAAACAAAACAAACAAACAAAAGCAAATCTTAGACAAAAACCCCAGTTTTTATATATATTTAATAGAAAATAGCAATGATATATTTGGATATTTTTACTCTTTCTGTTTCCTTCTCCAATAATCCTTCTTTAGGCCGATTGCAGCTTTTATTTATTTGTTTGTTTGTTTGTTTATTTATATTTTTATTTATTTGAGACAGAGTCTTGCTCTATCACCCAGGCTGGAGTGCAGTGGTGTGATTTCAGGACACTGCAATCTCTGCCCCCCCGTGTTCAAGCAATTCTCCCTCCTCAGCCTCCCTAGTAGCTGTGATTACAGGCTCCCGCCACCACACCCAGCTAATTTTTGTATTTTTAATAGAGACGGGGTTGCACCATGTTGGCCAGGCTGGTCTCAATATCCTGACCTCAAGTGATCTACCCACCTCGGCCTCCCAAAGTGCTGGGATTACAGGCGTGAGCCACCGCGCCCAGCCTGATAGCAGCTTTTGGAATAGCATTTTTTTTCTTTCATGTAGTAGTAAAACTGAACACAATCAAAATAAAATTCACCCACTTGCAGCTCTTCTCTTATCAAGTCCACATTATATTGATTCCTGGTGTCAGGCCAATGTGATAACATCAGGCTAATTATCCTCTCAAAAAAGGCATTTGGCCATATGATGGTTAGGATTTTAATTACTAGAAATAGCAGGTTTTTAGACTTTTAATAATTAGTTTCCACCTCACCAAAACCACCCACTCACTTTGTATCTATAGGATAGTAAACCATCTGTTTGTCAACTGGATCTTTTATATCTATAAATTCATAATCTATGTTATCCATGTCTAAAATGTCCACCATTTTTACAGACCCTGAATCACATCTGATGTCATTATAAGTTAAATCTCTATTTCTCAAGGAAAATGGTTTTAAAGCACAGAAGTAATTTTGAACTTGTGAAATTAAAGCTGGATTCCAAATAAGTTGTAGTTTTAGTAAAGAAATGAAAAAGTCTTATTTAACTTGGCTGCTCTCTCCTGGTAACAAATTTTTGAGCACAGAAGTAGTCTTATTTCCAAAACAATGAGTTTTGTGTTTTGTTTTTTGCTATTTGACTTTTTTTTTTTTTTTTTTTTTTTTGAGACGGAGTCTCGCTCTGTCGCCCAGGCTGGAGTGCAGTGGCGGGATCTCGGCTCACTGCAAGCTCCGCCTCCCGGGTTCACGCCATTCTCCTGCCTCAGCCTCCCAAGTAGCTGGGACTACAGGCGCCCGCCACTACGCCCGGCTAATTTTTTGTATTTTTAGTAGAGACGGGGTTTCACCGTTTTAACCGGGATGGTCTCGATCTCCTGACCTCGTGATCCGCCCGCCTCGGCCTCCCAAAGTGCTGGGATTACAGGCGTGAGCCACCGCGCCCGGCCGCTATTTGACTTTTTATTGCAACCTACATGTGACTTCAAACATCAGGTACAGTCAGTTCATCCTTTCGACCTCTTCACAGACCGTAACACTATTTTGGAGAAAGAGCATATAAATCTGTTTTACTATAATCCTTTTCTCATTCTCATCTCCAACATATTTCCAAACAGAGAAGGACATTCTTCTTGTCCTATATTTAGAAACGGCAATTTTATGGCAAGCCATCCTTTAACATGTTTCCTATGGCCAGCAACAAGGTAATCATCCTACCAGGCAGTAAGACACCTCTATTTTTATAACGTTAAAAATCTCATTAAGTGCTTCTGTACGTTTCAAAGAAACTGAAAAGGAATCAAAGACTTTCATTACGAAAACCTCAGTATCACAGGTAAGCAAATCATATCCTCCCTTTTTTTGGGCAGTGTTAATGTACACGGTATGGTGGACATTTAACAGGTAAGATATTTTCATTCTATTTCTTTCTTTTTTTTTTTTTTTTTTTTTGAGACAGAGTCTCACTCTGTTGACCAGGCTGGAGTGCAGTGGTGTGATCTCAGCTCACTGCAACCTCTGCCTCTCAGGTTCAGGCAATTCTCCGGCCTCAGCCTCCCAAGCAGCTGGGATTATAGGCATGTGCCACCACACCTGGCTAATTTTAATATTTTTAGTAGAGACGGGGTTTCTCCGTGTTGGTCAGGCTGGTCTCGAACTCCTGACCTCAGGTGATCCTCCTGCCTTGGCCTCCCAAAGTGCTGGGATTACATGCATGAGCCACTGTGCCCAGCTCATATTTTCATTTTCCTTCCTTCCTCCTTCCCTCCTTCCCTCCCTCCCTCCCTTCTTTCTCTTTCTTTCTTTCTTTTTCTTTCTTTCTTTTTCTTTCTTTCTTTCCCTTCCTTCCTTCCTCCCCTCCCTTCCCTCCCTCCCTCCCTCCCTTTCCCCTTCCTTCCTTCCTTCCTTCCTTCCTTCCTTCCTCCCTCCCTCCCTCCCTTTCTCTCTCTCTCTCTCTCTCTCTCTCTCTCTCTCTCTCTCTCTCTCTCTCTTTCTTTCTTTCTTTCTTTCTTTCTTTCTTTCTTTCTTTCTTTCTTTCTTTCTTATCTCACTCTGTTGCCCAGGCTGGAGTGCAATGATGCGATCTAGCTCACCACAACCTCTGCCTCCCGGGTTCAAGCGACTCTCTAGCTGTAGCCTCCCGACTAGCTGGGACTACAGGCATGTGCTGCCACACCCGGCTAATTTTGTTTTTTTAGTAGAGACGGGGTTTCTCCATGTTGGTCAGGCTGGTCTCAAACTCCCAACTTCAGGTGATCCACCCGCCTCGGCCTCCTAAAGTGCTGGGATTACAGGCATGAGCCACCATGTCCTTCCAGATATTTTCATTTTCTTTGGTAACAAGTTTGTAGACTGAGTAGGATTTGCTAAAATTTAGATTTGTACAGTTTGCCAATTATGCAGATAGATGAGCAAAGTCTAGTTTTATTTGGGCAAGACTGTTGATCAAGATGATTTGACACTGCATTCTTAAATTCAAAGTACCTAAGAGTTAGGGGGAGTATTTTTTGTTGCTGCGATTCAGTGCTTCACTTGATATACCATAAAAAGCATAATCACTGGTCAGATTTATGGAATGAGTGCTATGGCAGCGGTCCCTAACCTTTTTGGCACTAGGTACCGGTTTTGTAGAAGGCAATTTTTCCAGGGACTGGAGGGTGGGGATAGTTTCAGGATGATTCAAGTGTATTACATTTATTGTGCACTTTTTTTCTATTATTATTTTATTGTAATATATAATGAGAAAATTATACAACTCATCATAATGTAGAATCAGTAGGAACCCTGAGCTTGTTCTTCTGCAACTAGATGGTCCTATCCAGGGGTGATGGAAAACAGTGACAGATCATCAGGCATTAGATTCTCAAAGGAGCATGAAACCTAGATCCCTTGCGTGCACAGTTCACAATAGGGTTTGTGCTCCTATGGGAATCCAATGCTGCTGCTGATCTGACAGGAGGCACAGCTCAGGCAGTGATGTGAGCAATAGGGAGCAGCTGTAAATACAGATGAAGCTTTGTTCGCTTGCTGTCACTCACTACCTGCTGTGCTGCCTGGTTCCTAACAGGCCATGGACTACCACAGAATTTATCACAATTTTCTCTTTTGTTTGCCCACAGGGCATTTTCGTTGCGTTTTCTGAATCAGAAAATGTGACTTTATTACTTTACTCAATTTCATAGAGCAATCAGGGGAAGGATACGATAATGTGTGTTTGTGTGGAATACCCAAGGTAATTCAGCAGCCACTACTTCTAACTGAGCATTGCTGTCTTTTTGGGAAACAAAAACTTTTGATTGGCCAGGCATGGTGGTTCACGCCTGTAATCCCAGCACTTTGGGAGGCCGAGGCAGGAGGATTTCTTGAGCCCAGGAGTTCGAGACCCGCCTGGGCAACATGGCAAGACCCTATCTCTACAAAAAAATAATTTAAAATACTTAGCCATTGTGATGGTGCACACCTGTGCTCCTAGCTACTCAGGAGGCTGAGGTGGGAGGGTCGCTTGTGTAAGGGAGGCCGAGGCTGCAGTGAGCTGTGTCCATGCCACTGCACTCCAGCCTGGGTGACAGAGGGAGATGCTTTCTCCAAAAAAATCCAAAAACAGAAAACAAGGAAAGTTGGTTGATTGAGAAGTACTTGCCTGTCTCATCCCAGACTTTTGAGAAGTGGTGTCCATAGGTGCTTCCACATCTACTTTTCTACTGTGCCCAATCCCAGATTCTTTCTGGCATATTGTGCAGCATGCTTTGTGTTGATTATTTACCTTCCTAATCCAGTTACCTGTGTCCTTCCAACTGATACTAACATAGCACAGTTGTTTTGCCTTTTTGTCTGATGATATCTGGGTCATGCTGGTGTTAGTGTTGTAGTCATTCTCATTTTGATGACCTGAACTCTTAGAAAACATGTTCACAGTATTCACAATGTAAAAAACTAAAATAGCAGTATTTTAATACAAAGCTCAACAGTTACTACACAGACAAAGAAAAAATTACAACGCACTTAACTTGCACTCTGAAGTCACATCACTCAGAGTGAGCTAACAATGGATGATCCAGTACTGTGAACTACAGATTGCTGTTAGCAGCATCAGTGGTCAGGGGAGATGACAGTGATAGTGTCTTTGGAAGGTGAGTAATATGGGCCATATCTGTTTGACACTAAAAGCAGTATCACTTGCAGCTCCTATTTTTTGGGCTTCTGTACTTTTCTCCCAATTTCTCCACTCATGATTTAAAAAAAAAAAAAAAAGGGACCTTTTACATTCAGGAAAGATTTCTCAGGACATGGGAAATTCAGTGCTGAAACAAGACTGTCCTGGGCAAAGTTAGACAGTTACTTACCCTAGAAAGGTGCACTCCTGTGCTTTGTGGGGAAAGGAGTAGGAGCAGAGACACAATTGTCCCCCATACTGACACACAGATTATCCCAGGCTTTCAGGTCCATTTCTCAGTGTCACCCTTTGTTATCTTAGTGGACTCAGCCTTCAAAGCCTCCAAGGCTGTCAGACAGACTGCATATTTCTCTAAGCATGGCCTAGGCCAGTGGCTCTCAAATGTTTTGGTCTCTGGACACGTTACCTTCCTTTCTTTTATTTATTTATTTTTTTGAGGCAGTTTCCCTCTTTCCCCAGGCTGGAGTGCAGTGGTGCAATCTTGGCTCACTGCAACCTCCATCTCCCGGGTTCAAGTGATTCTCCTGCCTCAGCCTCCTGAGTAGCTGAGATTACAGGTGCGTGCCACCATGCCCGGCTAATTTTTGTATTTTTAATAGAGACGGGGTTTTGTCACGTTGGCCAGGCTGGTCTCAAACTCCTGACCTCAGGTGATCCAACCGCCTTGGCCTCCCAAAGTGCTGGGATTACAGGTGTGAGCCACCATGCCTGGCAGCTTTACCTTCTTAAAAATGTTTGAGGACCCCAATGAGATTTTATTTATCTGGGTTATATCTACCAATATTGACTACATCAGAAATTAAAACTAAGAAATTACAAAAAAGTTATGTATTCATTTAGTTTCAATTAACAATAATAGAATCATTACATGCTGGTTGGGAAAAAAGTAGTTTTTTCCCCCCTGAAAAATAACTCCAGTTTCCAAAACAAAGCAAAACAAAACAATTTAGTGAGAAGAGTGGCGCTGTTTTACATTTTGCAAATCTCTTTAATATCTAGGTTAATAAAAGGCTTCTGGATTTTCATGTCTACTTCTGCAGTCACTCTTCAAAGATATGTTGTTTTGGTTGGAGTATAGAGAGAAAATTTGGCTTCACCCAGATACGTAGCTGGGAAAGAGTGGTGTATTTTAATAGCCTTTTTTGTTGTTAATTGTGGATATTCTTCTACACCAAAACATAAAGATTAAATTAATAAAATTATTAATTTTGCTGTTTCAACAAGTTAAAAACTGTTACAAGATTCTTAAGTGAAATTGATTTTTTTCCGGATTGTACATGGGAATGAATAACACAATGCCTACTAGTACAGTCTGGTGCCACTGTCTGGATTCATGGAAAGCACATGAAATTCACCCACCATTGCTTTTGTACCATTAGCGCAAATGTCAACAAAGTGAAAAAGGCTGATGATATATTAGTATTATTATGAAAATATAATAATGACTTATGAATCCTCCAAAAAGATCTAGTGGACCTCTGGGGTTCTAGCCCACACTTTGAGAACTGCTCAACTAGGCCAAATCTTTGCTAGCCTATTTTGTCCATCACCTGACTCCCATCCACTTCCTTTCAGAGACTTTTTTTTTTTTGAGGCGGAGTTTTGCTCTTGCTGCCTAGGCTGGAGTGCAGCGGCACGATCTCGGCTCACCGCAACCTCTGTCTCCCACGTTCAAGCGATTCTCCTGCCTCAGTCTCTCGAGTAGCTGAGACTACAGGCATGCACCACCAGGCCTGGCTAATTCTGTATTTTCAGTAGAGACGGGGTTTCTCCACGTAGGTCAGGCTGGTCTCAAACTCCCGACCTGAGGTGATTCGCCCTCCTCATCCTCCCTAAGTGTTGGGATTATAGGCATGAGCTACATGCCTGGCCTCAGAGACATTTTATATTCCCTTTTTGACATAGGTGTATTCTATTTTATAGTTCCTTTTTTTTTTAAAAAAAATAAAAGTTTATATATATATATATACATATTCTATTTATTTATTTTTTCAGACAGGGTCTGGCTCTGTCACCCAGGCTTAAGTGCAGTGGTCCAATCTCAGCTCACTGCAATCTCCACCTCCTGGGCTTAATCCATCTTCCTACCTCAGCCTCCCAAGTAGGTAGGACTATAGGTGCATGCTACCACATCCAGCTAATTTTTGTATTTTTTATAGAGACAGGGTTTCACCGTGTTGCTCAGGCTGGTCTCAAACTCCTAAACTCAAGCGATCTGCCTGCCTTGGCCTCCCAAAGTGCTGGGATTACAGGCATGAACCACCACACCTGGCCCCATTTTATACTTCCAATCTTTTGTTACAGCAGAGTCCCACTGCTTTTAGAGAAAGCATTAGTGTGTCCACCATATTGAAATGTAAGCCCTCATCTCTTTTTAAAGTTTGCCTTAAGGTGAAAGACATCGTTTTGCAGCATATGCTTCATTCTTTTCTTTTCTTTTCTTTTCTTTTCTTTTCTTTCTTTTCTTTTCTTTTCTCTTCTTTTCTTTTCTTTCTCTTTCTCTTTCTTTCTTTTTTGACGGAGTCTCACTCTGTTGCCCAGGCTGAAGTACAGTGGTGTGATCTCAGCTCACTGCAACCTCCACCTCCCAGGTTCAAAAGATTCTCCTGCCTCGGCCTCCTGAGTGGCTGCGATTACAGGCACCCGCCACCATGACTGGATAATTTTTGTATTTTTAGTAGATATGGGGTTTCACCATCTTGGCCAGACTGGTCTTGAACTCCTCATGATCCACCTGCCTTGGCTTCCCAAAGTGCTGGGATTGCAGGCGTGTGCCACTGCACCCAGCCTGCTTATTTCTTAAATAGAATGTTTTAAAAGTTTAACACTAGCAAATTATCTGTTCCTATTTACATGGATTCCATCCTTAGCCAGAATTGATTCTCATTGAAATTGAGAGATTGGCTAAATTGGCTTAGTACTAGGCAAGACTTGCTTAGAAACCCCTTTGATTGGTAAGCACATGCACCTATGGTGCAGTTTATCTTCCTTTGATCCTGCACAATAAAGGGTTGACACAGCAGGTCTGGGGTGTTCAAACCCTGCACTTAACAAAGAAAGGGCTGGCCCTTGACTGCTCCTGGGAGATCACCTCTAAGCCCTTTGAGTGTCATGCCTGATGAAAGTGTTTCTGTTTACCTGGGACCTTGAGCCACCCAGGTAGTTCATGCTGGCAATGTGATTTATGGTGGGGGACTTGGGTGACACAGTATCTAGTTGACATCTGGAGTGGCTGGAGATTGAGAAACTAGGGTGAGCCATGTGGGTGCTCTATGCCCGTGTGACTGACTACCAATAAAAATCCTGGACATTGAGGCTCAAGCGAGCTTCTCAGGTTGGCATCACACCTCATTGCTGGGAGAATGACAGGTGCTGCCTGTATAACCCATGAGAAGAGGAGAGGACATCTAGAATGAGAAGAAGACAGTTGGTCTTTCTTCTCCTGGCCTCTGCCTGATGTGTTTTTTTTTTTTTTTTTTTAGAGACAGGGTCTCACTATGTTGCCCAAGCTTTTGAACTCCTGGGCTTAAGCAATCATCCAGCCTCGGCCTCCCAAAATGGTGGGATTATAGGCGCGAGCCACCTTGCTTGGCCTGACTAATGTGCTCTTTATCTCTGCTGATTGGTCTCTGTGTCTTTTTGCTGTCAAGAACTATAACCATGTGTATAATAGCTTTTCTGAATTCTGCAAATTTTTCTGAAGTGTCCCTGAACCTGAGGGTAGTCTTGGGGACCCCCATCACTGGTCCCTCTGCCCATTGTGCTCTACACCCCAATTATCTTAAAGAGAGATATTAGGTCCAGACGCTGTCTACCCTCAGGGAGTTTGTGGTTTAGTGAAGGAGGCCATTAATACTCCCCAATACAATGTGAGGCACACGATAAGACAGACATCAGATAGACCTACAGGGTCAGGTGGCTTAGGAAAGAAAACAAGTAATCTAGCTAGGTTATTTTTGGCTGGACGCAGTGGCTCATACCTGTAATCCCAGCATTTTGGGAGGCCGAAGCAGACAGATCACAAGGTCAGGAGATTGAGGCCATACTGGCCAACGTGGTGAAACCCCGTCTGTACTAAAATGCAAAAATTAGCTGGGCATGGTCGCCTGTGCCTGTAGTCCCAGCTACTCGGAAGGCTGAGGCAGGAGAATCGCTTGAAACCGGGCGGCGGAGGTTGCAGTGAATTGAGATCGCGCGCCATTGCACTGCAGCCTGGTGACAGAGCTAGACTCTTCTAAAAAAAAAAAAAAAAAAAAAAAGCAAACTCATAGAAAAATACAATGCACGTTGCAGCTGGAAATAGGATCAATCATCAGGAAAAGCCCGGATCAGAACAGTCCTATGTCTGTACTTCCCTCTGCACAACTTATTCTTTCTTTTTCTTTTGCTCTTGCCTAAATTATTTGCCATCTGGCTGATTCTCTGTCCAAACAGAAAAATACCTGATCTTTTTTACACATTGACAGAAACTCATTCACACCAATAAGTTCTGCCTTCTAGGTATTTGCCCATAAAAGACTTCTATCTGTCACTGGGGTCTGGGAGTGCTCTGTCTCTGGTTAGAGCAACATCTGGCAATAGCAAGTTAGTATTTTTAGGGAGGTGGAGACAGATTTCTCCTGGCCACTGACTCATTGTTGCAGAAACTGGCTGGGAAAGTAAATCTGCTTTAGATGTACAGCAGGATGGAGTTAAAAGAAACAGTAGGGGACCAGGTCATTTCTTTTCCTTCTCCCTCCTCCTCCCTCCAGTTCTAACTCATCTCATTTTATTTCTTGAATCCAAAATTCTCACATGCCCAGGAATTTTCCTGTGCCAATGCTCTTCACCTTCATTTCCTCTTCTTGTGTGTGACCTTGACCTCTGGGCAGGCGACTCAGCCCTAGGCTTGGAGTTTCTGATGTCAAGGCTCTAGAGTTCCTAGGGCACCTAGCTTGGAGGTAGCGAGCTGGAGGCATCTGATTAAAGCTCTCTCTCTCTGTCTCTCTCTGTGTGTATGGGGGTGTTGGTGAAGGATACTGTAAAAAGATTTTCTCTGTTAAGTGGAGGCTCACATTGAACACCTCTGAGTTTCTAGCTCAACTTCAACATTCTAAGGATATTTGATTAAATGACAGCTGGGAAATATAGGGAAGAGAGTTGACATTGATATCAGTTATAAATACTGCAGAACTAGCAAAAGAATAAAACTCTAAAATTTGCTTTTCTGGGTAAGAATATTATTAACAGAGGTCATTTATGAGAATGACTGACCATTTAAGCTTATTTACCTGCAATATGGTAACAATTATGTATACTTGTCAACATGCCACTTTCAATAGGTTCTGTTTTACTCAGTCAATAAGTTCTACACATGTGCTTGCTTTTCATGATTTTATCCTTGATACAGTGGTTGTCTATTCATAGCTTAAAGTAAATGAAAAGGAACATTGCCTGGGAAGACAATGCTACTTTGGTGCTGTTGTGATTGCATTTTAACTAGTCTGCAAATTCCACACAATCATTCATTCAGTGAATGCTTGCTATGTGCATGCCTGCTATGTGCTGTTCTCTTCTGCAGAGAAGACAGGGGTGGGCAGGGACAGAGATGTGAGGAGGTGCTTACAGCCTTTGTTGGAGGGAAGTTCTCTCAGATAGTGAGGAAGTGGCTGTCTGGATCACTGCTCAAGGGCAGCTGATCAGTGCTGGCATGGTATTAAAGCCAGCTTCAGCATCCCACAGAGCCATTGGCAGAAACTCTTGGCTCTCCTGGCCTCCCTCCTGACCCTGCTCTTTCAGGGCCCCAGTGTAGCTTTACTCTACCTTGGCTCATTCCCATTTCATCCCGCTCTTTCTTTCTATATTTGCAAAAAATGAAAGGAATTTTTTTTTTTTTTTTTTTTTTTTTTAGATAGAATCTTGTTCTGTTGCCTGGGCTGGAGTAGAGTGATGCCATCATAGCTCACTGCAGCCTCCAACTCCTGGGATCTAGCTATCCTCCCTCCTCAGCCTCCCAAGTTGCTGGGACTATAGGCATGCACCACCATGCCTGGCTAAGTTTAAAAAATTTAAAAAAAATTTTTAAAAATCTCCTCATAGAGACGAGGTCTCACTATGTTGCCCTGGCTGGTCTTGAACACCTGGCTTCAAGTGATCCTCCCACTTTGGTCTCCCAAAGTGCAGGGATTATAGGTGTGAGCCACCATGCCAAGATGGGAGGATTGCTTGAAGCCAGGAGATTGAGACCAGCCTGGGGAATTCAGCAAGACCTCATCTCTGTAAAAACCAAAAGTGGGCCAGGTGTGGTGGCTCACGCCTGTAATCCCAGCACTTTGGGAGGCCAAAGGGGCAGATCACCTGAAGTCAGGAGTTCGAGACTTGCCTGAACAACATGGTGAAACCTCGTCTCTACTAATATTACAAAAATTAGCTGGGCGTGGTGCCTCATGTCTGTAATCCCAACTACTTGGGGGGCTGAGGCAGAAGAATCACTTGAACCCAGGAGGTGGAGGTTGCAGTGAGCCGAGATCGTGCCATTGCACTCCAGCCTGGGTGACAAGAGTGAAACTCCATCTCAAAAAAAACAAAAAACAAAAAACTGAAACTAAAGCAAAAAGAAGAAAAAAATATTGGCCATTTGGTAGAGACATTAAGGCAGACTTTATTCAAGAGGGACCACAGTGATGGGACCACTACAATGTGGTCTTGCAGTGAGGGATAGAGACAAGACTTGACTCCCATTCCAACAAGGACAATTGGGCCTTTACAGCCAAGGGACAGGGAGGAGGTCAGTGGGTGGGAAATTAGTAAGAAGAAACCTCAAGGGTAAAGGGGATTTCTGGCTAAACTGACTTGATAGGATTATTGCCAAAGGAAGGTCAAGGTGATAAAATATTGAGGGTAGTGAGATATCTAGGGTGGGGGATTTTCACTAAACTGACTTAGCAGGATTCTTGCTCTAATTGGATTCTACAAGGACAGAGAGGGAAGCTCAAGGTCAGGCCTAGTCAAACAGAGCCTGACGAATGTTTTGGTAAAAGGAGAGCATCTTTGACACCTTGGGCAAACTCTTCAGATGTGACCCTTTCTCATCACTTCGGGGCAGTGCCTGGACTCAGTCCTACTGCTGGACCCAAACGTCATGTTAGTCCCCTTGGGGTGGCCCTGGAGGCTGGTGTTTTGGCAGAAAAATTGTTTACCAAGTTTTAAAATTCTGACATTACTGGCTGGGTGCAGTGGCTCACTCTTGTAATCCCAGCACTTTGGGAGGTCGAGATGGGCAGAGGCCGAGATGGGCGGATCACTTGAGGCCAGGAGTTTGAGACCAGCCTGGCCAACATGGTGAAACCCTGTCTCTACAAAAAAATACAAAAATTAGCTGGGCGGGATGGTGCATGCCTGTAATCCCAGCTACTCAGCAGACTGAGGCAGGAAAATCACTTGAACCCGGGAGGCAGAGGTTGCAATGAGATGAGATTGTGCCGCTGCACCCCAGCCTGGGTGAAAGAGATAGAATTCTGACATTAACCATATTTTGACCTTGTCTTAAGAGAATACTCCTTTGGAATTATCACAGATTCTGCACCTTTCACAAAAATGAAGTTGGGTCAAATGTCCTACCTAAAATCTCTATTTATTTATTTATTTATTTATTTATTTATTTTTGAGATGGAGTCTTACTCTATCGCCCAGGCTGGAGTGCATGGCATGATCTCGGCTCACTACAACCTCCGCCTCCCAGGTTCAAGCAGTTCTCCTCTCTCAGCCCCCGGAGTAGCTGGGGTTACAGATGCCCACCACCATGCCCAGCTAATTTTTTTGTATTTTTAGTAGAGATGGGGTTTCACCATGTTGGCCAGGCGGATCTTGAACTTCTGACCTCAGGTGATCCACTACCCTTGGCTTCCCAAAGTGCTGGGATTACAGGCTGGTGGTTTGACTTCCTCTTACTAATTTGGATGCCTTTTATTTCTTTCTCTTGTCTGATTGCTCTGGCTAGGACTTCCAGTACTATGTTGAATGGAAGTGTTGGAAGTGGGCATCCTTGTCTTGTTCCAGTTCTCAGGTAGTATGCTTTCAACTTTTCTCCATTCAGTGTAATGTTGGCTGTGGATTTGTCATAGATGGCTTTTATTACGTTAAGGTATATCCCTTCTACACCGATTTTGCTGAGGGTTTTAATCATAAAGGGATGCTGGATTTTGTCAAACACTTTTTCTGCATCTATGGAGATGATTATATTTTTGTTTTTAATTCTGTTTCTGTAGTGTATCACATTTATTGACTTGCCCATGTTAAACCATCCTGAATCTCTGGTATGAAATCCACATGATCATGGTGGATTACCTTTTTGATATGCTGCTAGATTTGGTTAGCTAGTATTTTGTTGAGGATTTTTGGATCTATGTTCATCAGGGATATTGGTCTGTAGTTTTCTTTTTTTGTTATGTTCTTTCCTGGTGTTGGCATTAAGATGATACTGGCTTCATAGAGTGATTTAGAGAGGATCTCGTCTTTCTCCATCTTTTGGTGTAGTTTCAGTAGGATTGGTACCAATTCTTCTTTGAATGTCTGATAGAATTCAGCTGTGAATCCACCTGGTCCTGAACTTTATTTGTTGGTAATTTTTTTAAATGACCACTTCTATCTCACTGCTTGTTATTGGTCTGTTGAGACTTTCTGTTTCTTCCTGGTTTAATCTAGGAGGGTTGTATATTTACAGGAATTTATCCATCTCCTCTAGGTTTTCTAGTTTGTGTGCATAAAGGTGTTCACAGTAGCCTTGAATGATATTTTGCGTTTCTGTGGCATGAATTGTAATATTTCCCATTTCATTTCTAATTGAGCTTACTTGGATCTTCTCTCTCCTTTTTTTGGTTTATCTCACTAATGGTCTATCAATTTTGTTTATCTTTTCAAAGAACCAGCTTTTTGTTTCATTTATCTTTTGTATTTTTTTGTTTCAATTTCATTTAATTTTGCTCTGATCTTTGTTATTTCTTTTCTTCTGGTGGGTTTGGGTTGGTTTGTTCTTGTTTCTCTAGTTCTTTGAGATTCCTTAGATTGTCTGTTTGTGCTCTTAAAACTTTTTGATGTAGGCATTTAATGCTATGAACTTTCCTCTTAGCACTGCTTTTACTATATCCCAGAGGTTTTGATAAGTTGTGTCACTATTATCGTTGAGTTCAAGTACTTTTTTAACTTCCGTCTTGATTTCATTGTTGACCCAAAGATCATTCAGAGCAGATTAGTTAATTTCCACGTATTTGCATGACTTTGAGGGTTGGAGTTGGTTTCTAACTTTATTCCACTGTGGTCTGAAAGAGTACTTGATATAATTTTGATTTTCTTGAATTTATTGAGGCTTGTTTTGTGGCCTATCATGTGGTCTATCTTGGAAAATGTTCCATGTGCTGATGAATAGAATGTACATTCTGCAATTGTTGAGTAGCATGTTCTGTGAATATCTGTTAAGTCCATTTGTTCTAGGATATAGTTTAAGTCCATTGTTTCTTTGTTGACCTTCTGTCTTGATGGCCTGTCTAGTGCTGTCAGTGGAGTATTAAAGTTCCCCACTATTATTGTGGTGCCATCTATTTAATTTCTTACGTTAGTAGTAATTGTTTTTATAAATTTTGGAGCTCCAGTGTTAGGTGCATATATAGGATTGTGATATTTTCCTGTTGGACTAGTCTTTTTATCATTAGATAATGTCCCTTTTTTTTTTTAACTGTTGCTGCTTTAAAGTCTGTTTTGTCTGATATAAAAATAGCCACTTCTGCTCACTTTTGGTGTCCATTTGCATGAAATATCTTTTTCCACCCCTTTACTTTAAGTTTATGTGAGTCCTTATGTGTTAGGTGAGTCTCTTGAAGACAGCAGATACTTGGTTGGTGAATTCTTATTCATTCTGCAATTCTACATCTTTTAAGTGGAGGTGAAGGATTTAGGCTATTTACATTCAACGTTAGTATAGACTATGTGAGCCACTATTCTATTCATCATTCCAGTTGTTTCCTGAATACCTGTTTTTAAAAATTGTATTATTGTTTTATAGGTCCTGTGAGATTTATGCTTCAAGGAGGTTTTGTTTTCATGTATTTTGAGGTTTTGTCTCAAGATTTCCAACTCCTTATAGCAGTTCTCATAATGCTGGCTTGGGAGTGGCAAATTCTCTCAGCATTTGTTTGTCTGAAAAAAGCTTTATCTTTCCTTCATTTATGAAGCTTAGTTTCACTGGATACAAAATTCTTGGCTGATAATTGCTTTGTTTAAGAGGGCAAAAGATAGGACCCCAATCCCTTCTAGCTTATAGGGTTTCTGCTGACAAATCTGCTGTTAATCTGATAGATTTTCCTTTGTAGGTTATCTAATGCTTTTGCTTCATAGCTCTTCAGATTCTTTCCTTTGTCTTCACTTTAGACAACCTGATGACTATGTGCCTAGGTCATGATATTTTTGCAATGAATTTCCTAGGTGTTTTTTGAACTTCTTGTGTTCAGATGTCTAGATCACTCACAAGGCCAGGGAAGTTTTCCTTGATGATTCTCTCAAATAAGTTTTCCAAACGTTTAGATTTCTCTTCTTCCACGGAACAGAAATTGTTCTTAGGTTTGGTCATTAAACATAATCCCAAACTTTTTGGAGGCTTTGTTAATTTCTTTAAATTCTTTTTTTCTTTATCTTTGTTGGATTGGGATAATTCTAAAGCTTTGTCTTTGAGCTGTAAAGTTCTTTCTTCTACTTGTTCAATCCTATTTTGCATTTCCCTAAGTGTGTCTTTCATTTCCAGAAGGTTTCATTGTTTTTTATTTATGATATCTACTTCTCTGGAAATGTTTTTGTGCATATCATGCATTATGTTTTTAATTTTTTAGGTTGGTTTGCACCTTTCTCTGGTACCTCCTTGAGTAGCTTAATAATCAATCAACCTTCTGAATTCTTTTCCTGGCAATTCAGATATTTCTTCTTGGTTTAGATCCATTGCTGGTGAACTCATGTGATATTTTGGGGGTGTTAAAGAGCCTTGTTTTGTTGTATTACTAGAATTGCTTTTCTGGTTCCTTCTCATTTGGGTAGGCTATGTCAGAGGGAAGATCTGGGAATCAAGGGCTGCAATTCAGATTCTTTTGTCCCAAGGGGTGCTCCCTTGATATGGTGCTTTCCCCCTTCCCCTATGGATGGGGCTTCCTGAGAGCCAGACTACAGTGATTGCTACTGCTCTTCTGAGCCTTGTCACCCAGCAGAGCTACCGGGCTCTGGGCTGATACTGGGTAGTGTCTGCAAATAGTCCTGTTATATGATCTGTCTTCAGGTCTCTCAGCTGTGGATATAAGCACCTGCTCCAGTGAAGGTAGCAGGGGAGTGAAGGGGACTCTGAGAATCCTTGGTTGTAGGTTTGTTTAGTGCACTGGTTTTCTCGAATGCTGCTTATGCTAGCAGTGAAGTTGTCATGTGGACAGACTCTGTATCTCTGATTAGCCAGGATATTACAGGCAGTGAAATTAGCTGTTGTTTTCTCCTTCCTTGGAGCAGGGTTATTCTTTCATGAGTTCCTGTAGTGGCTTGAGTTGGTTGGCCTCCTGCCAGGAGGTGAAGCTTTCAAAACAGCATCAGCTGCTGTAGTATAGTGGGGCTATAAGCTTGCCCTACAGTCTCCTATCCAGGAGTATTTGGGTTTCTCAGGTGATGGGCAGAGCCATAGAGCTCCCATGTGTTTATGTCTTTTGTCTTCAGCTACCAGGGCAGGTAGAGAAATACCATCAGGTAGGGGCAGTGTTAGACGTGTCTGAGCTCAGACTCTCTTGGGGCAGGGCTTGCTGCAGTCACTGTGGGAGATGGGGGGGTTGGTTCTCAGGCTAATCAAGTGATGTTCCAAGGGGAATCATGGCTGCCTTTGCTTCTTCAAACAGGTTGCCAGGGAAGTGGGGGAAAGCTGGCAGTGACAGGCCTCACCCAGCTCCCATGCAGCCAGCAGGGCCAGTCTCACTTCCACCATGCTCCTTCAATAGCAACAGAGCTGAATTTATATCCAGACCTCTGGTGCACGGGGCTGAGATCTTGCTTCAGGTTACAAGCCTCTCCACTGAGAAAGCAAGCAGGGCTTTCAGGCTTCACCCCTCCCTGTCTGCCATGGCTTCTGTGGTCATATCTGCAATTTCTGTTTATTGCTCCTTCCCAGATTCTGTCCAGGAAAAAATTCATGCTCAGTCAAAATTATTACGAGATTCAGCTAGAACTCTTCTTCTTCCTGTGGCCCTTCTTCAATTCCACTGGCTGACCTCCCCAAAGACTCCTATGAGATAAAGCCAGAAATGCCTCCCTTGGGCTTCTCTGGGGACTGGGAGTGCCTACAGGGCTCTTTCTACTGCTTCTACTTTTATATTTCGCTTGGCTCTCGAAATTTGTTTCAGCTCTAGGTAAGTTTAAATCCTTCTTCCATGATTTGGATTTTTCAGGTTTCCCCAGTGTGGATGTGTGTTTGGAGGCAGACTTTCTCCCCTCACACTTTGGGCACTCACAGTGTTTTGGCTAGCTCATGGAGTTTGCAGAGGCAAGTCACTTCTTTCCTAGAATAATTTTTTTTCTGAAGACTTTCAACATGACTGCATAGTAGACTGAAACAAAGATTTGGAGAAATAAGAGCATGGTCCAAATAGCAATGTACTCATTTCCCAGCTGTAGGAATCTGGGCCATTTACATAATAGCCTGGCACCTTGATGGCTTCACCTTGACAGGTATATTTGCTTCCTGGGGCTGCTGTAAGAGAGTACCAGAAATTGGGTGGCTCAGCAAAACAGCTATTTATTCTCTCACAGTTCTGGAGGCTGGGAGTCTGAAAGCAAGGTGACAGCAGGGCTGCACCTCCTCTGGAGCATCTGGGGAAGCTCCTTCTTGCCTCTTCTTGCTTCTGGGGCTGGCGGCCATCTGTGGTGTTCTGTGGCTTGAGCTGTGTCACTCCAGTTACGTGGTTGTCTTCTCTCTGCGAGTTTTCACATCACCTTCCCGCTGTGTCCCTGCCTCTGTGTCCAAATTTCCACTTTTTATAAGGACACCAGCCATGTTGGATGAGGGTCTGATCCAATGACCTCATTTTAACTGCGTTATCTCTGCAAAGGTCCTATTTCTGAATAAGGTCACCCTTGGAAGTATTGGGGATGAGGACTGCAATGTATCTTTTTGA
Source organism: Homo sapiens (assembly GCF_000001405.40). Taxonomy (NCBI): domain Eukaryota; kingdom Metazoa; phylum Chordata; class Mammalia; order Primates; family Hominidae; genus Homo; species Homo sapiens. The sequence continues at coordinate 41,047,934 of NC_000008.11, read as the reverse complement.
GGGGCACCATTCAATCTATAACACATGGGAACAGTATTTACCTAATAAGGTGACCACCTAGAACAGAATGTGAAATCCATAAAAAAGAGCTATTATTATACTGACCACAGAAAGGGTGATTTAAAGGGATTGAATCTGCAGCACTCCTTCATTTGTTTACTTATTATGTCCCCAATGTCTTTTGAGAGCAGATGGCATGCAGGCACTAGGGACAGACCCTTTTTATTTCTTCTCACCCAGGTTCTGTTCTGGCCCAGGTTGCCACCTGGTTCCTGGCCATGGCTCTCTCCCTCTTGTGCGATCTCATTCCCATCTCGGTGACCCAGGGGCTGTGCCAGGCCTCCAGCTGCAGACCTCAACTCTGCTACCAGAACTGATGTGGACTTGTTTTCCCAGCCCTATTCTTCCTGCTTATCTTCCTAAGCCACAATATTCAAGCCCAGATTTCTTCTACCTGCCATGGCCTTGCTCCTATATTTTGTTCTTATGAAGGAGTGATTTGCGAAACTCTTAATCAGAACCAGCCATGGGGGCTTTCTCCAAAATGAGAGAGTTTGAATCCTTTCCTTCTACCATTCTCATTTTGGCCTCATCTTCTGCTTCATGCCAGAACACCTGGCCACACTCATCCCTCTGCAGCATCTCAGATGATTTAGGGATTGGAGGGAGGAGGCTACAGGCACATCTACCTGCTATGAATTCCTACTTTCTTTAGTTAGGCATCTTCCCCTTGAAGGTAGGGAAGCGGTTCATGCAGAAGCAGCAGCAACGTGTCTTGGGGTGGCTTTCTTGGAGCTGGGATTCTAACAGAACATGCAACTGCTGATGACAATTTTCCTGCAGGTAGGACCTTCCAGAATGGATAAAGCAGGTGTATTCTTGCTAAGCTGCTGCCTGCTGGGTTTCTATTATCTTACCAGAGGAGCTTCTATAAGCATCCATGCACTTTCCTCTAAGCACTGGTTCCCAAAGCTGGCTGCATGTTAGGATCACCTAGAGGTAGGAGGTTAAAATCCCCAGATACCCAGGATTCTAGGTGTATATATAATCAATAAATGCTTGGCAAAGGAGCAAATGCAGTTTAATCAAGAAGGGGTATCTTTTCAATAAGCGGGGCTGGAAAAATTGGACATCCCCATGCAAAAATCTAGACTCATATAGAGTCTATACCATTCAGAAAATTCCTATATATCTTATGCCTTTCACAAATATTAACTAAAATAAATCACAGTTCTAAATAAAAAGCTATAAAACTCCTAGGAGATAACATAGGAAAAAATCTAGGTGACATTGGATTTGGTGATGACTTTTAAATACAACACCAAATACATGACTCATGAAATAAAGACATTGATAAGTTGGATATCAGTAAAATTAAAAACTTCTGTTCAGGGGAAAGATACTGTTCCAAGAAAGAAACGATAAGTCACAGCCTAGAAGAAAATATTTACAAAACATGTGTCTCTTAAAGGGCTTATATCCAAAATACACAAATACCTCTTAAAACTCAGCAATAAGAAAAATAACCCAACTAAAAAATGAGCAAAATATCTGAACAAACATCTCACCAAATAAGATATACAGATGGCAAATAAGCATATAAAAAGATGCTCAATGTCATATGTCATTAGGGATTTTAAAATTAAAACAGCAATGAGACACCACTACGTACCTATTAGAATGGCTAAAATCCAAAACACTGACAACACTAAATGCTGTCAAGCATGTGGAGCAATAGGAGCTCTCCTTCATCACTGGTGGGAATGCAAAATGGTGCAGCTGAGAAGTGAAGCCAGCTGGACTTCTGGGTCGGAGAACCCAGACTTCTGGGACTTGGAGAACTTTTAGGTCTTACAAGAGGATTGTAAAATGCACCAATCAGCACTCTGTAGCTAGCTAGAGGTTTGTAAAATGCACCAATCAGTGCTCTGTAAAAACGCATCAATCAGTGTTCTGTAGCTAGCTAGAGGTTTGTAAAATGGACCAATCAGTGCTCTGTAAAATGGACCAATCAACATCCTGTAAAATGGACCAATCAGCACGCTGTAAAAAGGACCAATCAGCAGGACATGGGTGGGGAGAAATAAGGGAATAAAAGCTGACCATCCCAGCCAGCAGTGGCAACCCGCTCAGGTCCCCTTCCACACTGTGGAAACTTTGTTCTTTTGCTCTTCACAATAAATCTTGCTGTTGCTCAGTCTTTGGGTCTGTGCCATCTTTAAGGGCTGTAATACTCACCACGAAGGTCCACGGCTTCATTCTTGAAGTCAGTGAGACCACAAACCCACCAGAAGGAACAAACTCCGGACACACAGACACTTTGGAAGACAGGCTGGCAGTTTCTTACAAAACAAAGCATTCTCTTAATAATATGATTCAGCAATCATGCTCCATTGTATTTACCCAAATAAGTTGAGATTGCCAAAACTTGGAAGCAACCACGATGTTTCATAGATGAATGGCTAAATAAATTTTCATACATCCATACAATGGAATATTGCTCAATGATAAAAATAAATAGGCTGTCAAGCCACAAAAAGACATGGAGGAATTTAAGTGTGTATTTCTAAGTGAAAGAAACCTATCTGAAAAAGCTACATAGTATACTATTCTAACTATGTGACATTTGGAAAAGGTAAACTTCTGGAGACAGTAAAGAGATCAGTGCTTGGAGTTGGGGAAGAAAGGAAGGAAAGAAGAATAGGTGGAGCACAGGAGACTTTTAAGGCAGTGAAACTATTCTGTGTAACACTGTAATGGTGGATACATGTCATTAGTATATTTGTCAAAACCCATAGAATGCATAACACAAAGTGAACCCTAATGTAAACTATGGACTTTAGTTAATAATAACCTGTAAATATTGGCACATCAGTTGTAGCACATGTACCTCACTAATGCAACATATTAATAATAGGGGAAATGTTTTAAAAAACAAGCAGACTCAGGCTATATAGATAACATAGCAAAGCAAAGTGCAGAACAGTGCATTCCATACTTTCACTTTATATATAAATATATATTATTTCTTGTCTATTTTAAAATGATCTCTGTAAGTTGCCTCCTGGATAAGTGAGTGACTGAGATAGAAGCTAGAAAAACTCAGCAGTAAGAAAACAACCAAAGGATCATGGGGGATGGGAGGCAGAAATAGGTTGCAGCTCCCACTCAGACAGAGCAGCATGTGGAGTCTCACATCATGAACTTTTGCTCCAGAAATCCTGCAGCAATAAACCAGGAACAGCAAGGGAACCCACACACCCTCTGAAGGAAGAAGATTACTCCTGCAAGACCCAGGGGACACCCCGAATACTGTTAGTGCCCAAACTGTGGAATTGGGAAAGGGGGATTGTTCACCCCTGAACACATGCACTCACTGGGGAGCCTGAAGGTCTAGATCATGGAAGAAGATTCTGACCTTACCAGGAGCTGAGTCAGTTTAGAGAGCAGAGCAAAATACAGGGGTAGAGGAAGCATCAGGAAAGGCTCTGTGGGCTCTCTGGGTCCCCTAGGAAACTGTTTCTGCCTTGCCTCACAGGGGTACCTGGGGAGGGCTGCCAGAGGTACTGGGAAAAGGCCACGGGGAGAAGTAAACCGCCAGCTGAACTATGTAACAATTCCAACCAAAGAGAAGTCTCCTGGCCAGAACTCAGGGGAGGCCGTGAATCTGGTGTGCAGACTTCACATGCAGGGAAGCATGAAAGCCCTACTTGCTTTCACAGCTGGGAGGCTGCTAGTCTGGGGCAAGTTCTCAGCCCTGCTCACCCACTGCCTGGAAACAGACTCGGTGCTGTTGGAAGGGGCATGGTGGCAGTGAGACTGGCCTTTTGGGTTGCATGAGAGCTGGGTGAGGCCTGCAACTGCCGCTTTCCCCCACTTCCCTAACAATCTGCATGACACAACAGAGGCAGTCATAATCCTCCTGGGAATATAACTCCATTGACCTGGGAAACACACCCACGGTCCCCACAGCAGCTGCAGCAAGACCCACCCAAGGAAAGCCTGAGCTTAGAAACGCCTAGCCCTGCCCTCACCTGATGGTCCTTCCCTACCCACCCTAGTAGCTGAAGAAGAAGGGCATATACTCTTGGGAGTTCTGGGGCCCCGCCCACTGCCTGATTCTCTTCAGTGAAGTGCACTATCTCCCAGCAGGAGGCCAACCAGCACAAAAATAGTGCATTAAACAACCAAAACTATGGACTCTCACAGAGTCCCTTTCACCCGCCGGCCACCTCCGCTGGAGCAGGTGCTGGTATCCATGGCTGAGAAATCCACAGATGGTTCACATCACAGGACTCTGTGCAGACAACCGCAGGTACCAGCCCAGAGCCTGTAGACCTGCTGGGTGGCTAGATCCAGAAGAGAGATAGCAATTACTACAGTTCGGCTTTCAGGAAGCCACATCCCTAGGAAAAGGGAGAGAGTACTACATTGAGGGAACACCCCATGGGACAAAAGGATCTGAACAACAGCCTTAAGCCCTAAACCTTCCCTCTGACAGACCCTACCCAAATGAGAAGAAACCAGAAAACCAACTCTGGAAATATGACAAAATGAGGTTCTTTAACAACCCCCAAAAAATCACTCTAGCTCACCAGCAATGGATCCAAACCAAGAAGAAATCCCTGATTTACCTGAAAAAGAATTCAGAAGGTAGTTATTAAGCTAAGCAAGGAGGCACCAGAGAGAGGCAAAGCCCAATTTAAGGAACTCAAAAAAATGATACAAGAAATAAGGGGAAGAAATCTTCAGTGAAATAGGTAGCAAAAAAAAAACAATTAAAACTTCAGGAAACAATGGATATACTTATTGAAATGCAAAATGCTCTGGAAAGTCTCAGCAACAGAATTGAATAAGCAGAAGAAAAACTTCAGAGCTCAAAGACAAGGTCTTTGAATTAACCCAATCCAACAGAGACAAAGAAAAAAGAACATGAAAATATGAACAAAGCCACTAAGAAGTAAGGAATTATGTTAAAAAATCAAACCTAAGAACAATCAATATACCAGAGGAAGAAGATGAATATAAAAGTTTGGAAAACATATTTGGGGGAAGAATTGAGAAAAACTTCACCAGCCTTACTAGAGACCTAGACATCCAAATACAAGAAGCTCAAAGAACACCTGGGAAATTAATTACAAAAAGATCATTGCCTAGTTACATTGCCATCAGGTTATCTAAAGTTAAGACAAAGGAAAGAATCTGAAGAGCTGTGAGGCAAAAGCACCAGGTAACCTACAAAGGAAAACCTATTAGATTAACAGCAGATTTGTCAGCAGAAACCTTAGAAGCTAGAAGGGATTGGGGCTCTATTTTCAGCTTCCTCAAACAAAACAATTATCAGCCAAGAATTTTGTATCCAGTGAAACTAAGCTTCATAAATGAAGGAAAGATACAGTCTCTTTCAGACAAACAAATGCTGAGAGAATTTGTCACTACCAAGCCAGCATTATAAGAACTGCTAAAAGGAGCTCTAAATCTTGAAGCAAATCCTGGGAACACATCAAAACAGAACCTCCTTGAAGCACACATCTCACAGGACCTATGAAACAAAACTAGAATTAAAAAAAAAAAAACACTGAGGTATACAGGAAACAGCATGATGAATGGAATCATGTCTCACATCTCAGTACTAATATTGAATGTAAATAGCCTAAATGCTCCACTTAAAAGATGTAGAATTGCAGAATGGATAACACCTGCTGCCTTCAAGAGACTCACCTATAACACATAAGGACTCACATAAACTTAAGGTAAAGGGGTGGAAAAACATATTTCATGCAAATGGATACCAAAAGTGAGCAGTAGTAGCTATTCTTATATCAGACAAAAAAACTTTAAAGCAACAGCAGTTAAAAAAGACAAAGAGGGACATTATATAATGATAAAATGCCTTGTTCAACAGGAAAATATCACAATCCCATAATATGCACCTAACACTGGAGCTCACAAATTTATAAAACAATTCCTACTAGACCTAAGAAATGAGATAGACAGCAACATAATAGTAGTGGGGGACTTCAGTACTCCACTGACAGCACTAGACAGGTCATCAAGACAGAAAGTCAACAAAGAAACAATAGATTTAAGGTATACCCTAGAGCAAATGGACCTAACAGATATTTACAGAACATTCTACCCAACAACCGCAGAATATACATTCTATTCATCAGTGCATGGAGCTTTCTCCAAGACAGACTGATGATAGGCCACCCAACAAGCCTCCATAAATTTAAGAAAATTGAAATTATATTAAGCACTCTCTCAGACTACAGTGGAATGAAATTGAAAATCAACTCCAAAAGGAACCTTTGAAACCATGCAAATACATGGAAATTAAATAACCTGCTCCTGAATGATCACTGGGTCAACAAAGAGATCAAGATGGGAATTAAAAAATTCTTTGAAATGAATGACAATAGTGACACAACCTATCAAAATCTCTGAGATACAGCAAAGGCAACACTAAGAGGAAAGTTCATAGCATTAAATGCCTACATCAAAAAGTCTGAAAGAGCACAAACAGACAATCTAAGGTCATACCTCAAGGAACTAGAGAAACAAGAACAAACCAAACTCAAACCCAGCAGAAGAAAGATCAGAGCAGGACTAAATGAAACTGAAACAAAAAAACAATACAAAAGATAAATGAAAGAAAAAGCTGGTTCTTTGAGAAGATAAATAAAATTGATAGACCATTAGAAAGATTAACCAAGAAGAGAGAAGATCCAAATAAATTCAATCAGAAACGAAACAGGAGATATTACAACTACATCATAGAAATACAAAAGATCATTCAAGACTACTACAAACACCTTTACACACATAAACTAGAAAACCTAGAGGAGATGGATAAATTCCTGGAAAGATACAATCCTCCTAGCTTAAATCGGGAAGAATTAGATACTCTGAACAGACCAATAACAAGCAGCAAGATTGAAATGGTAATCAAAAAATTACCAACAAAAAAGTTCAGGACCAGATAGATTCATAGCTGAATTATACCAGACATTCAAAGAAGAATTGATACCAATCTTATTGACACTATTCCACAAGATAAAGAGGGAATTCTCTCTAAATTATTCTATAAAGCCGGTACCACCTTAATACCAACACCAGGGAAGGACATAACAAAAAAGAAAACTACAGACCAATACCCCTGATGAACACAGATGCAAAAATCCTCAAAAAATAATAGCTAACTGAATCCAACAACATACCAAAAAGATAACCCACCATGATCAAGTGGGTTTCATACCAGGGATGCAGGGATGGGTTAACATAAGCAAGTCAATAAATGTGATACACCACATAAATGGAATTAAAAACAAAAATCATATGATCATCTCAATAGATGCAGAAAAAGCATTTGACAAAATCCAGCATTCCTTTATGATTAAAGCTCTCAGCAAAATCAGCATACGAGGGACATACCTCAATGTAATAAAAGACATCTATGACAAACCCACAGCCAACATTGAACTATATGGGGAAAAGTTGAAAGCATTTCCCCTGAGAACTGGAGCAAGACAAGGATGCCCACTGTCACCAATTGTCTTCATCATAGTACTGGAAGTCCTAGACAGAGCAATCAGACAAAAGAAAGAAATAAATGGCATCCATATCTATAAAGAGGAAGTCAAACTCTTGCTGTTTGCTGATGATATGATTGTATCCCTAGAAAACCCTAAAGACTCATCCAAAAAGCTGCTAGAACTGATAAAAGAATTCAGCAAAGTTTCTGGACACAAAATTAATGTACACAAATCAGCAGCTCTCCTATACACCAACAGCAATCAAGCTGAGAATCAAATCAAGAACTCAACTCCTTTTACAGTAGCTGCAAAATAAAATATAAAATACTTAGGAATATACCTAACCAAGGAGGTGAAAGAACTTTACAAGGTAAACTATAAAACACTGCTGAAAGAAATCATAGATGACACAGACAAATGGAAACACATCCCATACTCATGGATGGGTAGAATCAATATTGTGAAAATGACCATACTGCCAAAAGCAATCTACAAAGTCACTGCAATTCCCATCACAATACTACCATCATTCTTCACAGAACTAGAAAAAGCAATCTTAAAATTCATATGGAACCAGAAAAGAGCCCACATAGCCAAAGCAAACTAAGCAAAAAGGACAAATCTGGAGGCATCACATTACCTAATTTCAAACTATACTATGAGGCCACAGTCACCAAAACAGCATGGTATTGGTATAAAAATAGGCACACAGACCAATGGAACGTAGTAGAGAACCCAGAAATAAACCCAAATTCTTACAGTGAACTGATCTTTGCCAAAGCAAACAAAAACATAAAGTGGGGGAAATACCCTATTCAACAAATGGTGGTAGGATAATTGGCAAGCCACATGTAGAAAAATGAAACGGGATCCTCATCACTCATCTTATGCAAAAATTACCTCAAGATGGATCAAAGACTTAAATCTAAGATCTGAAAATCTAAAAATTCTGGAAGATAACATCGGAAAAACCCTTCTGGACATTGGCTTAGGCAAGGATTTCATGGCCAAGAACCCAAAAAGCAAATGCAATAAAAACAAAGATAAATAGCTGGGACTTAAACTAAAGAGCTTTTTCATGGCAAAAGGAACAGTCAGCAGAATAAACAGACAACCCACAGAGTGGGAGAAAATCTTCACAATCTATACATCTGATAAAGGATGAATATCCAGAATCTACAATAAACTCAAATTAGCAAGAAGAAGACAAACAATCCATCAAAAAGTGGGCTAAGGATATGAATGGACAATTCTCAAAAGAAGATATACAAGTGGTCAACAAACATATGAAAAAAATACTCAACATCACTAACCATGGGGGAAATGCAAATCAAAACCACAGTGATTACCACCTTACTCCTGCAAGCATGGCCATAATCAAAAAAAAAAAAATAGATGTTGGCATGGATGTGGTGAACCAGGAACACTTCTACACTGCTGGTGGGAATGTAAACTAGTACAACCACTATGGAAAACAGTATGGAGATTTCTTTAAAAACTAAAAGTAGAACTACCATTTCATCCAGCAATCCCACTATTGGGTATCTACCCAGAGGAAAAGACGTCAGTATACGAAAAAGATACTTGCATACGCATGTTTATAGCAGCACAATTCGCAATTGCAAAAATGTGGAACCAACCCAAATGCCCATCAATCAATGAGTGGATAAAGAAGCTGTGGTATATATAGACTATGGAATACTACTCAGCCATAAAATAGAATGAATTAATGGCATTCACAGCAACCTGGATGAGACTGGAGACTATTATTCTAAGTGAAGTAACTCAGGAATGGAAAACTGAACATCGAATGTTCTCACTCATAAGTGGGAGCTAAGCTAGGAGGATGCAGAGGCATAAGAATGACACAATGGAGTTTAGGGACTCAGAGGAAAAGGGTGGGAAGGGGTGGGGAATAAAAACTACGAACTGGGTGATGGGTACATTAAAATCTCACAAATCACCGCTGAAGAACTTACTTATGTAACCAAACACCACCTGTTCCCCAGTAACCTATGGAAATAAAAAAATTTTTAAAGAAGGAAAACAAACAACCCAACTAAAAATATGAGCAAAAGTGGAAGGACATGGTGGCTCATGCCTTAATCCCAGCACTTTGGAAGGCAGAAGTAGGAGGATCACTTCACCTCAGGAATATAAGACCAATCTGGGGCAACGTAGGGAGACCTTGTCTCTGTTAGGAAAAAAAAAAAAAGGGCAAAATATCTGAACAGATATATTTCATGAAAGAAGATATACATTTGGCAATTATGCACATGAAAAAATGCTCAACATCATATATCATTTATTGCATTGTATTGTCCTTGTGTACATTTCTAATTGTATGCTATATGCATGTATTCCCTATTCAAAAATAAATAAGATTTAAAAAACAAAAGAAAAATAAGCCAACCTGGGTACCCAAGCTGTACTCCACATCAGTGAAATCAATATTTTTTGGGGTAGGGTCCAGGTATCAATAGTTTCTAAGCTTCTCCAGCTATTCCAGCAGGAACCACTATTATAGAGAAAAGTTTGCAAACATTGAGCTCCCTTGGTTCTTTCATCTAATGGAGAAAGCAGGATAAGTGCTCGGGTGCCTCTGCATCTCAGCTCACCCTCTTGTTTCCAGTTGACTGGACTCCCATTTCCCCAGGGATACCAACCATTACCCTTTGCCAATTTAATACACATTTACCAGATTAGTTCCAAAAAGCAATCACAAATCCATTTCCTTGCAGCTAGCAATACTAATTATAGAGAATTCCAAATCCTTCTGACTGCAATTGCTCAAAGTTCAGCACTTGAGTTTTTCTCCACTCTATCTTTATTTTCAGTTTTTCTCACCCCCTGCATGGCTAGGACCACAAGTCCAACCTTGAAGTGTTGATGTGGGAACAGGACAGCCTGGTTGTGAAGAGCGTCCCCCAGATGGCCTTGGGTTTGCATTCTGGCTGCTGTTTACCAGCTCGCCTTTGAGAAGCTGTGTTGTTTTACTGTGACTATGTTGTCAGCACACTTTCTGGGCAGGTCTGTTAAATTCAGCAAGAATTTGAGGACGATATGGGCAATAATAGCATTTATCATAATCTTAGATAATGTATGTGAGAGCTCACCAAAAATTGTGATTTTTAATAAGAACAATTTAAGCTATAGCCCTGTGGGCAGGGCCCAGCTGCTGCAGCTAAAAAGACAAGAAAAACTCTGTCCCAAGGCTGGGCACAGTGGGCTCACACCTGTAATCCCAGCACTTTGAGAGGCAGAGGCAGGAGGATCACTTGAACTGTGGAGTTTGAGACCAGCCTGAGCAATAAAGCAAGACCCTGACCTGGTGCAGTGGCTCACATCTGTAATCCCAGCACTCTGGGAGGCTGAGGTGGGTGGATTACTTGAGGTCAGGAGTTTGAGACCAGCCTGACCAACATGGTGAAACCCTGTCTCTACAAAAAAAATACAAAAATTAGCTGGGTAAGGTGGTGCGCACCTGTAACCTCAGCTACTCCGGAGGCCGAGGTGGGAGAATCACATGAACCTGGGAGGCGGAGGTTGCAGTGAGCCAAGATCTTGCCACTGCACTCCAGCCTGGGCAACAGAGCAAGACTCTGTCTCAAACAAAACAAAACAAAACAAAACAAAACAAGACCCCCATCTTCATTAAAAAAAAAAAGGAAGAAATAAGATTTGTTGTGCATGCTGGCATGCTGTGTACATCCTGTCTAGATTATTGTGTCTGAAAATGCTTGTGCTATTTAACTTAATTTAATTTGTCATTCTTGGGAAAAAGGGTTTACTAGATTTAGAGGGCAAAATGAGGTCCAAATCTATTCAAATAGCACACAGTCATTGCTGTGGCACCCTGGCCCTTTGGAATGCAGTGATGAACTCAATTGAAGAATTGTTTGCTGAGTCTCTGCTGGGCACCAGGCACTATCTGTGCTTGGTAACTCGATAAAGACAAGAAGGAGGCAATTGGGCTCTGCCTTCAAGGAACTGATGGCTGGGCAGAGGATGCTGGCAGCAAATAACTGCATGTTCTCACTTGGTCCCCTTGCCTCTACTGACGTGAAACTGCATCCCCTCAGAGCCTGGAACGCTGGCACAATGGCGCAGAGAGGTACATGCTGTCATCGAAGGCCACAAAGCACATTAGTGGCTCTGCTAATAGCAGATTCTAGTGCTCTTACAGTATTGCCACCTCTTGGCTAAAGAAAGAACAGCTGAGAAAGTCTACAAACTGTACAAACCATCCTCATTTGAGAAGTAGAAAGATTGATTGGTTTCTATCGATTGCATATCTGTAGTAAAAAAAATTCACAGTCAACTTCTGCTTTTTGTTTTTCAGACACCCATGAGGTATAAACACTGTTGTCAGAGGAAACAGTGGAAATGAGGAGGCTGCCCTTGTCTTAGAGAACCTATCAGGAAATGCTTTCCTGAATAGAAAGTATCCTTATCCATTGTTCAGCATCCAATTTCCCCTTTGTTCCCTGTTTAATAACAATAGCAAACCTTAATTTCAGTCCAGCATAAAGAGACTATTGTGAATTTTGGATCAGTCAGGTTTGCACTAATGAGTTTTGACTAAAGGTAGTTTGAAACGTGGGTTTATCTTGCTGGCAACAACTGAATTTCTTGACTTCCCCTTTGAGGGAAAAACAAGGGAGGTTGGCAGCTTCTGCAGAGATGGCATCTGACTTTGCTGATGCCAGAGGGTCTGTAAGTGGATTACAAGATACGCGTTACTTTTGTTAGTAAAACTCTACTAAAGCATTGCTTCAGGAGAAATGCTTAGTGGAAGAAGATATTTATGCAGGTTTTGGAACAATGGTTTTTTTTTTTTTTTTTTTTTTGAGATGAAGTCTCACTCTGTCACCCAGGCTAGAGTGCAGCAGCATGATCTCGGCTCACTGCAATCTCCGCCTCCCAGGTTCAAGCAATTCTCCTGCCTCAGCCTCCCCAGTAGCTGGGATTACAGGTGTCTGCCACCACACCTGGCTAATTTTTGTATTTTTAGTAGAAACAGCGTTTCACCTTGTTGGTCAGGCTGGTCTTGAACTCCTGGCCTCAAATGATTCACCCACCTTGGCTTCCCAAAGTGCTGGGATTACAGGAGTGAGCCACTGTGCCCAGCGAATTTTCCAAATTTTTATCACATTTTACCCCTATACAGGAATGGGAAATAGATAAAAATCTCGTGCCAGGGAAGAATATAGGAGGCACATATATTGGTTTGCCTGGGACTGAGTTAGTTTGTGCCCATTGCCTTAGCAGCCAGTTTGATTTAAACATGTCTTAGATTCTTCATTTTAAAATGAGATATTGGCCAGGCATGGTGGCTGACACCTGTAATCTCAGCACTTTGGGAGGCTGAGGTGAGTGGATCACCTGAGCCCAAGAGTTTGAGATCAGCCTGAGCAAGATAGCAAGACCCCATCTCTATTAAAAATGCAAAATCCCGTTAGCCAGATGTGGTGGCACATGCCTATAGTCCCAGCTACTCTGGAGGCTGAGCGGGGAGGATTGCTTGAGTCCGGAAAGTTGAGGCTGCAGTGAACTGTGATTGTGCCACTACACTTGAGCTTGGGCAACAGAGTAAGATCCTGTCTGAAAACAAACAAAAAAAACTAATAAAATGAAGTGTTATTATTATTTTTTAATATGTATGCATGTTTATTAACAGTTTGGTCAATGTAATATCTCAGAGAAATTTTAAGTCAGGCAAAAGATAGGTGAGTGGCCTTGTTTAAAATGTTATAAAGTCCTAGAGTGTCTACTTAGGGGTTGATTGGAACATTTTGGAAGAGACTGCCGTTTGCTGTCCTGCAGGCTCCTGCAGTAAGAGGAGAACAGAACCTCTGACAATGGCATTTGGAGGGTTTTGTTTTTCTTTTTTTCTTTTTAAATTATACTTTAAGTTCTGGGGTACATGTGCAGAACGTGCAGCTGTGTTACATAGGTATACACGTGCCATGGTGGTTTGCTGCACCCATCAACCTGTTATCTACATTAGGTATTTCTCCTAACGCTATCCTTCCCCTAGCCCCCCTGCCCTGTGACAGGCCCTGGTGTGTGATGTTCCCCTCCCTGTGTCCATGTGTTCTCACTGTTCACTTCCCACTTATGAGTGAGGACATGCGGTGTTTGGTTTTCTCTTCCTGTGTTAGTTTGCTGAGAATGATGATTTCCAGCTTCATCCATGTCCCTGCAAAGGACATGAACTCAACCTATTTATGGCTGCATAGTATTCTCTGGTGTATATGTGCCACATTTTCTTTATCCAGTCTATCATTGATGGGCATTTGGGTTGGTTCCAAGTCTTTGCTATTGTGAATAGTGCCACAATAAACATGCATGTGCATGTGTCTTTATAGTAGGGTGATATATAGTCCTTTGGGTATATACCCAGTGAGGGGATTGCTGGGTCAAATGGTATTTCTAGTTCTAGATCCCTGAGGAATCACCACACTGTCTTCCACAATGGTTGAACTAATTTACACTCCCACCAACAGTGTAAAAGTGTTCCTAGTTCTCTACATTCTCTCCAGCATTTGTTGTTTCCTGACTTTTTAATGATAGCCACTCTAACTGGCCTGAGATGGTATCTCATTGTGGTTTTGATTTGCATTTCTCTAATGACCAGTGATGATGAGCTTTTTTCATATGTTTGTTGGCCACATAAACGTCTTCTTTGAGAAGTGTCTGTTCATATCCTTTGCCCACTTTTTGATGGGGTTGTTTGTTTTTCTTGTAAATTTCTTTAAGTTCTTTGTAGATTCTGGATATTAGCCCCTTGTCAGATGAATAGATTGCAAAAATTTTCTCCCATTCTGTAGGTTGCCTGTTCACTCTGATGATAGCTTCTTTTGCTGTGCAGAAGCTCTTTAGTTTAATCAGATTCAATTTGTCAATTTTGGCTTTTGTTGTCATTGCTTTTGGTGTTTTAGTCATGAAGTCTTGGCCCATGCCTATGTCTAGAATGGTATTACCTAGGTTTTCTTCTAGGGTTTTTATAGTTTTAGGTCTTATGTTTAAGTATTTAATCCATCTTGAGTTAATTTTTGTATAAGGTGTAAGGAAGAGGTCCAGTTTCAGCTTTCTGCATATGGCTAGCCAGTTTTCCCAACACCATTTATTCAATAGGGAATCCTTTCCCCATTGCTTCTTTTTGCCAGGTTTGTCAAAGATCAGATGGTTGTAGATATGTGGTGTTATTTCTAAGGCCTCTGTTCTGTTCCATTGGTCTATAAATCTGTTTTGGTACCAGTACCATGCTCTTTTGGCTACTGTAGCCTTGTAGCATAGTTCGAAGTCAGGTAGCAGGATGCCTCCAGCTTTGTTCTTTTTGATTAGGATTGTCTTGGCTATGCAGGCTCATTTTTGGTTACATATGAAATTTAAAGTAAAAATATGGAACACTTCACGAATTTGCACATCATCCTCATGCAGGGCCCATGCTAATCTTTTCTGTATCATTCCAATTTTAGTGTATGTGCTGCTGAAGCAAGCACTGAGCTGTTATTATTAACAGTTCCACTAAAATGCACCTGGAGGCCTTCATTTATTGTATGGTGTAATATATTGCTATTTACTTATTTTTATTTATTTATTTATTTTATTTTATTTTTGAGACAGTCTCACTCTGTCACCCAGGCTGGAGTGCAGTGGCATGATCTTGGCTCACTGAAACCTCTGTCTCCCAAGTTTAAGCAATTCTCCTGCCTCAACCTCCTGAGTAGCTGGGACCAGATGCCTGCCCCACCACACCTGGCTAATTTTTGTACTTTTAGTAGAGATGGGGTTTTGCCATGTTGGCCAGGCTGGTCTCAAACTCCTGACCTCAAGCAATCCACCCGCCTTAGCCTCCCAAAGTGTTGGGATTACAGGCATGAACCACTGCACCCTGCTACTTAAATTTTTTGAAATGCATTTTTATCTTGCCCTAAACCAGAGGTGTCCAGTCTTTTGGCTTTTCTGGGCCACATTGGAAGAAGAATTGTCTTGGGCCACACATAAAATACGCCAACACTAACAATAGCTGATGAGAAAAAGAAAAAAAAAAGAAAGAAAAAGAAAAAGAAAAAGAAAAAGAAAAGAATCCTCTCAAAATCTCATAATGTTTTAAGAAAGTTTACAAATTTGTTTGAGCTGCATTCAAAGTCTTGGGTGTGGGTTAGACAAGCTTGCCCTAAACTTATTTGCAAAAATGAGCTAAGACAAGCACATATTTAATAAAATAAAGTATTAAATTTAATAAAAATAAAGTACTAAATTTCTGTTTTGTAAGAACATTGATGATAGACATATAATATGTACAAAATGATAATGTTTGTTAACATTTGCTGTGCACTATGAGGACCACAGAGGTATCAGTACCAGCTGTCTCAAATCTGATAAAGGAACAGCCACATGTATTTCAAAAGTTACTATGGTAGTTATTTTAAGAAGATTGTAGGCAGTGGCAGAAAGTATGTTTTAAGATTACTCTGAGAAGTATGACTTTTCATTTATACCTATGTATTTATTTATATCATCTATATCTTCTAAATTAATTTCACTCATTTTCAATTCCAAGTTTTCCTGGGTACAAACAAAAAATAAAATCATAGCTACTGATGTGTGTCATTAGCAGAAAAACTCATCATGCAGTTAGGTGATGCCAGCTTTATAAAGTGTAATCAGATGCTCCAAGTAGAAAAATCAGTTGCTTGCAATAATAGATTTTTTTTTTTGTCCAATTCATCAAAGTAAAGCTTCTGGAAGTTTCCTCAAATTCAGCATCTGAACATTGTTGTGAATACTATTGTAAATGTAGTTATAAAGTTCCACATTGAAGATAAAATTATAGTTTTTACAGTGATAATAAAAACAAAATCTGGCAGAACACCGTATTTTGGTAAAACTAATGTTCTTACTCAAAAAAAAATGATGTGGAGCAGAAATATACTTGGAATTGGTACACTGAAAATTCATACTTGTGTCCAAACATGCTCTGATACTCTACCAATTAAAACAGAAGCCACAGTTGCCACAATCTATGAAGGTTTTCAGATACACACAGAATAAACTATGAAATTATCTTAATGAAGTTATTGTTGAATTAAATAACAAGTTTGGCATGGCGTTTGGGGCTCTCTTTCTTGCTACTTATCACTGGTCGGATTTTAGAAATTTCTGGGCCTTTGTGAACCAAGCTCTGTGTTGATTTTGACATTTTTTGGAAACGAGTCCTTTAGTTTTTATTTACATTTTATTCAAAATGTGTTGAAAATCTTTATAAAAGTATTCAATAAACAGAACACCAACAATCTTTAGATTTTGAAACTTTCAGCCAATTGTAGTATTGCCATTAACGAAAACAAAGTTTGCGAGCAGAAAACCATTGAAGTTTATCCTCATAAAAGTAGGGGAGAATTGAATAAATTAAACAATGCAAATGCAAATGGTGAACAGGAGTTAATTTTGACATTCTGTGATTTCACTTTGGTTCAACTGAAAAATATATATTTAGTACTAAAATGAAATGAAATGAAGACCTACAACATTGCATCAATCTAAGTACAGCTGAACGTTCAAAAGGATCCGGCAATTTTTCTGATGCCTTGTCTTATTAAAGTATTTGTCAAAGAGAGCTATTATGAGTGGAGGCAACAAAAAATGCTATCCGTGAAAAGATTTGGGCTAAAATATTTATACTTTTTTTCTTTTTTTGAGACAGAGTCTCACTCTATTCTCCAGGCTAGAGTGCAGTGGTGTGATCTTGGCTCACTGAAACCTCCACCTCCAAGGTTCAAGCAATTCTCGTGCCTTAGTCTCCCGAGTAGCTGGAATTACAGGTGTCCACCACCATGTCCAGCTAATTTTTGTATTTTTAGTAGAGATGGGGTTTCGCCATGTTGGCCAGGCTGGTCTTGAACTCCTGGCCTCAAGTGATCTGCCTGCCTGGGCCTCCCCAAATGCTGGGATTACAGGCGTGAGACACTGCAGCCACTGCACCCCACCGGTTTGCACATTTTAATGTAAAAAAAATTAAATTTCAGACTATTCTCCACATAGCAGAATTCGCTTCTACAGACTATGTTTTCTAAAATAAAATTATTGTGGTTTACAGAAAAGGGTCAATTGAATGTGTCAACAATTTCATATTGTTAACCATAAAATGCAGCTTTGAAGATAATTGTAGGCAATTTTATGAAAGAATTAAAAATAAGAACATTTTGAAAGAAATGATTAAAAAAATCAATGTTGTGGTGTTTGAGACAAATGCATCTTACAAACTGATCTAAATACGTGAATTCCTTCATAATTATACGGGATGCATAGTATATTATAATGTATTAGGTTATTATATTAGGATATATAATATAATATATATTGTTATGTAGTTTATATTATATTATATGTTATATAATAAATATTTTATATATAATATATATAATACAAGATAGAAATTCTGCTATCATTATTCTCCAATGTTTGGATAATCAATATCAATAATTTGTTTTGGTTTTAGTGTATAAATTTTCATTATTTAAACTTTTAAAGAAGTATTTCTAATTTTGCAATAGTTTTAAAAAATGTTTAATTTTTGCAATGGAGGCTTTTTCCTTTTGAAATTACTTTTATGAATTATTTTATCTTCAAATAGAACTACTTTATTGGTCTACCAATATACTACAATCAATGTCAGTCAATAAATATATATTCAAAAATATATCATTTTGGATGGGCGAAGTGGCTCATGCCTGTAATCCCAGCACTTTGGGAGCCTGAGGCAGGCCTATCACTTGAGGTCAGGAGTTTGAGACAAGCCTGACCAACATGATGAAACCCTGTCTTTACTAAAAATACAAAAATTAGCTGGGTGTGGTGGCACAGGCCTGTAATCCCAGCTACTCAGGAGGCTCAGGCAGGAGAATCACTTGAACCTGGGAAGCGGAGGCTGCAGTGAGCCGAGATCATGCCACTGCACTCCAGCCTGGCTAACAAAGCTAGACTCCATCTTAAAACAAAAAACCAAAAAACCAAAAAAAAAAAAAAGCAAAGAAGAACCCCACATCATTTTAACTATTTTTAACAGTCACTTTTACTTGGATAACAAGTAGCCACCTTAACTATAAAGTCTTCATAGGCCAGGCCATTCAGGGAAAACTGACTTTGGAAAATGCAATTCTCATTAGAAAGCAAACTTTTCTGGAAAGAGGAAAGGTCTAGGAAATGGTGATTTCTTCATTTGTTCCTGCAAGCATTCATTCAGGACATGCTTACCACTTGCCTTCAGCGGTTCTAGGTGCTAGAGACAGAGGTGATGTGGGGCTTGCATCATAAAATGAAGTATAGGACCAGACTCCTTATGAAATCGATGTTTCGGTTGAAAATTCAAGAGGCATTGCAAAAAGCAGGCGTTGCTGGAGCACAGAGTGAGAGAGGGAGTGGGGAAGGGTGAGGCAGGGGAGGCAGGCAGAGAAGGCTGAGGATACATGAGGCCACAGGAAGGATTTGGACTCAGCCCAAAGGATGTGGGAAGCTATTAATGGGATTTAAACAGAAAGATGACTTGATTTTTTAAAAGAAGATTGCAGGCCGAGCATGGGGGCTGACACCTGTAATCCCAGCACTTTGGGAGGCTGAGGCAAGCAGATCACCTGAGGTCAGGAGTTTGAGACCAGCCTGGCTAACATGGTGAAACCCCGTCTCTACTAAAAATACAAAAATTAGCTGGTGGTGGGTACCTGTAATCCCAGCTACTTGGGAGGCTGAGGCAGAAGAATCACTTGAACCTGGGAGGCAGAGGTTGCAGTGAGCCGAGACTGCACCATTGAACTCCAGCCTGGGCGACAAGAGCAAGACTCCATTTCAAATAAATAAATAAATAAATAAATAAATAAATAAAGATTGCTTTTCAGGATGAAGAATAAATAGAGAGGACAATATGAACACGGGAAGGTTAATGAACAGGCAATGACAGTCATCCAGGTGAGGGAGGGTGGTCTGACTTGATTTGTGGGCAGTGGAGTTAAGGTGAATGGGTTTGAGAGGTGCAGGAGGTAGAAGGGAGAAGATTCCAGATGGATCAGATGTAGTGGGCTGAGAGCAGGAAGGAGCGAGGCGTCAGGGATGACTCTCAATGTTATCCTTAGTGATGACAGTGCTGTTCGTTGAGACCGTGACCGCCTAGGAAGAGCAGACGTCAGGGCACAGACATCGAGCTTGCTCGGGCTGTGCTGGTTTGGGTCATGTTTGCAGGCTGCTCAGATGCACAAGTCTGCGAGCACTGCACCTGCCGTCTAGAGCTCAGAGAACAGTCTGAGGGAGAGACACAGACAGGAGATGTGGGCCCAGAACTATGAGAGAATGGAGTAATGAAGGGCTGGGAATTACAGACTGGACCATGGCAAGACTTGGGGGTGGTTAGGTTTGGGAGAGGCAGCGCAGCCCATGATAAGCATAGAGAATAAAAGACTGAATGGACTTCTATGTGTGGACTTGGATGAAAGCAGAGACGTGGGGTCTGGCAGTTGGGGTTGGAGGCCTGGTACTCCCTGAGGGATGTCAGACACTCAGCCTTCTTAGAATTCAGCGGTTTCTGGAAGGGGCTGTGATGTGAGGATGGGTTTCACCGCTGAGGTGTGTAGCAGTGGTTGGCAGGCAGAGGCAATCAGGTATGGGTTTGTAGTTTGGAGAGGGGTGCGAGTGACTAGGGTGACACTGGGGGTGGGGGTGACAGCGTGGAACAGTGGGGGCAGAGGGAATCTGGCTGCTCCAGTCTTAAAGTGGGGACACAGCGGCACTGGGGTTTGGCTCATCCCAATTCACAGATGTTGTCGTCTATCTGGTCTCTTTCTGCTGCGATTTGCTACACTTTCTCCTGACACTAGTCTCAGTGACATGGTTTCCAGATGGAAAGAGAGGAAGGAGGTCCCTGGACTTTTCAAACGTTCCAGGAAATGGAGATGACAGCACCGTATCAGGACTAATGGTGGGCTGGGCTGGTGATGCCTGCTGTTGAACTCTTTAGAGACAAGCACAGTTCTTCAGCTGGCTACTCCGTATATTATCCGCTACAGGCATAGAATGAATCACTGACACACCTCGGTTTTATGCGCTGGTACTATTGTAGTACTAGGGACCACGTCTTGAATATTTTAAAACCGATTCTGCCTTCACTGATGGTCAGGATGCATGGAGAGGTGATGGCAAGCACTCAAGTCTCAGCGCTGTGACCGTCAAGCCACATTTGGTCCTTTATACACCTTTACGCAGGGATAGCTTAGTCACTTAGGCAAGGGGTCAGAGGTTTCTTTTCCTAAGCAAGGGGTCAGAGATTTCCCTTCCTTCCTTCTTTCCTTCCTTCCTTCCTTCCTTCCTTCCTTCCTTCCCTCCCTCCCACCATCCTTCCTTCCTTCCTTCCTTTCTTTTCCTTCTTTCTTTCTTTCTTTCTTTCTTTCTTTCTTTCTTTCTTTCTTTCTTTCTTTCTTTCTTTCTTTCTTTCTTTTTCTTTCTCTCCTTTCTTTCTCTCTTTCTTTCCTTTCTTTCTTCTTTCTTTTTCTTTCTCTCTCTCTCTTTCTTTTTTCCCTCCCTCCCACCCTCTTTCCCTCCTTCCCTTCCTTCTTTCCTTCCTTCCTTCCTTCCCTCCCTCCCTCCCTCCTTCCCTCCTTCCTTCCTTCCTTCCTTTCTGTCTTGCTTTCTTGCCTTTGTTTTTTTTTTGAGACAAGGTCTTACTCTGTCACCCATGCTGGGATGGAATGATGCAATCACAGCTCATGGCAGCCTCGCCCTCCCAGGCTCAAGCGATCCACCTGCCTCAGCCTCCTGAGTAGCTGGGACCACAGTTGCATGCCACCATGACTGGCTATTTTTTTTTATTTTTATTTTTAGCAGAGACTGGGTTTTGCCATGTTGGCAAGGCTGGTCTTGAACTCCTGACCTAAGGGAATCTGTCCACCTCTGCCTCCCAAAGTGCTGGAATTACAGGCATGAGCCACCATGCCCAGCCAAGATTTCTTTATAAGGATTGTCTTTATAATAAGAGGCCTTTTTTTCTCCCCCAAGAACTATTGTTTTACCTTTTCTCTGGCCAGGAGTATCTTGGAACGTAGAGATTTGGGCTGCAGTAACTTGAGATGTGTGTGTCTGGGGCTTTGGACAAGAATATCTCATAATGTGGACTGGGACTTTGTTCTTGCTGCACAGTAGAACAATGCTCCTGGCAGAGGATGGGTGAATGTCAACAAGTCCCCACTTAAGGTGCATGTAAAATTGTCCCTCTGTGCCCTGAAATACTGCATTTCCCAAAATGAGCTTGTAGAAGCTTGAATGTAATGATTCATTCAAGACTTTTAAGAATGTTCTGTGATGACTTTTAGAGTAGTCCAAGAGGAATGTTCCTCCTGTTGATCAGAAGGAACAGAGCTTATGATTTTCATATTAGAGCCAGATATGACCTGGGGCCTGTACGTTATGGCAGGTTTAAGGTAGAAAAGGAAACGTGACATTTTTTGAAATAGCTTGCCACTTGCATTAAATTAGATATATTTCTGGCATTGGGAAGGATGGTGATTGTTGGTTCGACTTGGCTGGGGAGACAATGGTCAACTTCATCTCCTAATAGAAATGACTTTTGAGTTGTGAGCAGAGAACATACCAAACAACACCCTTAATTTCCAGATAAGACAATAAAGGCTGCGAAGAGTAAAGTGCCCTTCCCAAGGTCACACAGAATGGACAGAAATCAGAACTCAACCTTTTGGCACCAAGACCAGGGCCGTGTCCACTTTATCATCCTGTATCTCCGTATGCCTGTTCTTTTCTTTAGTTCCAAGAATAAAATTGATATCCAAGGAGAGTTCACCCTTGATTCAGATTTGCCTGCATGTAAGTACCTCCTTCCCCATCCCCCAGACAGGAAGCAGTGCTCAGATGGAAGAAGGTGGCACTCTACGGTGCTTTGATGGTGTCTCTCTCCGGGCCCCCTTGCTCTCCCGACTCTCCTGGTCGTTCTTGTATGGATTCATGTGTTGCTTTCTGATCTCACACACAAGTTCCTGATTTTCTTCATACTTGTCATATTTTCTGTTCCTTTGGGTGGTTTCGTACTTTCCATGACCTTGTCACCTACTGCCTTAGTTCATTTTGCATGGCTGTAAAGAAATACTGAGACTGGGTGATTTACAAAGAAAAGAGGCAGGCTGGATAATATAGTGAAACCTTGTCTCCACAAAAATAAACTTAAAAATAGCCAGGCATGATGGTGCACACCTGTAATCCCAGCTACTTGGGAGGCTGAGGCAGGAGGATCACTTGAACCTGGGAGGCAGAGGTTGCAGTGAGCTGTGATCCCACCACTACACTCCAACACTCCAGCCTTGGCAATAGAGTGAGACTGTGTCTCAAAAATAGATAATTTTTTTTAAATTTTACTTTAAATTCTAGGGTACATGTGCATAACGTGCAGGTTCGTTACATATGTATACATGTGCCATGTTGGTGTGCTGCACCCATTAACTCGTCATATACATTAGGTATATCTCCTAATGTTATCCCTCCCCACTCCCCCAACCCCCGGCAGGCCCTGATGTGTGATGTTCCCCTTCCTGTGTCCATGTGTTCTTATTGTCACTCATCTGACAAAGGACTAATATCCAGAATCTACAAAGAACTCAAACAAATTTACAAGAAAAAAACAAACAACCCCATCTAAAAGTGGGCTAAGGACATGAACAGACACTTCTCAAAAGAAGACATTTATGCAGCCAATAGACACATGAAAAAATGCTCATCATCACTGGCCATCAGAGAAATGCAAATCAAAACCACAATGAGATACCATCTCACACCAGTTAGAATGGCAATCATTAAAAAGTCAGGAAATAGCAGGTGCTGGAGAGGATGTGGAGAAATAGAAATACTTTTACAATGTTGGTGGGACTGTAAACTGGTTCAACCATTGTGGAAGACAGTGTGGCGATTCCTCAAGGATCTAGAACTAGAAATACCATTTGACCCAGCCATCCCATTACTGGGTATATACTCAAAGGATGTAAATCATGCTGCTATAAAGACACATGCACACGTATGTTTATTGTGGCACTATTCACAATTGCAAACACTTGGAACCAACCTAAATGTCCATCAAAAATAGATACATTTTAAAAAATAATAAAAGACGTTGATTTGCGTTATGGTTCTGCAGGCTGTGCAAGAAGTGTGGCATCAGCATCTGCTTCTGGTGAGGCTTCAAAAAGCTTCCAATCTTGTTGGAAGGAGAAGGGGGAGTAGGCATGTCACAGGGTAGGAAAGGGAGCAAGAGAGATGGGAGCAGCAGGAGGAGGTGCCAGGTTTCTCCCAACAGTCAGTTCTCACGGGGACTCACAGAACAAGAACCCACTCATTATCTTGAGGACCCCACCAAGCCATTCATGAGGGATCCGCACCCATGACCTGAACAGCCACCACTAGGCCCCACCTCCAACACTGGGGATCACATTTCAACATGAGATTTGGAGGAGACAAACACTCAGACTTTATCATCTACTTATACCCTAATGATGCCCAAACTAATATCTCCAATTAAAGCTTGTTTCCTTGGCTTCCGAAGCCTGTGGAGCATCCCAGTCTGTCCCCTCAGTATGTGGTGGACAGAGCTGCGTCTACATCACTTCCCTTTATATAATCCTTTACTGGCTCTTTAACACCTGCAGGAGCATGTAACTGGGCACACAAGGGCCTCCATGACTGGGCATCAGCCTAATTTTCTAGCATTACCACTTTACAGTCCTTGCCTCTCACTATGTCCCATAATAACACCTGATAGCCATCATCTCCTTCCATCCCTGTGTGCCCCACCTGGTATACCTTGAAGTTCTGAACTCTTTCTGCACTGGTATGTTGAGACATAGATGTCACTACTATCCATGACTTTTTTTTTTCTTTAAGAGGGAATCTTGCTCTGTCACCCAGGCTGGAGTGCAGTGGTACGATCTCAGCTCATGGCAACCTCTGCCTCCTGGGTTCAAGCAATTCTCCTGCCTCAGCCTCCCGAGTAGCTGGATTATAGGTGCCCACCACCATGCCTGGCTAATTTTTGTATTTTTATTAGAGACGGGGTTTCACCATATTGGCTAGGCTGGTCTCAAACTCCTGACCTCAAGTGATCCGACTGCTTTGGCCTCCCAAAGTGCTGGGATTATAGGAGTGAGCCACTATGCCCAGCCCATGACTTTTTTTAAAGAAAAAATATTGTCATAGGAAAAAGTTTCCTTTGTTTGGGATTCCCCATGTGTGTTCCTACAGAGTACCTTGGTATCTTGGAATCTTGGTATGGAACAATGTGGAGTTTGAGAAAGCCCCCAGTCACCTTGTTTGTCACGCCCTCCCTCAGGAGGGGATTTTTCTCTGTCACTGAAAATAGCTGCTGAGGGCGGATATGACCCCCACCCTTTCCCCATGTGGAACAGAGGCATTCATTGTCCCCTGTGGATTTCCGTCTTGTAGACAAAATCATCTCTCTCTGTCGCCACTGAGACACAGTTCGTTTTGAAGCCTGAAGGTTTCCCTTGCTTAATTGATGAGGAACTAATAAAGCATGCCCTGTTCCTTGGAGTACAGCCCTATTAATGGCAGGATTCTGATATTACTTTTGCACACGTATTAAATTGCAGCCCAGAAGCCAGATCTTCTACTCTTTGCAAACTTAATGGAAAGCAAGGGAGGCAGGTGGCAGTAACAGGTAAATGATGAACAAGAGTCATTGTGTGCCTGGAGTTATTAAATTTTTTTCTGGGGCAGTCTCAGAAAAATGCTCCTGGGCCTTATCTAAGAATAATAGATTTTGAATCAGAGGGGACCTTAAAGGTTATCAGAATTTAGAGGTAATCTGCCGCCCAGGGTAAAAATCCCATCTGCAGGGACTGCGATAAATGGTTATATCCAGCCTTAAAAAAAAAAAAAAAAGTTTCCAGTGACTGGGAGCTCAAGGCAGCTTGAGGCAGCCAATCATTGTCAGCAAATAGAAAGCTTATCTTAGCGAGTAGCCACTTCATAGTTGACTCAAAATATAATCTGTTTCTAGAATAAACTTCTGGATGGGACACAAAATAAACTCTCACTCTACTCATTTCTTGTAGCTATACACAGATAGAGCTAGATAATTCAATTGGAAAGACTGTAGAACTGGAGGGGCTCTGAATCAAGTGCTCAGATGCCCTGGATTTATTTGGCGAGTACCAGCTGCAAACATTTGTTCCATTGTCAGACTAAATGCCACAGCCATGATTTCCAGTCACTGCAGCAGGAGGCCATCCCGAAGGGTGATGTAATTCCCATTACAGTTGATGGAAACAGCAGATTGAAAAAAAGAAGCACAATGACAAAAAAAGGTAAACCCCTAAAGTGAGTTTCTTTTATAAGTCACTACAGCACTTATACTTGATTCATTTATAATTACAGGACGTATTTATTCATTAGTTCTTGATGTGTGGATGAATACTCAGATCGCTTATGAAGACTGAGATTTTCCCAAGCATCTGGGTTCTGTATATTGGAAATAAATCACTGATTGATTCTTTGGTTTGAAAATTGGGCTATTTGTCCCTGGGGATGTTTATTTGTTGTAAATAACCAATACATACAATGTAAATCTTATACAATTTTTGCATTATAAAATATTCTTTTTTAACCATTTACAACTTTTCAGCCATTAAAAGTGGACAAAAGAAAACTATTCTTAGTTCAAAGGGCATATAAAAAGAGGCAGCTGCAATCAAATTAGAACTCGGGATTAAAAAACTCATTCAAAACTGCACAACTACGTGGAAACTGAACAACCTGCTCCTGAATGAATACTGGGTAAATAACAAAATTAAGGCAGAAATAAGTAAGTTCTTTGAAACCAATGAGAACAAAGACACAACATACCAGAATCTCTGGGACACAGCTAAAGCAGTGTTTAGAGGGAAATTTATAAAACTAAATGCCCACAGGAGAAAGTGGGAAAGATCTGAAATTGACACCCTAACATCACAATTAAAAGAACTAGAGAAGCAAGAGCAAACAAATTCAAAAGCTGACAGAAGACAAGAAATAACTAAGATCAGAGTGGAACTGAAGGGGATAGAGACACAAAAAATCCTTCAAAAAAATCAATGAATCCATCAGCTGGTTTTTTGAAAAGATTAACAAAATAGATAGACTGCTAGCCAGACTAATAAAGAAGAAAAGAGAGAAGAATCAAATAGACACAATAAAAAATGATACAGGGGATATCACCACTGATCCCACAGAAATACAAACTACCATCAGAGAATACCATAAACACCTCTATGCAAATAAACCAGAAAAATCTAGAAGACATTGATAAATTCCTGGAAACATACACCTTCCCACTACTAAACCAGGAAGAAGACAAATCCCTGAATAGACCAATAACAAGTTCTGAAATTGAGGCAGTGATTAATAGCCTACCAAACAAAAAAAGCCCAGGACCAGAAGGATTCACAGATGAATTCTGCCAGAAGTACAAACAGGAGCTGGTACCATTCCTTCTGAAACTATTCCAAACAATAGAAGAAGAGGGACTCCTCCCTGACTCATTTCATGAGGCCAGCATCATCCTGATATCAAAACCTGGCAGAAACACAACAAAAAAAGAAAATTTCAGGCCAATATACCTGATGAACATCGATGCGAAAATCCTCAATAAAATACTGGCAAACTGAATCCAGAAGCACATCAAAAAGCTTATCTACCACAATCAAGTCAGCTTCATCCCTGGGATGCAAGGCTGGTTCAACATATGCAAATCAATAAATGTAATCCATCACATAAACAGAACCAATGACAAAAAACACATGATTATCTCAATAGCTGGAGAACAGGCCTTTGATAAAATTCAACACGCCTTCATGCTAAAAACTCTCAATAAACTAGATATTGATGGAACGTATCTCAAAATAAGAGCTATTTATGACAAACCCACAGCCAGTATCATACTGAATGCACAAAGGCTGGAAGCATTTCCTTTGAAAATCAGCACAAGACAAGGATGCCCTCTCTCACCACTCCTATTCAACATAGTATTGTAAGTTCTGGCCAGGGCAATCAGGCAAAGGAAAGAATTCAAATAGGGTATTCAAATAGGAAGAGAGGAAGTCATATTGTCTTTGTTTGCAGATGACATGATTGTATATTTAGAAAACCCCATCGTCTCAGTCCAAATTCTCCTTAAGCTGATAAGCAACTTCAGCAAAGTCTCAGAATACAAAATCAATGTGCAAAAATCACAAGCATTCCTATACAGCAATAATAGACAAACAGTCAAATCACGAGTGAACTCCCTTTCACAACTGCTACAAAGAGAATAAAATACCTAGGGATAAAACTGACAAAGGATGTGAAGGACCTCTTCAAGGAGAACTACAAACCACTGCTCAAGGAAATAAGAGAGGACGCAAACAAATGGAAAAACATTCCATGCTCATGAATAAGAAGAATCAATATTGTGAAAATGGACATACTACTCAAAGTAATTTATAGATTCAATGCTATCCCAATCAAGCTACCAGTGACTTTCTTCACAGAATTAGAAAAAACAACTTTAAATTTCATATGGAACCAAAAAAGAGCCCATATAGCCAAGACAATCCTAAGCAAAAAGAGTGAAGCTGGAGGCATCATGCTACCTGATTTCAAACTATACTACAAGTCTACAGTTAGCCAAAAGAGCATGGTATTGGTAGCAAAACAGACTTATAGACCAATGGAACAGAACAGAGGCCTTAGAAATAATGCCACACATCTACAACCATCTGATCTTTGACAAACCTGGCAAAAAGAAGCAATGGGGAAAGGATTCCCTATTGAATAAATGGTGTTGGGAAAACTGGCTAGCCATATGCAGAAAGCTGAAACTGGACCTCTTCCTTACACCTTATACAAAAATTAACTCAAGATGGTTTAAATACTTAAACATAAGACCTAAAGCCATAAAAACCCTAGAAGAAAACCTAGGTAATACCATTCTAGACATAGGCATGGGCCAAGACTTCATGACTAAAACACCAAAAGCAATGACAACAAAAGCCAAAATTGACAAATTGAATCTGATTAAACTAAAGAGCTTCTGCACAGCAAAAGAAGCCATCATCAGAGTGAACAGGCAACCTACAGAATGGGAGAAAATTTTTGTAATCTATTCATCTGACAAGGGGCTAATATCCAGAATCTACAAAGAACTTAAAGAAATTTACAAGAAAAACAAACAACCCCATCAAAAAGTGGGCAAAGGATATGAACAGACACTTCTCAAAAGAAGACGTTTATGTGGCCAACAAACATATGAAAAAAGCTCATCATCACTGGTCATTAGAGAAATGCAAATCAAAACCACAATGAGATACCATCTCAGGCCAGTTAGAGTGGCTATCATTAAAAAGTCAGGAAACAACAAATGCTGGAGAGAATGTAGAGAACTAGGAACACTTTTACACTGTTGGTGGGAGTGTAAATTAGTTCAACCATTGTGGAAGACAGTGTGGTGATTCCTCAGGGATCTAGAACTAGAAATACCATTTGACCCAGCAATCCCCTCACTGGGTATATACCCAAAGGACTATATATCACCCTACTATAAAGACACATGCACATGCATGTTTATTGTGGCACTATTCACAATAGCAAAGACTTGGAACCAACCCAAATGCCCATCAATGATAGACTGGATAAAGAAAATGTGGCACATATACACCAGAGAATACTATGCAGCCATAAATAGGTTGAGTTCATGTCCTTTGCAGGGACATGGATGAAGCTGGAAATCATCATTCTCAGCAAACTAACACAGGAAGAGAAAACCAAACACCGCATGTCCTCACTCATAAGTGGGAAGTGAACAATGAGAACACATGGACACAGGCAGGGGAACACCGTACACCATGGCCTGTTGGGGGGTGGGGTGCTATGGGAGGGATAGCATTAGGAGAAATACCTAATATAGATGATGGGCTGATGGGTGCAGCAAACCACTATGCCACATGTATACTATTTAACAAACCTGCACATTGTGCACATGTATCCCAGAACTTAAAGTACAATAAATCCAAAAATCAATACAAAACAAACAAATAAACAAACAAAAAAACCAGGCAGCTGGCTGGATTTCACTTACAGGCCAATTGGCCAACTAAGGCAATTTAGCTCACTGTCTTCTCCCATCCAAACCTCTAGTGACTTCCTTTTCTTACTCAATGTGCTTTTGATGTCCTCATGGAGTGACCTGCCAGGCAAGGAAGGATATTCGGTGGAATTAGTCTTTGGCTTCATACCCATTCAAGGAAGTCCCTTGGCTCAGCTTCAAGGTCAGGATGGGTCAATGTCTAATCAGTCTCAGATCAGGAGAGTAGAGGGTCCTCTCAGAGTGAAACTGGAAGAATATGAAACCTCAAGTACACATGAGATGGTGATGGTCATAAACTTCAACTGCTTCTCTGCCGCAGATCTAAAACATCCTCTTTTGCCTTCCTCTGTGGATGTCTCTGAGAAATGCTTTCCCCCAAATTACTTCTTGTGATTAAAAGGAGAATTTTTTAAGTGAATGGTGGGAAGAGAAGAAAAGGAACAGAAAACATCTTTGGAGACATTTAGGCATTTTCACAAGAGGTTTTTCAGAGACACATCACTTAGTCTTTTACACTTGCTGTTTGCATATTCTACCAAGAAAGTTTTCCTGGCTTGAAAACTTGAGCAAGTGATCTGGAAGCTTAGATATCTTATATTCTGTGGCTGCCAGTGGTGCGTGTAAAAGATCTGAGGACAGTCAGGAAGTTGCCTGATGGATTGGAAATGAAGCCAGGTTCTTCCTATGGAACCTCGCTTTTCTTTAGGAGAAGAAATTGCCCTTACTTCATCAACAAGCTGCTCTCGTTTGGTATGGCCAATTCTAGGCAAGTATGTGCTCAAATGAGGTTTTTGAGTAAAAGAACTGAAACAGAAAATAAAACTCATTCATAGCTTATGATACATCAAAGTTTGGCTTCTGCCTTGATATTCTTCCAAAAATCTGTTGTTTGGCTTTGACTGGGAACTTTGGAAAGTCGAAGAGCTCCATGCTGACTGCAGTGTCATTTCTGCCATCTCTGAACTTGTGTGCAATCAATGACTGTGAGATCACACAGATCAACAACACACTGAATGTTATTCATATTAACTTGGCATATGACTTCAATTTATTATTAATGTGTGAACATTCACTTTCACAAAAAGCACTATAGATGTAACCTGGAGTACAAAATCTCTTTATGTCCTTTATATGTTGACATTGTATTCTATCAGTCAAATGCTGCAATAATTAATCACTTATGAAAAGCTGTTCATTTGATATGAAAATTATCAAGTACTTTCAAACTTTTAAATAAACAAAGAAATATGTTGATCATTATACAAATTTAAGGGATAGTACGTTAGATGGATAACTATGAAGGATGCTTACATATTTTTTGAGGCAACCAATGCTTATAAGCATTTAAGTAATAATACAACACAGAATCATAGCTATGATATTATATGATATTCCAATCTTTATATAATTGATTGGTGTCATTCACGACATTTAAGGACCTTGAAAAACTCTATCAATATTTGTCACTTAATTTCATGGGGGCCACGAATTCTTTTAAGACAAAGTACCATTTGGGATTCTTTCACATTTTGTGAAGGAGAAGCCAGACAGATTGCCATCTTTGTAAACCCAAAGTTTCATGAAATGGAAACTCTAAAGTCATATACTATGATTATTATGATTAATTATCTTTGACCCAAACATAATACAAATTGTGAAAAGTATTTAGAAAAGATTAAAATGTGACAGCAAAATAAGATACTCCCAAATATCCAGCTTCTTCTTTCACCAGCCTTGATTGAAAGTGAACACCAATTTACAAACTATTATTGTTTCTGCAGCATAATATTAAACTTTTAAGATTTACTACTAAAACTTCTCATAATAAGAATGTAATAATTAATTTTTTGAACACTGTTCCAGGCCAACTCTATATCTCATAAGTTCATTCTATGAGAGCACTATTTTGACATTAGTCAAATGTTAATTTTAACACTTGGTCGTTGGTATTGGACTGAAACATTTTGGGCTTCATTTATGGTCTTTAGTAATCTCTTCTAGATTCCAGGGGCTGGAAGTCTGAAAACTACATTTCTAAGACATCTACTGGCAAGAGATGAAAATGTGAAAGACAGAGAGAAGTCACTGTGAGATTCTGCTGTCCCAGTTAACAGGAGCAGGAAGCTCATGGACTCTTGACTCTTGAAGCCAGCAATGGCAATGGCAGCAAAGGCCACCACAGACAACTGTGAGCTGCTGCAGCTGTCATGAGGCAACAGGGGTAGGTGATCACAGGCTGCAGTGGCATCTGCAATGAGTCCCACCGTGTCAGTAAGGATGCGTCTATGGAGAGGGTTGACAGGAGGACTGAATTTAGTGGTTCATATAGGAAATGAATAAAAAATAAGTTTGCAAAAATAGGGTGGGTTAGGCTTCAGATAACCTGCAAACCAGTCCAAAGAGTTGCTATTTTATGTCTATCAGGAAAATATTTGTTGTTAGTTCTAGCTGGTTTTATTTAGCTACATCCAGAACTGTTTTAAGATCAGAAAGGGATATTTATTTTTCATCTTCATATTCTTTGTTCATAGATAGAGACAAGACAAAATGCTGTAACAACAGGGACATTCCTAGAAAAAACAGTCTATTAGGAGTTTCTGGTAGAGAACTTGTAGGTACAAATCTCTATTAATAATAATTTCTTACATTTCTATAGCATTTTGTGAAAGCTTTTAGCACCCATTATTTAATTTGTGCTTGCAATAAACCTGCGAGGTAGGTTTAATTATTATCTTGATTTTAAAAATAAAGAAATGAATGCTCATTCTGCTAGACAACATGCCCAAACATATACAATTAGCAGTAGAGCATGGAGTCAGTCTTGTGTCATTTGACTCCTGGTTTCTATTCTCTCTCTTACACAGCATTTCTCTACCTTTAAAAAAGAAAGGTCTCCAGTGGAACAGAGTACAGAGCTCAGAAATAGGGCCACATATCTATAACCATCTGATCTTAGATAAAGCTGACACAAAGAAGCAATGGAGAAAGAACTCCCTACTCAATAAATGGTGCTGGAATAATTGGCTAGCCATTATGCAGAAGATTGAAACTGGACCCCTTCCTTACGCCATACAAAAAAATAAACTCAAGAAGATTAAAGACTTAAATGTAAAACCCCAAACTACAAAAACTCAGAAGACAACCTAAGCAACACCATTCTGGACATAGGAACTGGCAAAGATTTCATGAGGGGGATGCCAAAAGCATTTGCAACAAAAGCAAAAATTGACAAATGGAATCTAATTAAACTTAAGAGCTTCTTCATAGCAAAAGAAACTATCAACAAAGTACCAGACAACCTAGAGAATGGGAGAAAATTTTTGCAAACTATGTGTCTGACAAAGCTCTAATATCCAGCATCTATAAGGAACTTTAACAAATTTACAGGAAACAAACAACCCCATTAAAAAGTGGGCAAAAGACATGAACAGACGCTTTCCAAAAGAATATGTACATGCAGCCAACAAGCGTATGAAAAAATGCTCAACATCGCGGCCGCCACCCCATCTGGGAAGTGAGGAGCATCTCTGCCTGGCCGCCCATCGTCTGGGATGTGAGAAGCCCCTCTGCCCGGCCGCCCAGTCTGGGAAGTGAGAAGCGCCTCTTCCCGGCCGCCATCCCATCTAGGAAGTGAGGAGCGTCTCTGCCCGGCCGCCCATCGTCTGAGATGTGGGAAGTGCCTCTGCCCCGCCACCCCGTCTGGGATGTTAGGAGCACCTCTGCCTGGCCGCGACCCCATCTGGGAGGTGAGGAGCCCCTCTGCCTGGCAGCCACCCCGTCTGGGAGGTGTACCCAACAGCTCATTGAGAACGGGCCATGATGATGATGGCGGTTTTGTAGAATAGAAAAGGGGGAAATGTGGGGAAAAGATAGAGAAATCAGATTGTTGCTGTGTCTGTGTAGAGGGAAGTAGACGTAGGAGACTCCATTTTGTTCTGTACTAAGAAAAATTCTTCTGCCTTGGGATGCTGTTAATCTATAACCTTACCCCCAGCCCCGTGCTCTCTGAAACATGTGCTGTGTCCACTCAGGGTTAAATGGATTAAGGGCGGTGCAAGATGTGCTTTGTTAAACAGATGCTTGAAGGCAGCATGCTCATTAAGAGTCATCACCACTCCCTAATCTCAAGTACCCGGGGACACAAACACTGCGGAAGGCCGCAGGGTCCTCTGCCTAGGAAAACCAGAGACCCTTGTTCACTTGTTTATCTGCTGACCTTCCCTCCACTATTGTCCTATGACCCTGCCAAATCCCCCTCTCTGAGAAACACCCAAGAATGATCAATAAATACTAAAAAAATAAATAAATAAATAAATAAATAAATAAATAAATAAAATATTTTAGAAAAAAAAATGCTCAACATCACTGATCATTACAGAAATGCAAATCAAAACCACAGTGAGATACCATCTCACACCAGTCAGAATGGCTATTACTAAAAAGTCAGAAAATAACAGATGCTGGTGAGGAACACTTATACACTGCTGGTGAGAGTGTAACTTAGTTCAACCATTGTGGAAGACAGTGTGGCGATTCTTCAAAGATCTAAAAACAGAACTACCATTTGACCCAGCAATCCTATTACTAGGTATATATCCAAAGGAATATAAATCATTCTGTTATAAAGACACATGCATATGTCTGTTCATTGCAGCACTATTCGTAATAGCAAAGACATGAAATGAACCTTAATGCCCATTGGTAGCAGACTGGATAAAGAAAATGTGGTACACATTCATCATGGAATACTATGCAGCCATAAAAAAGAATGAGCTCATATTCTTTGCAGGAGCATGGACAGAGCTGATGACCATTATCCTTAGCATACTAATGCAGGAACAAAAATCAAATACCACATGTTCTCACGTATAAGTGGGAGCTAAATGATGAGAGCACACAGAAACAAAGAGAGGAACAGCAGACTTGAAGGTGGGCCTACTTGAAGGTGGTTGGGTGGGAAGAGGGAGAGGAGCAGAAAAAATAACTAGAGTACTATGCTTAGTACCTAGGTAATGAAATAATCTGTACAACAAATCCCCATGACATTAGTTTACCTGGATAACAAACCTGCACACGTACCCCTGAACTTAAAAGTTAAAAAAAGGCCTCATTTCTCCTTTTGAGAAACATGTACAGTTCCTTCTCTTCTTTAATGTTTTATATAGATTACTTTCTATGCCAAGACTGTTGTGCTACTAAGATTTCACAGATTCATAAATATACAGAAGTTCTTCAACTCATGATGGGATTACGTCTCAATATACCCATTGTAAATTGAAAATGTCATAGGTCAAACATGCATTTGACTCAACTAATCTTCTGAGTGTCATATCTTAGCCCAGATGACCTTACATGTTCTCAGAACACTTGCATTAGACTACAGGTGAGCAAAATCTTCTAACACAAAGCCCATTTTATAATAAATATTGTTGCAGGTGTGATTGACTGGGCCCAGCCTTGCAGTCAGTAAAAGAATTTACCAACAGTCATGGGTAAAGAAAGGCAGATTTATAAGAGAAAGTATAAAGATATGTTGCCAGAGTGCAATGGATAGCACAGCAGAGAAGGGGCTGTCTGCATAGAGGCAGAGGCTGGAGGGAAGGTTTATAGGGTCATGCTGGAGAGGCTACAAGCAGATAAGGCTATGGTGCTAGGGCTACATGAAGAGCAAGGTATTTGGGAACAGGATGTTGTGCTAAGGAGTAGTTTGTGGTTAGCTGTCTCTCAGAACAATTGCTCCCCCCTACCCTGGGGTTCCCTCCTTGCTACCTTATCTTATCAGGATTCCACAAATGGCTCATGTGATTGAATGAATACAGTACACTGTAAGGCATAGTATTAGTGGTTCATCTTTGTGATAGCATGGCTGGCTGAGAGCTCCAGCTTGCTGCTGCTACCCAGTGTCATGAGGGTATCTTACAGCATATTGCTAGCCCAGGAAAAGATCAAAATTCAAAATTCAAAGTATAGCAGGGTGTGGTGGCTCATGCCTGTAATTCCAGCACTTTGGGATGCCATTGGGGGGCACATTGCTTGAGCTCGGGAGTTGGAGACGAGCCTGGACAACATGGAAAAACCCCATCTTTATAAAAAATACAAAAATTAGCCAGGTGTGGTGGCATGCGCCTGTAGTCCCAGCTACTTGGGAGGCTGAGGTGGGAAGATCACTTGAGTCCAGAAGGCAGAGGTTGCAGTGAGCCAAGATTGTGCCACTGCACTCCAGCCTGGGCAACAGAGCCAGACCCTGTCTCCCTCTCCCCGCAAAAAAAGGCAAGTACAGTTTCTATTGAACGCATATTGTTTTCATACTATTGTAAAGTCAAAAACTCTTGTCAAACCATTGTAAGAGACCATCTGCATATCGTATGTTGAAACTACAAATAGAACAGCCTCCCTTCCTTTCTATATTCTTTTTTTTTTTTTTTTTTTTGCAAATATGGCCTTCTCTCCATGCTGCCTCTCTAATCTTGCTTTAGTTGGTCTTTCGATGATAACAAAAGAATGCCAATCCCTTTTCACCTAAATTTCGTTTTCACCAGTAAATGAATGTTTATTGGCAAAAATTTATTGGTTAAAATATTTATTGGTGAATATTAATTCATTTATTGGTTGGCTAGACTGAATCATCAGTTTAGTTGTCAATAAACATATAAGGAAATATACATATGAGATATATATCTGAATATCTGAAAAGTCACATGTGAAAAACACAGGGGCTATTGAAAAATTCTGTGGACACAAAGTTCTCCCTTAGGAGTCTGTATAAGTGGCTAGACTGTCTTTCGGCATTTATTTTTGTAGAGAAATATGAAGTCAAGGGGTTTTCCTCAATTTACATAACGTTTTTAAAAACGCTTATTTTTTTTCCCGGACTGAAATCTTGTCTTACCTTTTCTTTATCTAATATTTGCATAAAAATTACAAATCAAACATCTGTCTTTTATATAAACTCTCTTTTCACTAATCCTTGTTGTGAAACCTTTTATCTGCATGGTCTTTGTCCTTGTCTGGGTTTTCTAGAAAACAGAGCCTGAGATAAAGCTTATATGCTAAAGCCTCATGGAAAGTATGATCCCAGGAAGGCAAGGCTGAGGGCAAGGCAAGAAGAGAAAGAAAGCAAATATAAGTTGGCGAGTGACAGAGCTGGCTGTAGCTTCTCATTCCTTGATTATAAGTGTGTCTTCCAGAGGTGCCATGGGACCACTGCACCTTAGAACCACCACTCTTCCCTTGGTTATGAGCACGTCTTCCAGAGTTGCTGCGGTACCGCTGCACCTTGGAACCATCATTGGGTGCAGAATGAGAGAGAAATCGATCTGTTGCTCCTTACAGTCTCTTGCCTTTCATTGCTCGGAGTTCCTCCTTGGGTGTTAACTTTCTCTCCTTTCCAGGTCCTGATGTGCTGCCTCTTCCAGCAGCCACTGGGGAAGCCACACCCAGTCCCCTGAATCAGGGTGTGCCATTGGGGTTCAGAAGTGCAGGAAGGAGGATCAGGGCCTCTGGGGTCAGATGGGATCTGGCCTGGCTGCTGAGAGCTGCCTGGCTTCAGTCACAGTGATCTGTGGAGGCCTGGCCTACTCTTACCAACGGAGGAGTGGCGCTCGCCTCTTGGGACGTGAGGCAGTGATGGGGTCAGGAGATGAGCAAGTGGCCAAGCATCCTTGGGGCCAGAGGCACCAAACAAATCCAAGGAGGAGCAGGAACTACAGCGAGCACATTTGCAAGCTCGTGCTTCTCAGGCGAGAATTTCCTTTCCTTTCCTCTAGATTCACAATCTTAGGTTTAATTTTAAAAGAAGTTCTTGGTTCTCTGTATTTAAATTTTGGGGTGTTCTTTAGGTTTGTTTTACAAGTAACTCTTTCAGCCCCTTTCCCAATGGCTTTTCTGCTCTTCACTGCCTACATTTAATCCTGATCTTGCATTTTTCGTTTCCTTGAAATCTTCA
Organism: Homo sapiens; assembly: GCF_000001405.40. Classification (NCBI taxonomy): domain Eukaryota; kingdom Metazoa; phylum Chordata; class Mammalia; order Primates; family Hominidae; genus Homo; species Homo sapiens. The sequence continues at coordinate 41,010,286 of NC_000008.11, read as the reverse complement.
CCTCATTTAGATAATTCTGTCATTCTTTTGTCAGAATCTGTTCTTTCCCTCTTATAAATACTAAATTAATTTTCTAAGGATTTTCATTCAGTTGAAATAGCAAATAATTTTAGAGGATTTTAAAAAATCATCAGTTCTATTTTCCTTGATCTCAGCATTTTTCCCTACTTAGATATCTTGCCAGTATTTTTCATCTTTTTCACTCGAACAAGAGGGATAAACCTATCCTGATGAGCTTTGTAGATTGTTGTTGGCCCCACTCTGTCTATAATACGCACTGGTTAAACTGTATTTTGGGCATCAAATTTCACAGTGTTTGCAGGCTTTCCTTCAGTGTTACTCCCCTAGAATGAGAGAAAATTTCTCTTATTTCTATGGCCCAGAGATCATACACACTCCCCGTTACACACACATACACTCCGTTTGTAAGGATGCATGACCCAGGTGAGCATTAAGCCTCCAGCTTCTCCTTTAATGCTTTCTTTGAGGGGGTCATATCTCCCAGCATATCCACTTTCAAGGGCCTCTTCCTACTACTGATATGATTTCTGGATGCTATAGCCCTTGACTGGATATAGAAAGAGGTAATGTATGCATCAAAAAAGCTTGGTGCAATAAATACAGAGCTAATTGGTGGTGTGGTGTTTTTCTAGCCAGGGGCCAGGTGATGGGATAGAGGTGAGGAATTCAACCACCTTCTTTAAGAAAGATAAGATTGCTCTGTTACTGCCAACATCAGGTGGATGGAGAGTTTTTCAGTTCAGTTCCACCTGCTTTATAGTCAGTGGAAATTTCTACCAGACTGTGGAAATAGATTAGCCATCAGTTCTAGTGTTCACTGTTTTTTTCAGTTTTCGTCTTCCTCTGTGTCTTTGTGGGCATTTAGAGAGGGGCTACATCAGAGGCCGCTGGTCCCAGGACACTTTAGGGTAGACTTCCTCTGAGTCTATCATTGTGCCCTCGCCAACAGCCCCACACATGAGCCCCCTCCTCCTTAAATTAGACACCTCCTTGCTGTTAGCAAACCCTCTACTCTTGTTCCCCATACCAGTACACCTCTCTTATTTCCTGTGCAGTCTCAAATTCTGAACATCTTGCAGTTTTCACTTCTTGCTTGAAGTTCTCCTGGCTGTTCCAGCTCTCCCTTGATTCCTAGGCTCCTGGCAATCTGTGCTGTGCAATTGTGCAAGTAGTTACCAAGGGCCTGGTCCTGTACATATGTTGGATTTCTTCCACTAGATTCTCAGTTTTGACAGAGAAGGGGTCGTGCCTTATTTATCCTTCTGTCTTCTTTATGGAAATAGACATGTAGTAGACAGTGTCCTTTTGTGATAGCCGCCTATGGGTGTGGCATTTTAGAAACATATCTAGAAGCCATCTTGATACCCACATTTGCTCCAAAGAATTTAATATTGCCGTATCAGTAAACTCTTTTATTAGGGGGTAAACACAAGTGTGTAAGACAAGTTCAACTACCTATCTATGTGTTCATCTATATGACCTTTTTTTCCCTGATCTCTGAAAAAGAAACTCATATATGAACTCTTTACTGAAAAATATGTAGTTCATTAATATGCCGATGAATATCAAGGTTAAGAACACAGGTTCTCAGCTGGGTCCGGTGGCTTATGTCTGTAATCCCAGCATATTGGTAGGCTGAAGCGGGAGGATTGCTTGAGTCCAGGAATGGGAAACCAGCCTGAGCAACATGGTGAGACTCCCTCTCTACCAAAAATTAACTGGGCACAGTGGCACGTGCTGGTAGTTCCAGCTACTCAGGAGGCTGAGGTAGGAGGATCCCTTGAGCCCGGAAGGCAGAAGTTTCAGTGAGCCAAGATAGAGCCACTGCACTCCAGCTTGGGTGACAGAGGAGACCCTGTCTAAAAAAAAAAAAAAAAACACACAGGTTCTGGTATTAGATGCCTTAAGGTGGAATCCTGTTTCTGACATTGGCTCAGTTTTGTCTTCTGTAAAAGGGACAAATATATTATTATCTGCTACAATAGTGTTTTTGTAAGGATTAAATTATTTAGTAGCATTTACTTAATGAATACTTACCAGTGCTGGGAAATGGTTATACTGCATAAGCTGGCCTTCTTCATTTCAAACCCATTGCTGGTCTCACATTGGATGTTTTCTCCCCACTGCCTAGAGTGTCCACAAAAATATTTTATACAAGCCTCACCCTCTCCCCACAGCTTTATCACCATCTTTACCTGGGGTTTACTCCTCCAGGGACACCTGACTCACATTTCATTCAATGAGTTTTTTTTTTTTGTTTTTTTGTTTTTTGTCTTTCCTGAGAGTTTTGGGATGGAAGCAAATGCTATTTTGGTCTCTTTTCAATAGGAACTGGAAGAGAACACCAAGACTGTCTCTCAAGTCAGCAGTGGGCACCCTACGACCTCCACGGTGGATTACCCGTCATGCCTACTTGACCCACTTGGATTTGTTGTCTTGTGGAGTCTCACATTTGCTGTTAACTTTTCAATTATTAGCCTTGCCTCTCCAAAACTTTCAAAATCTCCCTTGCAGAAAGAGAAAGAAAGTAATTTATTGAGCAATTCCAGGTACCATGCTTGGTTCATTTGGTTCATTTTGTATTTATCAGGTAGTTTAGCCCATATACCACCTCCAAGATGCATCATTCACATTTTCTCTCTCTCTGTCTTTTTTTTTTTTTTTTTTTTTTTTTTTTTTTTGAGATGGGTGCTCAGTACTCTCTTCAGGAAGATGGGTAGTTTAACCCATATATCAACTCCAAAATGCATTATTCACATTTTCTTTTTTTTTCTTTTTTTTTTGAAATGGAGTCTTGCTCTATTGCCCAGGCTGGAGTGCAGTGGCACGATCTCAGCTCACTGCAACCTCCGCCTCCCAGATTCAAGTGATTCTCCTGCCTCAGCCTCCCAAGTAGCTGGGACTACAGGCATGCACCACCGTGCTAAGTTAATTTTTGTACATACATATATATATATTAGTGGAGATGTGGTTTTGCTATGTTGGCCAGGCTAATCTCAAATTCCTGACCTCAAGTGATCCTCCCACCTTGGCCTCCCAAAGTGCTGGGATTACAGGCATGAGCCACTGTGCCTGGCCCATTATTAATATTTTCTAGCTGAGGAAATGAAGGCTCCAAGAAATTGTGACTTGCCTAAGATCACATAGGCATGAGCAGGTTTTAGTACAAAACACTTAGCATTGAGTCTTACATATAGTTAGAATTCATTAAAGAGCCACGCAAAAGTCATCCTTAAAAACAAAACAAAAGAAAACAAAGCCACCTTTTGGACAGAATGCAGGAGGATATGTCAGTCAATGTGATCACATGCATATGTGTTTTCTCCTGTTGCCACTGAGTTTGAGTCCTCTCTCTTGCTTCCTGAGACACAGGATGTTCTGTGGCAATGCTGAGATCGCTTGTGACAACATGACTCAGGTATCTGTTACAAGAAAAATTTCCCAGGACATACACTACAAACCTGTAGACAACCTCAGTGCTCTTTTCAGGAAGCCCCTACACTTCAGTTATTGGAGACAACTGTCCGTTCACCTGGGGAAATGGCTCACTTACTGTCTTGGTTTGTTCCGGCTGCTGTAACAGAATACCGTAGACTGGGTGGCTTATAAACAACAGAAATGTATTTGTCACAGTTTTGGAGGCTGGGAAGTCCAAGATCAAGGTGCCGGCAGATTCGGTGCCTGGTGAGCCCTCTTCCTGGAACAAAGATGGTGCCCCTACCTGTAATCTCACGTGGTAGAAGGGGCACAGCTGCTGTCTTACGTTTCTTCCTATAAGGGCACTCCTCTCATTGAAGAGGGCCCCTCCCTCATGACCTAACCACCTCCCAAAGGCTCCCTCTCCTAACACCATCACATTGGTGATTAGGGTTTAACATATGAATTGTGTGGGGACACAAACATTTAGACAACAGCACTTATTAAATCGAATTTTACTTATCAGGACCTGCTTCAGGGTTCTTGCTTTGCTGTGGCTGCTGCATCTAAAGTCTTTTATCACAAATCTTCCCAGTCAGTCCCCTGCCTTGAATGACCCAATTTAACCACTTGAGCTGAGACATCAAAGCCACAAAAATATCTCACTTCTCTCCGCCCCCTTCTGAGACTCTGTCATGGCAGTGTTCTCTCTTATGGCAATGCCTAGAAATACAGTGGCTTTTACTTTATTAACAGGTTTCCTGGTGACATTCTGGGGAGTCAAACACCCCTGAAGTCTTGGCTTATTTTCATCTTTGACAAGATGATAGCTTTGGGTTGGCTGTTTGGAATACTAGGTTCTGGTGACAAACTCTGAGTGACTGTTTGAGAAAAGGCACTCCAAATGGCCTGTGATGAAGACTCACTTTCATTTCCCTTTCACCAGGGGCTAGGCAAGGGCTGCATAGCTTCTGTTAGTGTCTAGCCTTTTTTCAGAAGCCAGTCTATAGAACAAGTCAAAGGTATAGCTTCTGCTTTCTTGGAGTTGAAATGTGATACACTCAGAGGACGCTCTTTTAAGCCAAGGCTTCTATTAAAATGTTAAGCATATAACCTAGTGAGAGGAGAGCACTGTGGTTTTTTTTTTTTTTTTTTTTTTTCTGAGACAGGGTCTCACTCTGTCCCCCAGGCTAGATTGCAGTGACATGATCTTGTCTCACTGCAGTCTCGACCTCCCAGACTCATCTGAAGAGGGCCCCACCTCAGCCTCCCAAGTAACTGGGATCACAGGCACACGCCACATACCAGGGATTTGCCACGTTGCCCAGGCTGGTCTAGAGCTCCTGGGCTCAAGCAATACTCCTGTCTTGGTCTTCCAAAGTGCTGGAATTACAGGCGTGAGCCACCACCCCCAGCCGGGAACACTTATTTTCATATAAAATTTGCATACCTTATTGTATAAAGGGTTGTGGAGAAAATCTTCAGTCCATCCAAACTACCCTTTTCTCCTTCCATAAAACCATTTTTATGCTTGGGGTTTTGTGAGGATGTGGAAATATCCTTTGTGGGTCTGAATTATTGTGTGTGAAAATTTTAAAGTAGAAGTTGTTTATGTGACTCACACTATTGTATTGCAGGAACATAGAATTCTGACTTAATAACTTAAACAAAATAAAATGCATTCTTCCACATAACAAGGGGCCTGGGATGAGACAGAGCCAGGCATGGCGCACGGGGCAGGGCCTCGCTGTGGTTCTCTGGGCTCCTCTGGTTTCACTCTCAGTCTGGGGCATGGTCGCTGGGGACATTCCATTCCAGGCCTTGCCTCCAAGCATAACAAAAAAGGGGTGCTTATTCCTTTGTCTCATTCTTGAGGGTGAGAGGTCCTTCTCAGGAGCACCCTGGCATACTTCCTGTCATGTATTCTTGGCCAGAATTAAGTCATCTGTCTATTGTTAAGCCAGTCAGGGCCAGGAGGAATGGCATGAAGCAACATTGGCTCAGAATAGTCAGGCTGGCCTTGGGAATGGGGTCTCCTTCTCCTGAACCACTCAGGGCAGATACTGAAACAAAATAGGACTCTTTTAGAAAGGAGGAGGGGGAAATGGATAATTGATGGATAACTAACAATGTCTGCTAGATTGGCACATTTAGTATAGCATTCTATACATGTACTGTACCGCACCTTACATGTAGCCTATAGCACCATACACATAGTGTATCTCACTATATATGTGACACAGAGCATGCATCCTCACCTCGAAGTCCCCTAAGATGATGGTAGAAAAGGGGACTTGTTCAAAGTATGAAGCATAAATTGGGAGCTGGTTTATTTCCCCTGGGACTCTTAACTAATAACTGTTAGGTCAGTGGTTCTAGAGTACAGGGGTTCTAGAGTCTTCTCTGGTGATCTTAAGACATGTAGGGAGGGCAGGGCTAGAGGCTTCTGATGGCCACTTTGCAAATCACATCATAAACAAATGAGTGGGTAAAATCCTCAAGCCACCTCCTGGAGCGTGAGCGGTTTTTAGAACTTCTTTCTCAGAATTCCATAAAAAGCAACTCTAGTTGCTCATTTGTTTTGAAGCTCAGAAAAGGGTTAGCAAGCCAAGAACCAAAGAAGAGGCTGAGACTTTTCCAATTCCTATTTTCTACTCTCACAGTAAATAAAGATGGGAGGGAGAAACAATAAAATCTTCTTAGAGATGCCAAGGGCATCTGCCTTTGCTCTCACTTTGGTCCCCAGATAGCCTAGTACAAAACTGTCTGTTGCCGGAGGAAACTATTATGAACCTATTTCAGGATTTTGCAATTCAAACTCAATATAAACCCCTCTATGGTACTTGCAGGATATTCACAGATGATGTTCACGTCAATAGCAAAGGTTATTATTTTCTCATTCCCTCACCTTCTCTTGTTCCACTGCCAAGGTCTAGAGGCCTCTACATCTGGGTTGGCCACAAATCCTACTGAAATTCCTGGTAGGATGGTATCTATGTTTGTCTCTGGCTTGTATAAAAAAAACTTCATATTTTTATGGCATTTTCTACTTTTTCAGGCATGCTTATATTTCAAAATAGCTTTGCAAGATAATTACCCCAGCTTCATACGTAAGCCGCATAAATGAAAGACAGTGAGTTCATTTACATTTGTGATAGTGACAATTTTGAGTTCAGAAAGGTAAGTTGTTCCCTATGGGCATGTGATGAGGTGGGGTTAGGGAGAAACGGAGCTGGCCTCTACATCTTCTGACCTCACTCTCAGTATACTATTTTATATGTGGTACATTTTCTCACTGGACTCCAATGTAAATAGAACCTGCCCTGCCTTATAGTGATGAGGTAAAGGATTATTTTGGGGGGACTGGGGGACAGAAGAAGACATAGGAAAAAGAGGACATGGGGATGTGGGCTTCCTATGCGATCTCTGGACCCTCCAAGTGTTCTGAAAACAGAAAATGTCTCTCAGCTACTTCCTAGGTTAGGGGATGGCTGAGTCCAATCACTTTATGTAGCTTCCATTTTTTAACCATTCAACACATTTTTATGAGTGAGGCCAAGTTAAGAAAATCCAGAAAAAGTTTGAAGAGGTAAAAAGGAATCTTGAGAGTCAGTCGATTCAGCAATCCCTCTACTGGGTATCTACCCAAAGGAAAAGAAATCACTAAATCAAAAAGATACCTGCACCCATATGTTTATTGCAGCACTGCTCACAATAGCAAAGTCACGGAATCCACTTATGTGTCCATCAACAAATGATTGGATAACGAAAACGTATATATACACCACGGAATACTATTCAGCTCTAAAAAAGAATGAAATCAAGTCTTCTGCAGCAATGTGGCCCTCAAAACTGAAGGCCATTATCTTAAGTGAAACAACTAGAAACAGAAAGTCAGATACTGCCTGTTCTCATTAATGAGTGGGCGCTAAATAGCATGTACACATGGATAGACTGTAGGATGACAGACGTTTAGACTCAGAAGAGTTGGGGGGTGAGGGATGAGAAATTACTTAATAGGTGGAATATGCACTATTTGAGTGATGGCTACACTAACAGCCCAGACATCACCTCCATGCAAGATATCCATGGAATAAAAATGCACTTGTACCCCTTAAATTTATACAAATACAAAAAATGTTTCAAGGTTAACTTAAAAAAAGGCAGTTGGAGGAACCTCCAAGTTCTTTTAGGATCATAGTGGCTGCCAAAATTTTAATCTCTCCATATGTTCTGCAAAAACCATATAGAGCAACAAAGAGAGCAAGTCATAGTATCTATAACCCATGTCTACAACATTACTAGACGACAGCGAACACTGCAAGCTTCAGTGCGGGTGTAATTAAGGGACAGACATCTGAAACAATAGCGCCAGCGCTGGCACCCTCCCCACAGTGGAGTCAGATGGGCACTGCAGAGCAGAGGGAAGGGCACCCGGGCCCCAGCAGGGAAGGAGCTCAGATGAAATTACTCTTAGGAAATGAGAGAACCGGCCAGGCACGGTGGCTCATGCCTGTAATACCAGCACTTTGGGAGGCCGAGGCAAGCAGATAGCCTGAGCCCAGAAGTTTGAGACCAAGCTGGGAAACATGGCAAAACCCCGTCTCTACTAAAAACACAAAAATTAGCCGGTTTGGTGGTGTGCACCTGTAATCCCAGCTACTTGGGAGGCTGAGGCATGAGAATTGCTTGAGCCCTGGAGACAGAGGCTGCAGTGAACTGAGATCAGACGACTTCACTCCAGCCTGGGCAACACAGTGAGACCCTGTCTCAAAACAAAACAAAACAAAACAAAAAAAAGTGAGGTCACTCTGAGTATGAGTGGGGAAAATGAAAACAAGTGTGAGCTGTGTGAACCTGACAAAAAGCTACTGAAGGATCAAAAGGAAAAAGTATTCTCAGGGCAGTGGCTCATGTCTGTAATCCCAACTCTTTGGGAGGCTGAGGCAGGAGTATCACTTGGGCTCAGGAGTTCAAGACCAGCCTGGGTAATCTAGCAAGACCCTGTCTCTATTTTAATTAAAAAGAAGGAAGAAGAAGAAGAAGGAAGAAGGAGGAAGAAAGGAAGAAGAAGAAGAAGGAGGAGGAGGAAGAAGAAGAGGAGGAGGAAGGAAGAAGGAGAAGAAGAGGAGGAGGAGGAGAAGAGGAGGAGGAGGAGGAGGCAGCTGCAGAAGCATAAACACGTAGTGGACCGGAGGTGGCGGTCTCAGGAAAGCGCCAGTTCTGGCTGGTAACTCAGAGAGGGCAGGTGTTCTTTGGAGGCTTAATGGGAAAGAGAAAGAAGGAATCCAGAGACATAAATTAAAGTTTCTATGGAAACAAAAGAGCACCACAGGATCAAAATACACACCCAATCATTCCCCATAAAAGACATTTGTACTAAAACAAAAGCAACAAACTGCATCTTATTATAGTGAAAGATGAGTGGAATCTTGAACTAAGAAATGTAGTCCCCTAAATCCTCCTGCCCACCTACATCTGTTATTGCTGACCCAGGAAAATATTAGACCCGCTAGAGGAACGCAGCACAAAGGACAACTTCCATACAGAGCCACCGTGAGATGAAAATGGGAAACGACAATGAACGCTACCCTCCCCATCAAAACCACCACAAACTAGGGGAAAGCGTAAGTAACACCTCATCCAATCTACGCCTTCTTTGCGAATAATTCTCAGATTGGAAGCAAATATCTTGGATCAGAAAACTAAAGGCAAAGTGACTAACTCGACAAAAATTTAAAGACAAAAATGACAAAAGCCAGAAATTTGTGAAATGAATGATGGATTGCTATCAGAAAAGATAAGTAAGAACCATCTCAGAAATAAAAACTTCATCACAAGATTCATTGAGAGAATGGATTCACTTGAAAATAAAACAGGGAAATTGAAGAAAGGAATGAAAATACCCAAGAGAACAAAAATAAAATTAAAATAAGAGGTAAAAATGGGATCACAAAGACAATAACAGCTATAAATAAATAGGCAAAGAAAATCTCACTTACATGTAATTGAAATAGAGGAGTCAGACTAAGGAGATAGAAGAACAGCAACAACAACTAATATTTATGTAAAGCTATGGCACAAAAACTCTTTCTGAAAATAAAGACAATTTTCATATTTCAAAGATCTGTTGATATGTTCTCAACAGTCTTAATAAAACAATCTGACTTTAAAGACAAAGGAAAAAATCCTTTAAGTGCTCAATACAATCCTCCAAGCCATTTACAAAGAAAAGAAAATTGTGCTGGCGTCAGCATTCTTAACTTCAAAAGAGAGGCAAGACAATAGAAGAGCAATATTGTAATAAATAAATTTGTAAGAATAGAAGAACACTAAATATTATGAGTTCTAATAAAGTAATAATTTAACTAAAAATGTGAAGAGAAAGAGGAAAGGGAAATAAGCTCATTGATTTCTAGATGCTAATAGGTAGGTGTCAAATAATACCCTTTGAAGCTGACAAACCAAACAGTAGAAAAATAAATAAGGAAAAGGAAATAAATTGGTTAGAAATGATATTAGTATAGGGGAATATGGTAGAACAAAAACACAAACCTTCAAAACTCCACTCTTCCCTAGTAATTTAAAACAATGAAAGAAACATACCACATAAAGAAAGAAAAACAAAAAGAGTAAATAGAACAAAATGCACCAGTAAATAAATGATTAAAAATACGTCAAAGTTGAGATGAAACATGTTGCCTATGTTAATAAATATAATGAATTAATGTTCTCTACTAAAAGAAAAAGAATTTCCAGGCCAGGTGCAGTGGCTCATGCCTGTAATCCTAGCACTCTGGGAGGCTGAGGCAGGAGGATTAGTTGAGCTTAGGAGTTGGAAACGAGCCTGGGCAACATAGCGAGACTTTGTCTCTGCTAAAAATAAAACAAAAATTAGCCGGGTGTAGTGGTGTGCACCTGCAGCCCCAGCTACTTTGGAGGCTGAAGCAGGAGGATCACTTGAGCCAGGTAGGTCAAGGCTGCAGTGAGCCAAGATTGGGCCACTGCACTCCAGCCTGGGTGACAGAGATAGACCTTGCCTCAGGAAAAAAAAAAAAAAATTCTGACTGGCTCATAACACAAAAATCAACCATATAAAAGAAGCATACCTGAAATAATGTGATTCAGAAAGGCTAAAAATAGAGATGAGTAAATGCATTTGCAGAAAACAGATACAAGAGATTCTGATATCAGACAAGGTAGAATTTAGTCTCAAAAACCTTGCAGAACAGCAACACAATAACAAACAAAAATTGTATACTGTAAAATGCTAAAGGCTACAATTTACAATAAAGATATGTCAGTCCTGAATACCTACCCAAATAACAGAGCAACTAACCCCTTAAAGCAGCAACAAGAGACACAGGGAGAAATAGAAGCATGCTATTGGCATGAGACTTTAACATTTAGTCCAAGACAGACCATGTGGACACAATGTTAGCTGAGGTATGATATAACTTAATAAGGTGGACCTAACAGCTCTACATCAAACTTGACACCACTCATAGAAATACACATTCTTCTCAAGCATACATAGAACATTCACAAGGATTGGCTATATATTAAATCACAAGTAAACCTCAATAAATACCACGAAGTAGAACTAACATAAATAACATACTCTAATCACAATGCCACAAAATTGAATAACAAAATCAAAAGTGTAGAAGAGCCTTCTGCCTGCCAATTAAAACAAACAAACAAACAAACAAACAAACAAAGAACTTTATATACAAGCACATTTAGGACAAAGTGGGAACTACAAATCAAAATTGTAGAATTTCTAAAAAATAAAAAAAATAAGGAACATCACCATCAACATTACAGAAATAAAAAATATTACATACAAACAGTTTGAAAAACTGTTGCCAACAAATTAGATAATCCAGAAGTAAATGAACAAATTTCTAGAAATACAAAAATGACCAAAACTAACCTAAAAAAGAATACAGAATCAAACATACCTATAACAAATAAAGTGATTGAATTGGTAATTTAAAAACTTCTTGCAAAGAAAAGTCCAAGTCAAGGTGGCATTACTGGAAAATTCTACCTAACATTTTTTTAAAAATTGACACCAATCATTCACAAAGTCTTCCAAGAAATAAAAGAGGAGAGAACTCTTTCCAACTCATTTAATGAGGCCAGTATTATCCTGAAACTGTAACCAGACAAAAACATGACAGAAAATGATAAATCAATATTGAATAAAGAACAAATCCCACTGATCACCTCAATAGACACAGAAAAATTATTTCACAAAATTCAACACATTTTCAGGATGAAAATACTCAATGAACTAGGAAACGGAGGGAACTTTCACAACCAAATAAAGGCCATCTGTATAAAAACCACACCTCATCTCATACTTGAAGGTGAAAGATGGAATGCTTTTCTCCTATGATCAGGAACAAGACAAAGATGTCTACTCTCATCACCTCTTTTGAATATTGTAATGAAAATTCTAGCCAAAGCTATTAGGCAAGAAAAAGAAATAAAATCTATCCAGATTGAAAAAAAAGAAGTAAAACTAACCTATTTATAGATGATATGATCTTGTACAAAAATTTCTAAGGAATACACAAAAAATATTAGCACTAATAAATGTGTTCATCAGTGTTTCAGGATGCAAGATCAATGTCATAGGCAGAATGATGCTCCCCCAGTCCCAGAGATGTCCATGACCTAATCTCAGAACCTGTGAATATGTCAGGTTACATGTCCAAGGGGATTGAAGGTTGCAGAGTTGAATTAAGACTGCTAATCAGATGATTTTTAACATAGGGAGATTGCCTTGGATTATCAGGAGATCCAATGTAGAGATGAGGGTCCTTCCAAGTGGAGGATGGAGGCAGTGGAGGAGGTCAGAGTGATGGAACATGGCAAGGTGTGACCTTATGTGGAGGGAGGAAGGGACCATAAACCAAGAATCCAGAGACTGAAAAAGGTAAAACAAGAGTTTCTCCCTGACAGCCTCCAGAGAGAAATGTAGCCCTTCTGCCACCGATGAGACCATATTGGACCCTTGACCTGTAGAACTGTCAGATAATACATTTGCATTATTTAAAGCCCCAAGTTAGTGGTAATTTGTACAGCAGCAATAGAAAACTAATAACATGAGCATACAAAAATCAATTGTATTTATATACACCGACCGTGAACAATCTGAAAATGAAATTAAGGCAGCTATTTCATTTACAGTTGCATTGAAAATAATAAAATACTTAGAAACAAATTTACAAAAGGTGTGTAAGGCTTGTACATTGAAAATCAGGAAGTATTCTTAAAAGAAATTAAATAGAAGTCTGGGCATGGTGGCTCACACCTGTAATCCCAGCACTTTGGGAGGCAGAGGCAGGCAGATCACGAGGTAAGGAGATTGAGCCCATCCTGGCTAACACAGGTGAAACCCCGTCTCTACTAAAAATACAACAAAAATTAGCGAGGCATGGTGGCGGGCGCCTGTAGTCCCAACTACTTGGGAGGCAGAGGCAGGAGAATGGTGTGAACCCGGGAGGCGGAGCTTGCAGTGAGCTGAGATTGCGCCACTGCACTCCAGCCTGGGGGACACAGCAAGATTCTGTCTCAAAACAAAAAAAAAAAAAAAAAAAGAAAAAAGAAATTAAACAGAAAGATATCCTGTGTTTGTGGATTGGAAAACTTAATATTGCTAAGATAGCAATACTACCTAAATTGATCTACAGATTCAACACATACCTCTCAAAATACACTGGCTTCTTTGCAGAAATTAATGAAGTGATCCTCGTGTTCATATGGATATGCAAGGAACCCAGAGTAGCCAAAACAATTTTGAAAAAGAAGAACATAGTTGGAAGACTCGCATCCAAATTTCTAAACTTATACAAAACTACAGTAATCCATAGTGTAGTACTTGCATAAAGACAAACATAGACTAGTAGAAAATAACTGAGGACTCAGAAATAAATCCATAAATTTATAGTCAATTGAGTTTTGACAAGGATGCTAAGATAATTCAGCGGGGGAAAGAACAGTGTTTTAAACAAACGGGGTTAGGGCAATTGGGTATCCACATGCAGAAGAATAAAGTTGGACCCCTTACTTACACCATCGACAAAAATTAGCTCAAAATGGATCATATGGACAGGGATGATGGCTTATGCCTCTAATCCCAACCCTTTGGGAGGTTGAGCGGGGAGGATCACTTGAGGCTAGCAGACCAGCTTGGGCAACATAGCAAGACACCATCTCTACGAAAAATACAAAAGTTAGCTGGGTGTGGTGGCACATACATGTAGTCCCAGCTACTCAGGAGGCTGAGGTGGCAGAGTTGCTTGAGTGCAGGAGTTCCAGGCTGCAGTGAGCAGTGGTTGCATCATTGCACTCCAGCCTGGGCAACAGAGTACGAACCTCTCTCTCTTTCTCTTTTTTTTTTTCTCTCTCTCTCACACACACACACGAAAAAAAAAAGAAAAAGAAAAAAAAGAAATTGAGGGAAATAAAAGATTAAAATCCCGATAGAAAAATGAGAAAAATAATGAACAAAGAGTTCACAAAAATCATAAATAAGTGACCTCTAAGCTTATAAAAGATATACAACTTCACGGTAAAAAGAAGAATGCAAATTAAAACTGCGTGGGGATATCATTTCTCACCTATGGATTTGGCAAACATGCGAAAGATTTTTTAAAAGCACTCCTTTGGCAAGGCTGTGGGGAAACCGGCCCTGTCATACAGGGCTGATGAGCCTGCGAAATAGGACAGGTCCTAGGACGGGAAATTGGAAAACAGCAAACAGAAAATAGCATTTACAGTTTGACCAGCAACCCCACTTCTAAGAATTCTCTCTGAAAATGTATCTTTACTCATCACACGTTTAAAACAATCTGCTACGCATAAAGTTATTTATTACTGGAATTATTTGTAATGACAAACTGTTGGAAATGAACTAAAAGCCAATCCATAGGAGACTGGTTGAGTAAACTGTGGCTTATCCACATAATGGGAGACTGTTGACACCATCATGGAAATGAGGAAGATTTCTCTGAAAGAACACCGAGTCTTCTTCAAGATATATCATTAGCAGAAAAAAGAAAAATGTGAAAGTTGCATATGTTTTATTAACTTTTGTGTAAGAAACACGGGGAAACTAAATCGTGTGTGTGTGTGTGTGTGTGTGTACATTTGCTAATTTTTGCAAAGAAGAAATACAGGAAGGATAAACTTGATCCTAATAAAAGGGTGGATTTCCATGAATGACATGCTGGTGGTCTTGCATTTTTTTTTTTGTTTTTGAGACGGAGTCTTTCTCTGTTTCCTGTTCTGGAGTGCAGTGGCATGATCTCAGCTCACTGCAGCCTTGACCTCCCGGGCTCAAGTGATCCTCTCACCTCAGCCTCCTGAGTAGTGTGTGCCATCATGCCTGGCTACTTTTTGTACTTAGTGTGTAGAGATGAAGTCTTGCCATGTTGCCCAGGCTGGTCTCGAACTCCTGGCCTCAAGCTATCCTATCACCTCAGCCTCACAAAGTGCTGAGATTACAGGTGTGTCAGTGCCTGGCCTTTCTATTCTCTTCTTTTCTTTTTTTTGGTAGATTTGAAATTTTTAGAAAATAATGTTAAAAATTAAAAGAACAAAATCACCACAAAAGCCCAGCCTACCAGGGGTGTTATGTCAGGGAAGAGAAAGTGTCCTGAGGTTTTGCCTTGCTGATTGGCAAGGAAAGCAGCGTGGGGTGAACTGTTGTCATGTGTCTGGGGACAAACACTTTCTAAAATTAATCACCTGAGGGTCTGCTGCATTCATCAGCAACGTTCCTGCAGCAGTCATAAGTCTAGTCTCGGCTTCCCTCCCTCCCTCGGGCCTTTTGTCCTTCCTCCCTCTGTCTTTTTTTTTTCCCTTTTATTTAACATTTATTAGGTGCCTGTTATTTATCAGGGTCTGTGTTAGGCTCTAAGGATGCAGAGATGGAAGAGATACAGTTCCTTCCTTTAAGAGGCACATAATCTACGGGGGCAAATGGGGAAGCAACAGATAAGTATAATTCTCACTGGCATGCGCTGTAGGAGAGGAAATTGAGGGTGCTCTGAGAAACCAGGAGCGGGACTGTGTCTCTTTCATCTGATCCTCATCCACCAGGGCTGTCTCGGGGCCACCACCCTGATTCTTTGTACTGCAGGAAGAGTGCCAGCCACCCCAAAAGTGGACCACCAAGCCAGGTGGTCGGGAGGCATGTGCAGAAGTGTGTCCACTTGACCTCACAGGGTTCTCCCATATTTCCTGCAGGTTCCCTGCAGAACCTTTCCCTCAGCTTTTTCACTTGGGACTCGGGTTCCGTCCTGCACGGCCTGTGCTGGCCCATCCCTCATTTCCTCAGAGACAACTCTGGCCTGTCTATGGTGCCTCTCCTAGCTGATCTGAAAGGGGGCTTGGAGGTGATCGCAGCAGTGGCAGAGCCCCCCTACAGAGGGAACTACCCTGCTACCTTCCAGATAGGGTCTCCGGAGACGTTACCTCCTTTGTCTATTACTTATATATAGAGAGAACACAGCACAAGAAGTGGTAAACATCCCCACCATCCTGTTGCTTTTCCTTTCCCTTTTGTTTGTTAAAAAAAAAAAAAAAAGAAGAAGAAGAAGGAACCGGGTAATCTGTAAGTTCCCTTCTGATAATCTATGGTTCTTTTATCAAGAGGAATTATCTAGGGCAGGGGGACTCTGAGCCCGGGACTTGATTTTTCAACCGAAGTAAACGGCGAATTCTTGATATCCCTTTGATGGTGCAAGCTGAGAAAGTAGACAGAGAATGGTTTCTTGCTGATCATCGTTTTGAGGAGCCCTTTGCTGTGTTTTGACTTTGTGTTTTGGCTCAGAACGTCCCTTTGTCCTTGTGGAAGCGAGATTTTTGGACAAGGGGCTGCAATGCCACCGTCTTCCACATGGTGGCAGGTTTTGCCTGGAAAAGGAGCACCTGAATGGCGTGGGTTCACAGAATTAGGTTCCTTGACAAATGTCATTTATATTGATTGCTTTTGTTAATGCATTAGAGAGAATGTGTGCTCAGGATACATTCCTGGTAATGTTTATTGCTTTTTCTATATAGGAAAAGAAACTCAAACAAATAAAGCTTTAACCCTTTTAATAGCTCGTTACCATGGACCAGCCATAATAATAACGTTAGAACTCCGGGGAGGATGTGGCAGGGAGAGGTGAAAGAAACAACTTTTGAATGTAGGTAGATACAGGCAGAAAGCCTTCCATACAATTGTTTTCTTCACTGTTTGTAGTTAATATTTCGATATTGCCTTGTTTTCAGTAATTCGGAAAACTGGGAATGGCTTTTCTATCATTCCTTTGTGTTTGTAAAGTGAGGTTCAGGAACAGGGTCTGGATAGATTCTGTGTCAGCGAGCGCTGCCCAGCTCACACAGTTGCAGGTGCCTGCTCTCATCCAGACCTCAGGATATTTTCCCTGAGTCCTGACGCCAGGGCTCTGCGGGTTGCTTCCTTCCTAATTGCTGAAAATTGTTCCTAGAAATGCTTCCTAAACAAAAATACAGAGGAGTCATATTTCAGAGGAGATAGAAAATTAAGGAGATGCTGGGAGTCTCTGCTTCTGAGCCTTTCTTTACTTCCAGCCAAAAAGACATTAGAAAAGGCAACGAAACACGTCACACATCAGAAAACTCTTATAATTACCATTAAAACAATATTTTGGTGAGCACTTTTCTCACTCTTTGTGTTTTATGTTTTAAATTCTTAAGTCAATTTGCAGTCATGATAGTGATTTGAAACCTCACACGAAGGCAATGAGCTTGCAGATAAACAGGTGTACAATGAAGATGACAGAGTTCCCTCACAACTGCTGCCTGTCCCCCTCATGCCATTGTCATGGTCCCTGGCACCCGCTCACCTGATCACAACCCACTGTGCACTAACAGAAATCTAACAGGAGAGGTTCTGTTCCTGGAATTTTTGAGCTGTGCAACACAGATGACCACAGAGGCCCTCTCAGATTAAAGGCAGAAATCACCCAAATGACTCATGTCAATTACACAAATAGGGGAGGAGACAGCTGGGAGGAAATCTGCCTGGAAGCCAACAGTAAAGGCAGGGAAACCAGCCACTCTGCACTAACAGAGAGGCACAGCCGCAGGAGTTGGGGATTTGGGCTCCTGGCTGGGCATGAGCCAGTTACTCCCGGCTGAAGTATGGATCGAGGAGCCCTGCCAAATATTGCTTCCACGGGCTTTCCTCAGAAGCCATTTCTGTGGAGTAATGCTAATAGAGGGCCCCTTTTCTCACAGTGCTGTGCCTAGGGATGCAAACGTAGCTCCTTGAATTCCAAGCCTGTTGCTTTCAAATCCTCAACCCAAGAGAATGAGTAACAGGGATTCAGAAGCTAGGCAGGTCCAATGTGACAGCATCAGTTGGTTTTTATTTTTGGCCCCTAAAATGCCTGGCAGTAGCAATGAAAATTTTGACACCCGAAGGCCCAGGGAGTCTCAGGAAATCCAGCCTCAGGTGCCCCCACCCCAAGCAGTGGAGAGCTCCTACCCTTTTCTCAAGGTGGGAAAAAAAGACACATCGTGAGAACTGGTCCCATTCGACAATCACAACCTCTGAACTTCAATGGACCTCACCATCTCCAGGCAATCCTGCTATATTTTCCTGATTGAGTCACTTTCCTTGTTTTCTACATGTCTAAGAAAATTTTCCTCTCTCCTCACACAGCCAAACTCCTCTCACATCCTATTTCAATGGGAAAATTGAAGCAGCTGGAAGGAAACTTCCAAAGACTCTGCTGGCCACCACATCTGTCCCTCGCGGCCTCCAGCCTGTCACCATGGAGGAGCTGTCCCCACTCCTGTGCACGCCCATGTAGTGAGGAACCCTGCTCAGGGCCCCAGAAATGCTCCCCTCTCTCCCCCTCATGAACGATTACCCCAGATTATTTCAATTGGCAAACAAACATGCTGTTATTTTTCTCACTTTTTAAAAAAAAGTAGAGAAGGAGCAAGATTGACAAAAAAACCATAAAAAATTAAGAAATAAAATAAAAAGATAAAAAAAGACAATAAAAACAAATGTGTGTTGATCCCACTTCTACTAGATTTCCCTCCAAATCTTTGCTTGTATTTGCAACAAAACTTCTTTCCTCCCACTGGAACCCTCTCCAGTCAGGCTGACACGCCTCCACAGTTCTGCTGAAATGGCTCTTCATGTCACCAGTGACCTCTACATAGTTAAATCCGGTGGTCAATTCTCAGTTCTCAATTTCCAGCACCTGTCAGCAGCACTTGACCCAGCTGATGGCCTCCTCCTCCAGGATGCACTTTTTTCTCTTTCCAGGACAGCACACTCGCTGGCTGCTCCTCTTACCTCACTCCTCTCTCCCTCAAGGGCTCCTTTGCTAGTTCCTCCCTGAGGTGCAGCTTGTAGACCTCTCCTCTTCTCCAATACGCTCACCTATTATTGAGTGATCTTACGTGTAGAGTGGCTTTAATGATAGTCTCTACATCAATGACTCCCAACCTCCTTCTCCAGGCCTCACGCCCCTTTGTTAGACCCCACACTCATATCTCCATTGCTTTCTCACGTTTTCGTTTGGTAGCCCACAAATGTGGCAAACTCTACGTGAACAAAGCTTCACTGTCGTCTTCCCACTTCAAACTTGTGCCACTGGCTGCCTTTCCCATCTCTCTTTATGGTAACTCCATCCTTACAGTTGCTCTGGCCTGTCAATCTTAAATAATGAGATTCAGAAAATAGGATGAACTATATAGTTTATTAGAGTGCCAATCTTAAGGATAGCCATATGCGAAACACAGACTCCAAGAAAATGGGTCAGCATTCCAGAGTGAAGTTATGGTTTCACTTACACAGGCGGAGACAGAGAGATTGAAAAGGGTTGCAATATCTCCCGGGCAAGGTCAGTACAATGTCATAGCAATTTGATTGGTTACAGCTTGCTACATTCCAAGGAATGCTTTAACATTCTGTGAGGAGGGGTGATGATCTGAGGGGGTCTTATCTCTGGTGCCACAAGACCTTCTCTAATCTTTTACGGGAAAAAGCAGAAGTTGCAACTTCACGCTGTGGGGCCCAGGCCACATAGCCACATTCCTCTCAAGGCTCAAAATAAGTTCCAACCACTTTAAGTTTGAATTATTTAATTTTACAGGCCAAAAGTCTGAATGTTAACATTGACTCCTCCCTTTCTTTAAGCTATCAATCTATTAGGGAATTCTACTGGCTGTACCTTCAAAATAAGTCAGATGCTAATCAATTTCTCAGCATCTCCACTGCTACCCGCCTGGCCCAGGCCACCATCATTATTGACCCTTGTGCCCTATAGGGCAACGGCTTTTATGTCATATCACTTCACAAGTCAAAACCTGATGGCTCTGATGGCCCCAGGGTAAAAGAATGGAATATGAGCAATAGCTTACTGGGTCTTACATGGAAATCTGACTCTTGGTTATTCTTACTCCTGCCTTCCCTCCCCTGCTCACTCCACCACACTGGCCCGGCCGCTCCTCTGCAAACAGGCTGAGGGCCTCTGCTCCTCTTGCTCCCTCTGCCTGGAACATTCTTCTCCAGGTACCTTCTTGGACTCCCCCTCACCTTCTTAAGATGTGTGTTCAATTCCTTTTCATCAGCTCTGCCCTGACCACCCCATTCATAGCGCCCCCTATGCTCCTTATCCTGCATTACCTTTTCTTTTTTTCAATAGTTCTTATCACTGTTTTCTCATGCTTGTGTGTATTTATTATGTCTATTGTTTCCTTTCTCTTTTCGCTAGGTTGAAACTCTGCAAGGCAGAGATCTTTGTCTATTTTACTCAGAGATGAATAAGCACCTAGAACAGTGCTCATAGTCATCATCAACAAATATTTGTTGCTGATGAATGAATGATCGAATGAATACAACTGGTCAGTGATATTAACACCTCAGTCCCTCCGGGGGTGTGGGTAGGTCCTGGCTATTTGATAACCTTTCTTCATTAGCCAGCCCCACGTGGATGGGGTGTGGGTCCTGCTGCAGCTAACATCAAAAAGCACTTCTTATGGGGTGCAAGGCTGGGTGGGTCTGGTCCATGCTGCATGTTTGCCATCAGCTGCTGGTCAGGGCGGCCCAGGGAAGTGGGGCAGAGCCTCAGGTCTAGTGGGTCACAGGGGGACATACACAGCAAACTGAGCTCAGAGGAGTCTGAGTGCAAGAGGATTCAGGGAGAATTGAGATGCAGGGAGTAAAATGAAATTGTGATGCACTGTTGAGACCCTAGTCATGCGTGACATGGGAGCTGGAGGTCTGCTCTAGGAGTGTCGCTAGTGTGAGGCACAGGACAAAGCTTCCAGACTTTTCTCTGTGAACGCATAGACCATGGCAGATGTGCTCATTGCTGTGCAGCCGATTTCTAGGAGAGTGCCTGGCGTCAATGGTGGGTGGCCGGTAACCCTTTATGAAAGGATTGAATGTGTGGTGAAAGCGGTTTCATAGGGTGGGACAATTTCCAACCTAGTACCTGCCACAGTTGCCTGGCTCAAAATTCTAATCCAACAGCCTCCTATTCCCAATCCCTATCACCAGAAAGTTCCTCTTTATTGAGTAGATGGTGATATGGCAGCAGGTTCTCTGCTGTGTCTCTCTGCATTCCCAAGGAACATCAACTAGGTTTGCTCTATCTGAGTGACTCTGCCTACATTTTTAGGCCTCAGTTTCTTCATCTGTAAAATAAAGATAAGACTACTATCTACATTACAATGTTGGGCCTGGCTTATATAGTCACAGGATTTGTTAGTTTTGGATAGAAGTGTGAAACCTTGGGGACAGTGTTCCTAGGTCTGGCAGCTGCTAAGTAAAGTTCTGTGGAATCATAACACCATGGTCACTTGATGCCAGGTTTCAGACTGCATTTGAATTTGTGTTTCCCTGCCCTTCTTACTCCCTCCTTTCATAATCATTGGATGTTCAGACCAACAGGAGCTCCTTCTGTCCCACTGCAAGGACACTGGGCCCCTTCTTAAGAGCCATCTCTTGGCCATCAGCCCAGCTCTGCCTGTACAGCTCTGATGGATTCCTCATTGGACCATGGCACTGGGGGCTCTGTGTCACACCAGAAGGTGATGGCCAGGGGTAGATGGGACCCAGGTGACCTTCAGTGCCTTGACTCCCTGGGTAACTGCCTGCCCCTTCTTCACTCCAGACAGGCCCTGCCCAGATCACTGGCTCATTCTCCCTATGACTGCAGAGTTAAGAACATCTCGGGTCTTGAGCAGCAGTGTGGTTAAGTGATCACATGTTTGGATGCGGAGGATTCATCTGTAGAGTCAGCTCCACTTAAACATGGAGACAAAACTGCCATCATCTGCTTATGCCTCTGGGTGTTTGCCTAGAAACTTTGCTTTGACCAGAATCTGGAAGTGTGAATGGGTTTGGAAACAGTGTTGTTGCTACCAGAGTGTGGCTGATGGGACAGGATAGTGTGCAGGGGGGTGAAATTACTAAGTTTAGTCCTGGATGTGATGTTTACTCATCTTATGACCTTGGACAAATCACTTTCTTATTCTAGTCCTCGAGGTTTTCTGTCTTGTTTTATTTATCTCTAATAATTTTTTAAAAAGTTATTTCATGTGGAAGGCAACTTTATGGCTATTACAGATCAAATCAAAAGTAAAACTGCTCTCAAAAGGGGAGAGGTTGAAGTGGTCCAGAGACCCCTGATTGAGAACCTCCCCTCAGATGTGCACACTAGGTGGCTCGAGGGGCATCTCCATCCCACTCCGAGGATCCTATCCCACCCCATCCTGCTGAACACAGCTGGAAGCCCTGGACCAGGTGATCTTTCAGCCTTTCTGGCTCTGACAGTTGTTGAGATTCTGAGTTAGCCCCTCTGTTGGGAACTGGAAGCAGTAGCTCCTGATCTGCGGTGCAGATTCTAACTCTGTTGGGATCTGGGTGCAGAGAGATAAGGGGGCAATGATGTGGAATGGCGGAGAGGATGAGGAGAAGACAGTGCATGCCTGGGGAAAGTCATTCCCAGGACTGCAGCCTTCCCTGATTCTATCTTGTGTACCTGACTGGGCTCTGCCCGGGACATACCCCCAGGGATCTGCCAGCCATCCTGCTCCAGGAGGCTTCCCTGCAAGGAACCCCAGACCTGTGACCACAGATGCAAGAGGTGTCTGCCGGCTAGGGCTCAAATCTCTTATTTCTGATTGCCTAATGTCCCTGTTGAAGATGTGAAGACAGATGTGATCCAGCATCCTTGGGCCACTTGGTCTGGTGGGAGAAATCACCTACAGGCTCTAATGGGGACTTGGGCAAGGGCCAGTCCAGTCCAGAAGAGTGTGCCCATCCCTCTGTCTGTAGGAGGCCAGGAAGAGCTCGGAGAGGAGCTGAGGTCTGAGCTGTGAATGAAGGCGTGGGTCCTAAGCCAGGCAAAGTGTGGAGAAACGGGGGAGTCAGGAGGGGACCCTCAGGCAGAAGGAATAGCACAGGCAGAGGCCTGGGGGGCTGAGAGAGCACAGGACCTCTTTGAGCATGTGATGTTATGATATCTCTATATCTGTCTCTGTCTCTGTATCATCATCTGCATCTGTATCACCTATCTAACCTATATATGGGTTTTCACCCCCTGTTCCCGATCAATAACTCCCACATCTCTTGTTAGAGTCTTTTGTTGTAATGGCGGCTGTGTTAGGCCTCAGGAAACAGAACCTCTCTCCTGCCCTCCTTTCACCTGCCCCAAGGCAGAATTCACTCTTCCCTGCCTTTCTGACTGTGGGTCTTAAGGTGCTCCCCTGAGAAGCCTCCATCCTATATACCCCGAGGGAAGGAACGCTGATGACATGAAGCTTTCATAAAAACCCAGGAGGATTGAGTTAGGAAAGCTTCCCAACATATGAGGTTCCTGGACGGTGATGCCCAGGGAGGGCATGGAGGCCCTGCACCCCTTTCCCCACACCTCACCCTCATGTCTCTCCATCAGTATCCTTTGCAAAATCCTTTATAATAAACTGGTAAATGTAAGTAAGTGTCTCCCTGAGTTCTGTGAGCCACTCCAGCAAATGAATCCAACCCAGTGAGGGAGTCATGGGAACCCCAACTCGAAACAGGTTGGCCAGGAGTTCCGGAAGCCTGGACTTGCGAGCAGGGAGGGGTGGGCAGTCTTGGCAATTGAGCCCCTAGCCTGTGGGATCTGATGCTACCTCTGAGTAGACAGCGTCAAAACTGGATTAGAGGACCCCAACTTGTGTCCACTGCTTGGTGTGTGTGGAAACACCCCCTGCCCCCACATTTAGTCTCAGGAATCTTCCTCTGCGTTGATGATTGTTCTTCTGGTGTGAGAGCAGAGGAAAAGCATGGGTAAAGGGAGTTTTTCGTATGCAGAGACAGAGTCTGTTTCCATCTGGAAGCTCACGCACCTGCAGCCAGGTCCAGGTGTTCCTCCCTGGAGCCCAGGCTGCAGGAGGAAAAGGCCCCTCTATGGAAGCCACCGGCTTAGCTTTAGTTAATGGCTGGATAATCCCCATTTAGCCAGAAATGATGTCAACCCATTATTAAAATGGTGAGAATCATACATATGACTTGTTCCTGGAATAAATAATCACATCAGACCCAATCCAAACATTTTGTTTTGCTGCTATAGGTATATTTCTAATGCAACAACTGGTTAACCTGCTGAAGGGAGTGCTTCAAATAGATTCTTCTAGTGCGTACTTGATCTGTGCTCCCAGAGGGCAAAGAAAGGGAAAGAGACCTTGGAGAATTCTCACAGAGACTTGCAAGCAAAAGCAGCTATTTCAGTCAGTGACTTCTCTTTTTATGAAAGAAACATTCCGTAAATTACAATTAGGGCCTGGCCAGAAAGAAGAGCTCCCTAAGAGAGAAACTTTCTCATACCTTTGCTGGGCTCATCTTCACGTCCCTGGATGAATCCCTGGATATCCAGATCTCACCTTGGGCACCTTTCTGGAGAGGATCAGGAGGCTGTCATTTGGTTCTTATTTCTAAAATAAATAAATAAATAAATAAATAAATAAATAATCAACATTCATAGCTCAGGCTGGGCAACAGCCTTCCCATCCTGACTGTGTCTCCACCACCTAACACATAGCAGTCTCTCTCCTTTCCCCTCTGCTCTGTGCCTGCCCAAATGCTTATTCCATTGAGACTTATGCCCCCTCACTCTGCCTGCATGGGAGCTGGCTTGGTGAGCAGACTCCTTCATGGACAGGAATATTCATGCCCATGAGCTGCATCACAGCCTCTGCAGCTCTCATCAGGGTTCCTCTCCACAAATCTCTGAGGATGTCCCAAAACCTGAGGTTGCCCTCACACACATTTGAACCAATGCAGCTGATTCTGTATCTGCTCTTTTTAAAAATATGAAAATATGTAAATATAGGTATGTAATTTCTTAACAGATTTACTATCCACTTTTAAGTCTTTTGGCAATAGGAGAGTTGTAATTTACCAATAGTCAGTTACAATAGTCATAAATTAAAATCCTAAATAGATCGCATGGTCTGGGATCAGGGATTTCTGACACTCCCGCTTGAGGAGGATCAGCAGGACATTTGATGGGGGCTGCAGGATGGTGGACTGTGGGCAGCAGGCTTGGAGTCAGAGCCTAAGTCCTACCTCTTTCTTTCCCTCGTGCTGAGCACAGCAGCCAGCACACGGTGGGCGCTTAGCAGCCATTTAGCAAGTGCATGATCAATGTGGCTTCTTTGAGAATTCAAGTGCCTATGTTGATCAAACAAGATGACGGGCTGACAAAAGTCCTGTCTTCGGGAAGGGTCATGCCCGAGATGGTGGCTGAGCATGGGGTGACTTCTAAAATAAGGCCCAGGGATGCGGAAGTCCTCTCCTGGCCAGGCCTGGGAAAGAGCAGGCACAATGGGAGTGATGGAGAAAAGGAAAGGGGCCAATTCTTCCACAGCAGTGGAGCTAGAGCCCTGTCCACAGTGCAGGGGAGAGCTTCACTGGCAGTCCTTCCTCCTGAAGAGGCCTGGTGGCTTTCTCCTTTGCCATCATCTTCCTGGCCTCCAGTGGATCTGGGAGGAAGTAGGGCATTCTCTCCATTCCCGGGGGTGGGGTCGGGGTGGGGAGGAGGCCTGGGGCTGCTGCTTTGCCTGGACTTGCCCTGATCAGAGTGCCAGCCTCCTGAAGGAAGCTCTGCCTGGGGGTCAAGGAGGGAGACCGGGAGCGTCCACCACTCTATATAAAGCAGGTCAGCTGCTTACGCATGCTGGATCACACTCAAAGCCACCAGTCGGCAAGCGTTTCTGTAAAGGGCCAGGCAGTAAATCATTTGAGTTTTATGAGCCTTATGGTTCCTGTTGCAGCTACTCTGTTCTGCTGTTTTAGTGCAAAAGCAGCCACAGACAATACATGAATGTATGGGTGTGGCTGTTTTCCAATAAAATTGTATTTGCAAAGTGTGCAATGGACTGGATTTGGCCCACCAGCTGCGGTTTGCTATTTCCTTCTGGAAACATCTGGAAGCTTACGTCTCTGACAAGATGACTTGAATTTTTTTTTTTTTTTTTTTTTTTTTTTTGTGATACAGAGTCTCGCTTTGTCACCCAGGCTGGAGTGCAGTGGCACGATCTTGGCTCACTGCAAGCTCTGCCTCCCAGGTTCACACCATTCTCCTGCCTCAGCCTCCCGAGTAGCTGGGACTACAGGTGCCCGCCACCACGCCCAGCTAATTTTTTGTATTTTTGGTAGAGATGGAGTTTCCCCATGTTAGCCAGGATGGTTTCGATCTCCTGACCTCGTGATCCACCAGCCTCGGCCTCCCAAAGTGCTGGGATTACAGGCATGAGCCACCATGCCCAGCAATTTGATTTTTGTCTCTATTTTTCTGGCCTTGTTTTCTATTTGCTGAATCCCACAGATCCTGACGTCTGTGTGTCTTATTGCCGTGGTGTCTGCTGCCTGGGCTGGACTCTGGCTCCGAATGGCCCTGGCACAGCCACACACCCATGGAAATGGAGAAGGTGCACACGGAAACCAGTGGAGAGCAATGAGCGAAGAGAGTGGAGCTGCCCAAGAAGGAAGATGTGAGTACTTATCTTGGGTGGATTGATGAGGAATAGCAGTCCACCAAGCTTGTTTTCAGAAAACTGAAACTCAACTGAAACTGCTATTTAGAGTCTCCCTGGCACAAAACCAACTTTACAGTGTTAGATTTCTCCTGGGAGGGATTTGCAGAACTCTTGTCCAGGCTGGCTTACATGTCTTTGAGAGTTTAGGTGAAATCTCTTGACTTTACTTTGATGTCACCTGAAGCCAGTGGAGCCCTTCAGGGGAAATGCTTTTTCCACCTTGGGCTAGGGCTCCCTCCTCGCCTCTAGATTGACTCTGGGGTGTTAACTTTTTTTTTTTTAGATGGAATCTTGCTCTGTCGCCAGGCTGGAGTGCAGTGGTGCGATTGTGGCTCACTGCAACCTCTGCCTCCTGGGTTCGTCCAATTCTCCTGCCTTACCTCTCAAGTAGCTGGGACTACAGGCATGCACCACCACACCCAGCTAATTTTTGTATTTTTAGTAGAGGTGGGGTCTCATCATGTTGGCCAGGCTGGTCTCAAACTCCTGACCTCGGATGATCCACTCACCTCAGCCTCCCAAAGCACTGGGATTACAGGCTTGAGCCACTGCGCCTGCCCGGAGTGTTAACTTTTTCTCTCACTCTCAAAGCCTGAGGGAATTGGGTGGGGCCAGGGGATCACTGGATCTAATTTTGTTGTGTTTTACTGGCAAATAAACCAAATCTCCGACGGAGAAACTAACTTGCCCAGTGTCACAAGCCAGTCAACAGCAGAGCTAGGACCCAGACTCAAGCCTCCTGGTGCTGACATCTGTTCCGGGCATGGCACTTACCTCTTCCACCTTGCTCCCTTTTGGGTGCCTGTTTTGAAAAAACCTTTCAAACTGAGTTTCTCCTCTACTTTCACACCAACAACAATCATCAACACAGAAGACTTCTGTGACCAAAGGTGCAGGTTTTTCCCACACACACCAAGTGGTGGCTACCAGCTGGGCTTCCTCAAATTCAACTCCAACACTGTCTACCTAGAGAGAGTGTCAGACACCACAGTGTGGGGGCTCAGTCCCCAAGAATGCCCTCCCACCCCAGACACCGCTCGCAAGCCCAGACCTCCGGAATTTCTGACCAACCAGCTTCAAGCTGGGGTGCCCAGGACTCCCTCTTTGGGTTGACAAATTTGCTGGAGTGGCTCAGAGAACTCAGGGAAACACTTATCTGTTTATTATAAAGGATATTATGAGAAATACAGATGAAGAGGTGTGTGGGGTGAGGCATGGGGGAAGGGTTGCGGAGCCTCCCTGCCTTCCCTGGGCCCCACCCCCAGGAACCTCCACGTGTTCAGCCATTTGAAAGCTCCTAACTCAGTCCTCTTGGGTTTCTATGGAATCTTCATGGTGTCAGCATTCCTTTCCCCACGATATAGGACAGGGCCTTCTCTGGGGTGGGACTCTTAAGACCCACAATCAGAAAGGTGAGGGAAGATTCGAGTCCTGCCTGGGACAGGTGAAAGGAGGCCAGGAAAGGTCAGGAGATTCTGTTTCTTGAGGCCTAACACAGCCAACATTATAGCAAAAGACTGTAACAAGGGCCATGGGGATTATGAGCCAGGAACTGTAGATGAAAATCTACAGCTATCTACCTACCTACCTACCAATCTACCTATCAATTCTATCTATCTATCTATCCATCCATCCATCTATCCATCCATCCATCTATCTATCCATCCATCCATCAGATCACAACATCACAGTGTCTCACTCCTAAATTTCCTGAGTTGGTCACATTTTTGCTCCAAAAAGGAAAAGCCATGAAATGTGAAAATGACCCCCATGAAATTTCTTCTCATGACCGTTTATTGTGGTTCTGGTTCTCCCTGCCTTTGTTCCCCGCCTCACCCTGGAAACCACTCTGGTTGAGATTCCTGCAGCAGGTCCTTCTCATCCTTAGGTAGCTCGTGGTGCTTTTAGAATGAGAGTTCATTATGAGAAGTGATTATTCATGTGCCGTTGGCAAAACAAATTCCACCTTCCCCTCCCTACTCACCCACCCCCCGTGAATTGTTAGAACACAGTCTCATTACCCATGTCCTGTCCATAAAATATGCACTCGCGTTGTGGGAGATCATGGCTGTTCTTCCTTAATTTTTTAAAAAGGCAAACATGAAATAAAAACAAGAGGACCGAGGAGATCTAATTAAGACTCCATAAAGCAGGGGTTGGTATCTCCATTATCTGGCCAGAGTAAGATTGCTGTTTTCTTTCTACCCTGTCACTGATATAAATGAGTTCTTAATTCCTCCTTTTGTGGAGAACAGGTTATCGCGTTCCTATTCATTAAGCAACTTCAAGGCCCTGCAGCAGAGCTGAAAGCTGGTTTAAATTCACAGACTCTTCCCCTGGTGTCATTGGTGGGGCAAGAATAGGGAGTTCCAGGAAAGGTATGCAGCCCCCTGAGCACCCACCATTTCTGGGTTTGGGGGCTGAGGGATGAGGAGCCAGATGAGTGACCTTGGAGGTATTTGAAGGACATTCCCATCCATCCCTCCTCCCTGCCCACGGGATAAAGCTCAAACTCCTTACCGTGCATGGAAGGATATTATGTTGTTTCCTCTGTAGCTTCCTTTTCCAATCTTTTTTCCTTTTTTTTCTTCTTTTTTTCAATAGGGACAGGGTCTTGCTCTGTCACCCCAGATGAAGTATAGTGGCTGACCATGGTTCCTTGTAGCCTAGAGCTCCTGGGTTCAAGCAATCCTCCTGCCTCAGCCTCCCCAGTAGCTGGAACTACAAGCACATGCTGCCCGCCCAGCTAATTATTTTTATTTTTACTTTTTGTAGAGACTGAGTCTTGCTATGTTACCCAAGCTGGTCTTGAACTCCTGGGCTCAAGCAATCCTCCTGCCTCAGCCTCCCAGAGTGTTGGGGTTTCAGGTGTAAGTCACCGCTCCTGGCCCCTCTCCGATCTTAACTGATATCTTTCTTCCTACCTTGTCTCCCCAACAGGTGCTCACTGTGGCCACAGTGAGTCACCCTCGGGGCAGCTCCTGCAGCTTCCTGTTTCTGGCTTTTGCTCTTAGGATCCTCTGTAGGGAATGCCCCACTCTTCCTGCCTGCATCCTGTCCCCTGCCGGAATTTTTCAAATCTCACCTCGAACGTCCACTTCTCTAGGAGAACATTTTTAGCTTTCTAGATATAGCCAGTAGCCTCCTTATAATTTGCAGAGATATTGAAAACACCATGGTTAATACACCATTGCACATTCTTGCTGGTCCTACCTGGACCATAGACCCTTGTGAACAGGGTCTTCATATCCACTGGGCCTCACTGATGTTTGACACATAGTTGTTCACACTTGTTCAGGAGGGAAGGAAGGAACTAGGAAGATGGAAGGGCAGTGCAGGCTACAAAGGAGGGAAAGGCCATTTGACACTCAACGCATCTCTGGGCCTGGGCATTTGGTTAAGGAACCAGGTAATACTCTGCTTCATGGCTACGTCCCTTTGTTCATGCAGCCAACATTGAAGGTTGGCTTTGAGCACTGTTCCTTCTCTGCGGTTTCTGTCCTGGATTAACCTGCAGACTTCAACCCCAATGCACCATGTCTTACGACCACCCCCATTTGTTGGGATTACCAAGCTCAAGACACACAGATGTCTTTTCAGGACCACTTTGAAAGTGGAGTTTTAAATTAGATGAGATTCTTGACAAGAACATCTCATCCACCAGTCAGAGAGATTCAGTGACTCTTAGGTGCTGTGAGTCTGTGTCTATTTGTTTCAGGTACAAATCTCTTTACTTTTCAGTAACATAGCACCTCAGATGAAGAAAGCTCTTCTACTATTATTATTATTGTTTTGCTCTGCCTATGAAAATGTGTGATTATGTCAGGTTCCCCAGAAACAGATCAAGGATTTATTAAAGAAATTTTCCCAGGAGAAACTAAAAAAAGAGTGAGACAGCTGGATAGGGAAAGAAGAGGCTGGGTGAGGGTGTCAGCCTCAGCCTGACCCTATAGTGGAGCTCTGTGGGAGGAATTACTTCTGAGTTTGTCCCGACATGGGGAAGGGAGCTGAACACCCCCAAATTAGGTTTCAGCTAAGAAGAGAGAGGGTATAAACTCCTGGACACTTCAGTTCTTTGGGCTTGAGTACAAAATGGCTCTGGTAGTCCAAGGGCAGCCCTGAGAAGTGAGCCCCAGATGCAGGCTGTTAGATGTGGAGTGCACAGATAGGGGCAGTGACGGGATCCAGAGTGTCCACTACAGTCCGCACTCAAAACCCAGCACCGCTAAAAGCCGTACACCTTATAAGCATGGATAGCCTCGCCTCGCTTTCCTACATCTGAGGCAAACAAGGTCAAGGGAAGGAAAAAGACGCTTTCAAGCCCGCGCGGCTTGAGAGTGGCAGAGCTGGGACTTGAATGCAGCTCTTCTGACCTCAGTCCAGGCCTTTTGTCTGACATCCAGCCATCTGTTCCCAATATGGTGTAAGCCAAAGATGTTTACTGGTAACCCACTTGGAAAAAAAAAACTCAATATATTGGCTCTAAATTTAGGAATCATTATTTTCAAGGTAATTAATAATGGTGCAAGAAGAATTCTTCTCTTTAAAAAGCATTTACAGATTTGCATTAAATTGCAAGATCCTCTACCGTCTGCAAGGTCAGATATTTTACAAGATATTTAAAGAGCTCAAAAACTGACTACATGTACATCATGTTTCTTGCCCCTCTAACCTTGCCGTCCTTCATTTTGTCCTGCTCCAGCCGTATGGGTCACTGAAATGTGGTCAAGTGATTTACCCACTTTCCTATAAATGATCAGCAGGTAGAATGGGAAGAAAACCCAGACCCCATGTGAAACTAAGTTGAAGGTCAGTACTTTTTTTTCTGAATTGCAGGTTGTAAGGGATATCATAGTGAAAGTGACATGTAGGGCTTGTGGATTTGGCATTATCAAAAGTGGATTGTTCAGCTGATGGTCAAGAAATGGGTATCATGGGCCAGGCACAGTGGCTCATGCTTATAATCCCAGCACTTTGGGAGGCCAAGGTGGGTGGATCACCTGACGTCAGGAGTTCGAGACCAGCCTGGCCACATGGTGAAACCCTGTCTTTACTGAAAATACAAAAATTAGCTCGGCATGGTGGCAGAATCCCAGCTACTTGGGAGGCTGAGGCAGGAGAATTGCTTGAACCCAGGAAGCGGAGTTTGCAGTGAGCCGAGATCACACCACTTCACTTCAGCCTGGGTGACAGAGCGAGACTCCATCTCAAAAAAAAAAAAAAAAAAAGATATCATGGTTGGAAATTTATCTTACATGATATCTCCATAACTTCACATTCCAGCCTCTAAGTCCTGCCAAATTTTGAACAGTGACAAAACCAAAACATTGCTTCACCGTTGTACTAAATTCTTCAGCGAAGTTTTTCAAGAGCAAATTCCCCAGCTGCTGCAATCTTCGGCACACAGCACATTGGCTCTCTCAACTGTGGGCATTTCAGGGGACAGCCAATGAGTTTGGCACACAGAACCACACTGGAATCCACACTGAAACTGCATCTTTTCTGCGTCAGTCATAAATAGCAAAACTTAAAAGGGGGATTGCAGTGTTATTACCAGCAAGAGTGTTGACAGTGTCACATCCCTGTTAATAGCATTCCAAAAATTGGGGTTTTATTTTGGACATTGAAATTCTTTTCAGCACTATAAAAAAAGTCACATGGAAAAGCAACATAGGCCGGGCATGGAGGCTCACACCTGTAATGCCCACACTTTGAGAGGGTGAGGCAGGAATATTGCTTGAGGCCAGTAGTTCAAGATCAGCCTGGCCAACACAGCGAGACCCTGTCTCTGTTTAAAAAAGAAAGAAAGAAAAGCAAGGTAGATGTTTGACAAAGAGCAATTAGGTTTTATGGTCAGGTAAGGGAGAAGGATTCCAGCATGCTGGAAAAAGGCAGGGCAGGAGGCAGAGAGGGTAAGAAAGCCTGCAAAGGTCCATCCTTATTCATCCGTGTAATGCAAACAAAAGTTGTCTGGGGCTGACTGGAGAGGGGACTGTGTGTGATGGGATCTAATTGAAAACCCTGACAAATGAAGCTCATGACTGGCAGGACTAAATGAACAAACATCTTCTTAGGCAGCTCTTATTATCTTTGAGATTTTTTTTTTTATTCCCTTTCCAAGATAGAAAGTGCTCTCCTGGCTGGGGTACTTGACAATGATTCACCCTGGGCTAATGTTCACTGGGACCAGGGATTTATTTGAAAGAGGTGCTCAGAAGGAACTGCCTGGTTTCAGACAGGAGCACTTAGACTTCTCTGAAGGGAAATGGAATATGTGCCACCTGAGGTTTGCTCTCAATCCACTCACAGGTTTGAGAATCCTTGGATATGTGGCTTGAGTCCCAGGAAATACACCTGGAATTTGGCACTCCTGCCATTGTTGAAGCACAAGCAGGGGCCTCTTGCAGAGATCACTGGATGCCAGGAGAGAGCATCCCACTTGGAAAGCAATCGATCCATGCTTTGTCTTACCTTAAACTTAATTTAGAGTTATGGAATTCTTGTTAGTGCAAAATGTGCACAGTGTCCCTGAGTTGCTGAGTAGACCTGGGAAGAATGTGGTTTGGGTCAATCTGGAGTCCCTTGTTAAAGACTAATTTTGGGGGGATTTTCCAGGTTTTAATAGTTGTGTCTCTATCAAAGATAGAGGTTCCTGAAATTAAAATTTAGAATCTGTGAGGGGCCTTGTGGAGTAGCCAGGGGAGGTGGTGAATCTTCTTGAATCCCTATGAGCATTTTTGGCTCAAGACAGGTGAAATTTGATCACCTCTGGAAATCAAGTAGCCTTAAGATATTATAATGTTGTGAAATTCAGATTTTATATCAGTTTGTGGGAAATCTTCCTCCCAGTGTTTCTGAGTCTGTCTTCTCACCTGTCAAATGGGAATAATAAGAGCACTTCCCTCATTCAGTTGACTTAGATGATGTGAGGCTTGGACACAATAGCTTAAGGGAAGGCAGAACACCTAGGATGTAGTAAGTGCTCACAACGATGTCTTATTTCCAAAGGGAAAGTCATCAGGCTTGGAGTTAAGAAATTGACATAAGAAATATAAGAATATAATATAATATAACATAATATTAAAAACTTTCGGTTTTCTCATTCATATAATGGAATCAAAACACCTGCCTGGCTGACCTCACAGGGTTGCTTTGAGAATCAAATGAGATCCTGTAGGTGAAAACACAGATGAATGAGAAAATGCAATGCACATCTGGAAAATTAGTAAGCAAGCCTTTCAATGTCCTCTCACCTCCCCACAGAGTCACATTCCTTTGGCCACATGGAACTTTTCCTTCTCATTTTCTTGTATGTAATTTAAGAAAATTCCCCTTCCATACTATTTGAGCTATGAACAACCCCCTTTGTCATAGACAGGAGCTACCTGGTGCTTCTTCCAAAAGGGAGCTAGTGAGGGGCAGGAGGCGGTGACCCCGAGGGGAGCAGGAGGCTGGCAGCCCCTCTGGG
Organism: Homo sapiens; assembly: GCF_000001405.40. Lineage (NCBI taxonomy): Eukaryota > Metazoa > Chordata > Mammalia > Primates > Hominidae > Homo > Homo sapiens. The sequence continues at coordinate 40,976,283 of NC_000008.11, read as the reverse complement.
CATGTGGCCACCATTGGTTTATCCCTGGACCCACCCAGGCTTCTTGGGTTCTGGGTCCCTCGGCACCTGGAGGGTTCAGTCATAGTTGGGGGCAGTGATATAGTTTGGATATTTTTCCCTGCCCAAATCTCATGTTGAAATATAATCCCCAGTGTTGGAGGTGGGGTCCAGTGGTAGGTGTTTGGGTCATGGAGGCAAATCCCCCATGGCTTTGTGCTGTTTCCATGATAGTGAGTGAATTCTGGCGCGATCTGCTTGTTTAAATGTGTTTGGCACCCCCTAGCCCACCGACTCACACTCTTTTGCTCTCGCTTTCACCATGTGAGGTGGTGGCTCCCTTTTCACCTTCTGTCATGAGTACAAACTCCCAGAGGCCTTTCCAGAAGCCAAGCAGGTGCCACCGCCATGCTTGTACAGCATGCAGAACTGTGAGCCAATTAAACCTCTTTTCTTTATAAATTACCCAGCCTCAGGTATTTCTTTATAGCAACATAAGAACAGCTAACACAAGCAGCTTAATAGCTCACCAGATGACTGTGGAAACCTCCATTTCGAGAGCACAAGGAGGGCCGGGCACGATGGCTCATGCCTGTAATCCCAGCACTTTGGGAGGCCAAGGTGGGCAGATCACTTGAGGTCAGGAGTTTGAGACCAGCCTGGCCAACATGGTGAAACCCCATCTTTACTAAAAATACAAAAATTAGCCTGGTGTGGTGGCATGCATCTGTAATCCCAGCTACTTGGGAGGCTGAGGCAGGAGAATTGCTTGAACCTGGGAGGTGGAGGTTTCATTGAGCCAAGATTGAGCCACTGAACTCAGGCCTGGGTGACAGAGAGAGACTCTGTATCAAAAAAAAAAAAAAAGTACTCAAAGCACAAGGAAGCGTTTTTCAGGGCTCTGTGTCTGTAGGAGTTAGGGCTGGTCTGGGGGAGGGCAGTGCTCATGGGTACCTAGGCACTGACCTACCTTTTAGAACTGTTTGGATTCTTTCCAAAGAGACAGCCCCAGCACCAATACCTTAGCTACATGTGGACATTCCTGTGGGACAGTGGGACCGCTGAGCGTGCCGCTGGGTCCTCACATGGTCCACTCTGTGGATGGTACTGGGCAAGTTTGATAAGGCTTCAGCATGAGTCGCCTTCCACCTGAATCTGTGTCCCCAAGAGCAGCCTTTCCTTGTAGGTCAGAGTCTCCCCAGCATCTGAGAACCAGGCCTTGATTTGATGAAACTCTAAAGAGTTCTGTTCTTTCCTGGCCCCAGAAGGATTACAATTCATTTCTGTCGATCTCTGACACCATCAGATTCCTCCTACCCCAGGTGTAGAACTGCCAGTCCCCAAAATACAGATGTATTCTAAATGATCAGTCAATGAGCTCTCTGTTCATCAGGAGTGTAGGGCATCTGCTGTGTTAACTAAGTCTCTTTTGATTGTAAGCAACAGAAATAGACTTTAACTATTTGGTGGGTGGAGGGGAGATTCATTCGAAATGTCTCATAGCTGGAGACTGCTGGCATCAGCCAAAGCTGTTCTTCCTTCTTCCATAGCAACGGAGTTGAAGCAGGGTGTGGCTGCCCAGCCAAGGACATGGCCCAGCCCCACTCGTGCAGCTAGGTGTGGCTGATGTTCAAGTTCCTGCCAGGGAGCATGAGCAGAAGTTTTAGGTGTCACTTCCAGGCCTTGCCCCAAAGACTTTGCAGGTTCACTTCTGCATCTTTTCCCCTCCTTGTTTCTGGCTGGAATCATTTCAGCCCCAGCTGCTCTGACAGGCACTTAGTGTTGAAGGAGGCAGAGCTGCTGGCGGTCAGGGCCGATAAATGACTGCATGGAACCGAGCAGTCCCGATGGACTGTTATTTGCAATAAATAAACATGGAGTTTGTTTGAGCCATTACATTTGGGGGCCCTTTGTTTTAGCAGTTTAACCTTTACCCTAATGATTTCAGGGGACTGAATTGAAAGAATTGCTGAATAACTAAGCCTCAGGAAGGCAGGGATGGGGCAGCTTTGATGTCTCAAGCGACAGGATTTATAGAGCTAACTCTCTCAGATGCTGCCAGGAAGCCAGCTCTCTTTATTGTCTGTCACTACTGTGTCCTTCCATTCAAGTTTCAGATTCTCACAAGATGATTTGGCTGACCCAGCTTGGGTCAGGTGTCTATGCTGGGATCTATAAGCTATGGCCGGAGAGAGCAGGTGCTTATGGAAATGTGAACACTGAGGCCCTTCACCTCTTGCTTTTTACAGTCTTTTCTGGAAATGGGAACACTGAGCAAGTGTGTCTCATACCATGTATATGTCAGAATCAGATGAGGCAATGCACACAGAGGGAGGACCAGGAGTTTGGATTTCAGTGGGGGAGACAGGGAATTGAATAGACAATTATAAAGAGGTAAGAGTTAGGTTTCAGATTTTCATGGGCTATCATGAGAGCTCAAAGGAGAGGCAACTAACAGGTTAGAAGAAGGGGTGTAGGAAGTCTATATTGTTTGAAAGTGGGCTTGCTCTCTTGGAAGAGGTCAGGCCGACTGGAGCTAAAATATCAGCACCAGTGAGTGGCCTGGGGTCAGCTACTCAGATATTTAACCATTCTGAACACCTCCTCATTTGTAAAATTAAGATGATAATACAAAATCCTGTGTGGCAAGGCATAGCTCTAGAATGAGTAAGAAGGGGAAGTGGTAGACCAGGAGGGACAAGAGGTGAAATCATTGACCTGTCTGGGTGCTATTTGTGGGTAGATAGGCCTAGACTCTCAATTTTCCATAATGAATTTGTTGTCGATGACTATTCTGGATCTGTATCCCTTCTGGATACAGTCTGTGATGGTCGGTTTTATGTTTCAAATTGACTTCTATAGTATCTCATTATTAAGCCAAACACTAATCTAGGGGTTGCAAAGGTATTTTATAGATGGGGTTAACTTGGACAATCAGTTGACTTTAAGTAGAGGAGATTGTCCTTCATAATGTGGGTGGGCCTCATCCAATGAAAGCAAAACTGAGGTTTTCCTAAGAAAGAGGAAATTCTGCCTCCACACTGCAGCATCAACTCCTACCCAAGAGTTTCCAGTCTGCCCTGTGAATTTCAGACTTGTGAGCCCCCGCAATTGTGGGAACCAATTCCTTGATTATGTCTCTTTCTCTATATATATAGATCCAATGCATCTTCCTCTGTTTCTACGTGCAAACACACACACACACACACAGACACACACACACACACTAGGGGACTTCAAAGAGTTTATGTAAAAATGAATTATAATATAAGACTAAAAATATAAACTTAGTTTCTCAACATAAGCTCCATTAAGGTCAAGACACTTTTGAAAGTGATGATACCAGCCGTTTAGTCCATCCCTAAAGAACTGAGGGTCCTGGGAATGTAACCATGTCAATGCAGTCTTTTTTGTACATAATTAACTGAAGAAAAATGCCTGTCTTTTACAGATTTTTAAAGATTAGGAAACAAAAAGAAGAAAGAAGGATCCAAATCAGTACTCTAAGGTGGATGCCTAATAATCTCCCATTGAAACTCCTTGTTTATTGAAAGGAATGAGCAAGAGCATTGCCGTGGCGAAGGACTATCTGGCGAAGCTTTCCTGGGTGTTTTTCTGTTAAAGTTTTGGCTAACGTTCTCAAAACTCTCTTGCAATAAGTGGATGTTACCATTCTTTGGCCCTCCTGAAAGTTGTTTTTTTTGGTTTGTTTTTTGAGACAGGGTCTCGTTCTGTCACTCAGGCTGAATTGTAGTGGCACTTATCACAGCTCACTGCAGCCTCCAACTCCTAAGCCCAAGCAATCCTCCTACCTCAGACTCCTATGTAGGTGGGACTACAGGAGTGTGCCAGCATGCCTGGCTAACTTTTAAATTTTTTTTGTAGCAATGAAGCCTTATTTTATTGCCCAGGCTGGTTTTGAACTCCTGGCCTCAAGTGATCTCCCTGCCTCAGCCTCCCAAAGTGCTGGGATTACAGGCATGAGCCACTGTGACTTGCAAGCCCTGCAGAAAGTCAACAGGCAAAATGCCTTCAGCATGCCAAGACACTGTTGCCATGTTCCTTGCTCTTGGCCGGTCTGCTTTTGCTTTGGCTGGACCACAGCCACCTCTCAGTAGCCATTGCTTTGCTTGCTCTTTGTCTTCAGGATCATACTGGTAAGGCCATGTTTCATCTCCTGCTACAGTTCTCTGAAGCAATGGTTGAGGATCTTGATCCCACTTGTCTAAAATTTCCATCGAAAGCTCTGCTGCTGTCTGCAACTGATCTTGGTGCAACAGCTTTGGCACCCATCAAGAGGAAAGTTTGCTCAACTTTAATTATTCAGAGAATTGTGTGAACTGAAGCAGTTGAAATGTCTACGGTGCTGGCTATTGTTTCTGCTGTTAACCATGAGTCCTCTTCAATTAGAACATAAACAAGATAAATTTTTTCCTTTCAAATTGATGTGAATAGTCTGCTGCTTCAAGCTTCATCTTCAACATCGTCCTGTCACTTCTTAAAATGATTTATCCACATGCAATTCCTGATTTCTTTGGGGAACTCTCCGCATACATTTTTTTTGTAAAGCATCAATGATTTCACCATTTTTCCACTGAAGCTTCACTATCAATTTGATGTTTTTTCTTGGTTCAATTTTAGTAGAATTCATATTGCTCCATTAGGGGCTATTTTCAAACTGGTGTCTCATCCTTCTTAGTGCCTCAAACTAGGTCCTGTTCAGACATATTATAACAAGTTAGTACAAGTTTATTTTGGTATAAAAAATTAAAATCCATGCAGACATAGTGTTTTCATATAAGCATTTTCCATAAACTTTTTAAAGTTTCCTTGTAAACACACACACTATATATAATACATATTATATACATATATCCTGGTGGTTCTGTTTCTCTAGAGAATCCTGACTAATCTGACATCTTTCTCCTTTTGTTCCCATCCAAATGCTTATTAGACCCTATGAAAGTTTAAGCAGCTTTTCATAGAAAAGTAGACAGAGGTGGAGATTCAGAGATGGTTCCTCTGGAGGAGCTCCTCTGCCTCTTCTCCATGTGCCAGCGGGAGAGACCTCTGGGCCAAGCATTCAGGGAATGCCCCAGGCAGTCACACTATGATTTTCAAACTCTTGCTCTTTTTTTTTTCTTCTTACTTTAGGTGCAGAAGATTTAGTTAATCGTGGTATTTGTTTCAGGGCATCTTATCATTTATTTCTGGAAGGCTCCTTTCTTATTGCTGTGCTTTGTTATTTATGACTTTTAAATTCTCATTTCCTTTTACTTCCCTCTCTTAGAAGATCTTTCTAAGCTACCTGATATGTATTCTTTCATCATGGTTTGTGTTGCTGTAGAATATGTATTATATATAGTGTTGATAGGTGCAGGAAGAAGATAAGGTGGAAGGTCCCGGAGAATCTCCCACCAGCCTGAGCACTGGGAGGACGGGGTGGAGCCTCAGGACGTTCTCGCCATTTGCAGGAGGGGAGGAGCCTGGCCTCTCCTGTTCCTGGGTAGTGACCTGGAATTCAATCTGTGAGGTGGGGGTCTGTTAACAGAAACACCTCTCGCTTTGCTGAGTTATTTTCCTTTTTGCCCAGTAAATTCCATTTCCCCTCACCCTTCAAAGTGTCTGTGAGCTGAATCTTTCCTGGTTGTGTGACAAGAACCTGTTTTTTTCTACAACAGTGTGTGGAAGTATTCTAATGTACATAAATGGAATTGTTATTTCTTTGTTTTAGTACAGCAATATATTTGTAGCCTCTCTTCATGTTGGTCTGTGTACTTCTGGTCTCTTGCTTCTAACTGCTGCAGAGCATTACACCTTGTGCACCGACCACATGTATTCTATGCCTTCCCCTCTAGAAAGGACGCTCAGGTTGCCTTTTATCCTCCCTCCAGCACAACCAATACTGCAATAAACAGCCTCATATGAGTCCCTTTGGAACCTATGGAAGAATTTCTCTACTATACCTACCCAGGAGCAGAATTTTTAGGCCAGAGAGAGTAACTAAATGTTTCTTCTGAGTTATTACAGAATGATTCCTAAAACTGGCTGCACCTCTCTGCACCCTTACCACCACTGCGCCAGGACTCCCACATTCTCACAGCCTCAAAAATCACTCGCGTTATCCAGGGTTCTAAGTTTTTGCCAAGCTGACAGACGTTAAGATAGAGCATTGTTGCTTAATACATTTTTCTCTAATTACTAATCAATTTGAGCATCTCTTTAGTGCTTCTTGTACTTTTGAGATTTCGCTTCTGTGAAATGACTATTCATAGTTATTGACCATTTTCTTTTTTTTAAATTATACTTTAAGTTCTGGGGTACATGTGCAGAATGTACAGGTTTGTTACATAGGTACACATGCGCCATAGTGGTTTGCTGCACGCATCAACCCGTCATCTACATTAGATATTTCTCCTAATGGTATCCCTCCCTCCCCTTGCCCCTCACTCCCCAACAGTACCCGGTGTTGTGTGATGTTCCCCTCCCTGTGCCCTTATGTTCTCATTGTTTAACTACCAATTATGAGTGAGAACATGCAGTGTTTGGTTTTCTGGTCCTGTGTTAGTTTGCTGAGAATGGTGGTTTCCAGCTTCATCCATGTCCCTGCAAAGGACATGAACTCATTCCTTCTTATGGCTGCATAGTATTCTATGGTGTATATGTGCCACATTTTCTTTATCCAGTCTATCATTGATGGGCATTTGGGTTGGTTCCAAGTCTTTGCTATTGTGAATAGTGCTGCAGTAAACATACGTGTGCATGTGTCTTTATAGTAGAATGATTGATAATCCTTTGGTATATATCCAGTAATGGGATTGCTGGGTCAAATGGTATTTCTGGTTCTAGATCCTTGAGGAATTGCCAAACTATCTTCCACAATGGTTGAACTAATTTACACTCCCATCAACAGTGTAAAAGCGTTCCTATTTCTCCACATCCTCTCCAGCATCCCTTGTTTCCTGACTTTTTAATGATCGCCATTCTAACTGGCATGAGGTGGTATCTCATTGTGGTTTTGATTTGCATTTCTCTAATGACCAGTGATGATGAGCATTTTTTCATATGTTTGTTGGCTGCATAAATGTCTTCTTTTAAAAGCATCTGTTCATATCCTTCACCCACTTTTTGATGGGGTTGTTTTTTTTCTTGCAAATTTATTTAAGTTCCTCGTAGATTCTGGATATTAGCCCTTTGTCACATGAATAGATTGCAAAAATGTTCTCCCACTCTGTAGGTTGCCTGTTCACTCTGAAGATAGTTTTTTTTGCTATGCAGAAGCTTTTCAGTTTAATTATATCCCATTTGTCAATTTTGGCTTTTGTTGCCATTGCTTTTGGTGTTTTAGTCATAAAGTCTTTGCCCATGCCTATGTCCTGAATGGTATTGCCTAGGTTTTCTTCTAGGGTTTTTATGACTTTAGGTCTTACCTTTAAGCCTTTAATCCATCTTGAGTTAATTTTTGTATAAGGTGTAAGGAAGGGGTCCAGTTTCAGTTTCCTGCATATGGCTAGCCAGTTTTCCCAACACCATTTATTAAATAGGAAATCATTTCCCCATTGCTTGTTTTTATCAGTTTTGTCAAAGATCTGAGAGTTGTAGATGTGTGGTGTTATTTTTGAGGCCTCTGTTCTGTTCCATTTGTCTATATAACTGTTTTGGTATCAGTACCATGCTCTTTTGGTTACTGTAGCCTTGTAGTATAGTTTGAATTCAGGTAGCGTGATGCCTCCAGCTTTGTTCTTTTTGCTTAGGATTGTCTTGGCTATATAGGCTCTTTTTTGGTTCCATATGAAACTTAAAGTAGTTTCTTTTTTTCTAATTCTGTGAAGAAGTCAATGGTAACTTGATGGGAATAGCACTGAATCTATAAATTACTTTGGGTAGTATGGACATTTTCACAATATTGATTCTTCCTATTCATGAGTGTGGAATGTTTTTCCATTTGTTTTGTCCTCTTTTATTTCCTTGAGCAGTGGTTTGTAGTTCTTCTTGAAGAGGTCCTTCACTTCCCTTGTAAGTTGTATTCCTAGGTATTTTATTCTCTTTGCAGCAATTGTGAATGGGAGTTTGCTCATGATTTGGCTCTCTGTCTATTATTGGTGTATAGGAATGCTTGTGATTTTTGCTCATTGATTTTGTATCCTGAGACTTTGCTGAAGTTGCTTATCAGCTTAAGGAGATTTTGGGCTTAGATGATGGAGATTTCTACATATACATTAATATCATCTGCAAACAGAGACAATTTGACTTCTTCTCTTCCTGTTTGAATATTCTTTATTTCTTTCTCTTGCCTGATTGCCCTGGCCAGAACTTCCAATACTATGTCGAATAGGAGTGGTGAGAGAGGGCATCCTTTTCTTGTGCCAGTTTTCAAAGGGAATGCTTCCAGCTTTTGCCCATTCAGTATGATATTGGCTATAGGTTTGTCATAAATAGTTCTTATTATTTTGAGATATGTTCCATCAATACCTAGTTTATTGAGTGTTTTTTAGTATGAAAGAGTGTCGAATTTTTTCAAAGCTCTTTTCTGCATCTATTGAGATAATCATGTGGTTTTTGTCATTGGTTCTGTTTATGTGATGGATTACATTTATTGATTTGTGTATGTTGAACCAGCCTTGCATCCCAGGGATGAAGCCGACTTGAGCATGGTGGATAAGCTTTTTGATGTGCTGCTGGATTCAGTTTGCCAGTATTTTATTGAGGATTTTCGCATCAATGTTCATCAGGTATATTGGCCTGAAGTTTTCTTTTTTTGTGTTGTCCGTGCCAGGCTTTGGTATCAGGATGATGCTGGCCTCATAAGATGAGTTAGGGAGGAGTCCCTCTTTTTCTATTGTTTGGAGTAGTTTCAGAAGGAATGGTACCAGCTCCTTTTCGTACTTCTGGTAGAATTCGCCTGTGAATCCATCTGGTCCTGGGCTTTTTTTGGTTGGCAGGCTATTAATTACTGCCTCAATTTCAGAACTTGCTTTTTGTCTATTCAGGGATTCGCCTTCTTCCTGGTTTAGTCTTGGGAGTTTGTATGTATGTGTCCAGGAATTTATCCATTTCTTCTAGATTTCCTATTTTATTTGCATAGAGGTGTTTATAGTATTCTCTGATGGTAGTTTGTATTTCTGTGTGATTAATGGTGATATTCCCTTTATCAGTTTTTATTGTGTCTATTTGATTCTTCTCTCTTTTCTTCATTATTAGTCTGGCTACCAGTCTATCTTTTTTGTTAATCTTCTCAAAAGCCAGCTCCTGAATTCATTGATTTTTTGAAGGGTTTTTGTGTTTCTGTCTCCTTCAGGTCTGCTCTGATCTTAGTTATTTCCTGTCTTCTGCTAGCTTTTTGAATTTGTTTGCTCTTGCTTCTCTAGTTCTTTAATTGCGATGTTAGGGTGTTGATTTTAGATCTTTCCTGCTTTCTCCTGTGGGCATTTAGTGCTCTAAATTTCCCTCTAAACACTGCTTTAGCTGTGTCCCAGAGATTCTCGGATGTTGTGTCTTTGTTCTCATTGGTTTCAAATAACTTACTTATTTCTGCATTGATTTCGTTATTTACCCAGTAGTCATTCAGGAGCATGTTGTTCAGTTTTCATGTAATTTTGCAGTTTTGAGTGAGTTTCTTAATCTTGAATTCTAATTTGATAGTACTGTGGTCTGAGAGACTGTTTGTTATAATTTCCATTCTATTGCATTTGCTGAGGAGTGTTTTACTTTCAATTATGTGGTTGATTTTAGAATAAGAGCCATGTGGTGCTGAGAAGAATGTATATTTTGTTGATTTGGTGTGGAAAGTTCTGTAGATATCTATTAGGTCTGCTTGGTCCAGAGCAGAGTCAAGTCCTGAATATCCTTGTGAATTTTCTGTCTCGTTGATCTGTCTAATATTGACAGTGGGGTGTTAAAGTCTCCAACTATTATTGTGTGGGAGTCTAAGTCTCTTTGTAGTTCTCTAAGAACTTGCTTTATGAATCTGGGTGCTCCTGTGTTGGGTGCATATATATTTAGGATAGTTAGCTCTTCTTCTTGCATTAATCCCTTTACTATTATGTAATGCCTTTCTTTGTATTCTTTGATCTTTGTTGGTTTAAAGTCTGTTTTATCAGAGACTAGGATTGCAACCCTTGCTTTTTTTTGCTTTCCATTTGCCTGTAAACATTCCTCCATCCCTTTATTTTCAGCCTATGTGTGTCTTTGCACGTGAAATGAGTCTCCCGAATACAGCACACTGATGGGTCTTGACTATCCAATTTGCCAGTCTGTGCCTTTTAACTGGGGGATTTAGCCCATTTACATTTAAGGTTAATATTGTTATGTGTAAATTTGGTCCTCTCAGTATGATGCTAGCTGGTTATTTTGCCCATTAGTTGATGCAGTTTCTTCATAGTGTCGATGGTCTTTACATTCTGGATTGAAAATTCTTTTCTTTAAGAATGTTGAATATTGGTCCCCACTCTCTTCTGGCTTGTAAGGTTCCTGCAGAGAGATTTTCTGTTAGTCTGATGGGCTTCCCTTTGTGGGTAACCCGACCTTTCTCTCTGGCTGCCCTTAACATTTTTTCCTTCATTTCAACTTTGGTGAATCTGATGATTATGTGTCTTGGGGTTGCTCTTCTTGAGGATTATCTTTGTGGTGTTCTCTGTATTTCCTGAATTTGAATGTTGGCCTGTCTTGCTTGGTTGGGGAAGTTTTCTTGGAAAATATCCTGAAGTATGTTTTCCAACTTGGTTCCATCCTCCCTGTCACTTTCAGGTACACCAGTGAAACGTAGGTTTTGTCTTTTCACATAGTCCCATATTTCTTGGAGGTTTGTTCATTCCTTTCCATTCTGTTTTCTCTAAGCTTGTCTTCATGCTTTATTTCATTAAGTTGATCTTCAATCTCTGATATCCTTTCTTCCACTTGATCGGTTCGGCTATTGATACTTGTGTATGCTTCATGAAGTTCTTGTGCTGTATTTTTCAGCTCCATCAGGTCAATTATGTCCTCCTCTAAACTGGTTATTCTAGTTAGCAATTCCTCTAACCTTTTATTAAGGTTCTAATCTTCCTTGCATTGGGTTAGAACATGCTCCTTTAGCTCAGAGGAGTTTGTTATTACCCACCTTCTGAAGCCTACTTCTGTCAGTTCGTCAAACTCATTCTCCATCTGGTTTTGTTCCCTTGCTGGCGATGAGTTGTGATCCTTTGGAAGAGAAGAAGCATTCTTGTTTTTAGCATTTTCAGATTGTTTGCACTGGTTTTTCCTCCTCTTCATGGATTTATCTACTTTTGGTCTTTGCTGTTGGTGGCCTTCAGATGGAGTTTTTGCTTGGTCATCCTTTTTTTTTGATGTTGATGCTATTGCTTTCTGTTTGTTAGTTTTCCTTCTAACAGTCAGGCCCCTCTTCTGCAGGTCTGCTGGAGTTTGCTGGGGGTCCACTCCAGACCCTGTTTGCCTGGGTATCACCAGTGGAGGCTTCAGAACAGCAAAGATTGCTACCTGCTCCTTCCTCTGGAAGCTTCGTACCAGATGCCAGTTGGAGCTCTCCTGTATGAGGTGTCTGTTGACCCCAGCTGGGAGGTGTCTCCCCATCAGGAGGCTCCAGGGTCAGGGACCCAGTTGAGGAGGCAGCCTGTCCCTTAGCGGAGCTCCAGGGCTATGCTGGGAGATCCACTGCTCTCTTCAGAGCTGGCAGGCAGGAACATTTAAGTATGCTGAAGCTGCGCCCACAGCCACCCCCTCCCTCAGGTGCTCTGTCCCAGGGAGGTGGGAGTTTTATCTGTAAGCCCTTGATTGGGCCTGCTGCCTTTCTTTCAGAGGTGCCCTGCCCAGAGAGGAGGAATCTAGAGAGTCAGTCTGGCTACCCTGGCTTTGTGGCACTGCAGTGGGCTTTGCCCAGTCTGAACTTCCTGGCGGCTTTGTTTACACTGACCATTTTCTTTTGATCTTCTCAATTTTTCTTGTTGACTTTTTGATTTGTGGGAGTTCCTTGAAGATTCTTGATATTGGTCCCTTCCCAGTTTCAGATGTTGTAAATATCTTCTCCCATTCTCCTATTTGTCAGCCAACTTTTATTGCATGACTGTTTGATATCGTGCATCCAGCAGTTTTATAATGGATTATAAAATCCATTAATTTTTACCTTATGGTTTGTGTTTTTTGGGTTTCGTCTATGCAGTTCTTTTCTAGCCCTAAGTTATAAATAAGATGTAAATATTTATCTTTCATATTTAGATATTTAATTCATCTGGAGTCCTTTGTGAGATGCTGAGGTAGGTAAGGATCCATTTCTATATCTCTGTCTTTTTTTAAAGTTTTATTTTATTTTCATTGACACATAATATATGCATATATTTATGAGGTACAATGTGGTGTTTTGACACATTTATACATTGGGGAATAATCAAATCAAGCCAATTAGCATATCCTTCATCTCAAATATTCATCATTTGATTTCTTTTTTTTTTTTTTGAGATGGAGTCTCATTCTGTCGCCCAGGCTGGAGTACAGTGGCATGCTCTCTGCTCACTGCAACCTCTGCCGCCCAGGTTCAAGCTATTCTCCTGCCTCAACCTCCCGAGTAGCTGGGATTACAGGCACCTGCCATTGTGCCTGGCTAATATTTGAAAACATTTAAAATTTTTTATTAGCTATTTTGAAATCAACACACTATTATTGGCCATAGTCACCATGCTATGCAATAGTAGATCACCAGAACTTTTTATATGTATCTAACTGAAACGTTGTACCTGTTGACCCACGTCTGCTCTTTCCCCATCCCACCCTCACCCTGCCAGCCCTTGAAACCACCATTCTACTCTCTACTTGTATGAGTTCAACTGTTTTAGATTGCACATGTAAGTGTCATACAGTATTTCCCTTTCTGTGCGTGGCCTATTTCACTCAACATAATGCTTCTAAGTTCATTCACGTTTTGCCAATGACAGAATTTTCTGTTTTTCTAAGGCTGAAAAGAATTATATTGCATGTATCTATAGCACATTTAAAAATTATTAATCCATTGATGGACATTTAGGTTTTCATAACTTGGCTGTTGTGAATAATGCTGCAATGAACATGGGAGTGCAGACATCTCTTGATATACTTATTACAGTACCTTTGGGTATACATCCATTAGTGGGATTGCTAGATCATATGGTAATTAATTTACAATACCACCAACAGCATATAAGTGTTCCTTTCTTTTCATATTCTCACTAACACTTGTTATTTTTCATCTTTTTGATAATAACCAGTGTAACAGGTGTAAGGTGGTACTCATTGTGATTTTAATTTGCATTTCTCTGATGATTAGAGATGTTAATCATGTTTTTATTTATCTGTTGGCCATTTCTATGTCTTCTTTTGAGAAATGTCTATACAAGTTGTTTGCCCATTTTAAAAATAGGGTTATTTGTTTTCTTATTAATGAGTACTCTGAGTTTCTTGTGTTTTTTGGATTTTAGCCCCTTATCTGATGTGTAATTTGCAAATACTTTTTTCCAATCTGTAGGTTGTCTCTTCACTCTATTACTTTTTTCCTTTGCAGTGCAGAAGCTTTTTCATTTGAAACAATCCCATTTATATATTTTTGCTTTTATTGACTGTGCTTTTGGGGTCATATTCAAGAAGTCACTGTCCAGACCAATGTCATGGAGGTTTCCCCCTATGTGTTCTTCTAGTAGTTTCATAGTTTCAGGTCTTAAGTTTAAGACTTTAAACCATTTTAAGTTGATTCTTATAAGAGGTTAGATAGGGTCCATTTTTATTCTTTTGTCTATTGATATTCATTTGCCCACTTATTGAAGACATTTTTCTTTCCACATTGTGTGTTCTTGGCACCTTTGTCAAAAATCAGTTGACTGTGTGAGTTTCTGTGCTTCCTATTCTATTCCATTCGTTGATATATCTGTTTTTATGCCGGTTTCATGCTATTTTGATTACTGTGGCTTTCTAATAGATGAAATTCTGTAGTGTGATGTTTCTAGCTTTGTTTTTGTTGGTTTGTTTAGTCAAGCTTGATTTGGTTATTTGGAATATTTTGTGGTCCCAACACAAATTTTAGGATTTTTTTTTCTATTTCTGTGAAGAATGAATTTTAATAGGAATTATATGGAATCTGAAGATTGTTTGGGGGAGTATGAACACTTAATTATGCAAACTCTTCCAATCCATGAACATGAGCTATCTTTCCATTTATTAGTGTCATCTCCTATTTCTTTTTATTGAAGGTTATAGTTTTACATATATAGATTGTTGACTTCATTGGTTAAAATTTTTTGGATACAATTGTAAACGGGATTGTTTTCTTAATTTATTTTTCAGGCAGCTTGTTGTAGTGTGTAGAAATGCCACTGATATTTATTACTAAATTTCGTGTCCTTCAACTTTACTGAATTTGTTTATAAGTTCTAGCAGTTTTTGGTGGAGTCTTTAGGATTTTCTATATACAAAATTATGTCTTCAGAAAACAGGGATGATTTCACTTCATTCTTCTCCATTTGGATTCCTTTTATTTCTTTCTTTTGCCCAATTGCTCTTGCTAGGACTTCCAGTAATATGTTGAGCAGCAGTAGTGAGACTGTCTTGTGGGCATCCTTGTCTTGATGATGCTTTTCACCACTGGGTATGACATTAGCTGGAGGATTGTCATATATGGCCTGCATTGTGTTGAGAAATATTCTTGTTATACTTAATTTATTGAGTTTTTTTTTGTCATGAAAGAATATTGAATTTTGACTGATCATTCTGTTAATATGGTGAATCGCATTTATTAATTTGCACATCCTAACCTTGCATCCCAAGGATAAATTGCACTTGATTATGGTGAATGATCCTTTTAATGTGCTGGTAAACAAAGTTTGCTAGTTTATTTTTTGAGGACTTTTACATCTATATGCATCAGTAATATTGGCCTGTAGTTTTCTTTCCTTGTAGTGTCTTTCTCTGGCTTTCATATTAGGATAATGTTGGCCTCATTAAATGAGTTTCGAGGGCTGGGCAGAGGGGCTCATGCCTGTAATCCCAGCATTTTGGGAGGCCGAGGTGGGCTGATCACAAGGTCAGGAGTTTGAGACCAGCCTGGCCAATATAGTGAAACCCTGTCTCTAATAAAAATACAAAAATTATCCGGGCATGGTGGCAGGTGCTTGTAGTCCCAGCTACTCAGGAGGCTGAGGCAGGAGAATCACTTGAACCCAGGAGGCAGAGGTTGCAGTGAACTGAGATTGGGCCACTGCACTCCAGCCTGGCAACAGAGTGAGACTCCGTCACAAAAAATAAAATAAAATAAATAAAATAAAATAAAATAAAATAAAATAAGAGTTTCCAAGTGCTCACTCCTTTAACTTTTTGGAAGAATTTAGAAGAATTGGTATTAGTTCTTCTTTAAATGTTTGCAGAATTCAGCTATGAAGCCATCTTCTATTTTTCTTAATCTAGTAAGACAATTTTCCCAACACCATATATTAATAATCTGTTTCAGTTTAATTTGTGGGTTTCAGCCCCATACATACAAGGGCTCTATCATAGTTTTCTTTTCTTCTTTTAGATTGTTATTTTTTAAATTTTACCTTTTTTTTGCAGAGGAGTCTTGCTCTGCCACCCAGGCTGGAGTGCAGCAGCATGATCATGGCTCACTGCAGCCTCAGCCTCCTGGACTTAGTGATCCTCTCACCTCAGCCTCCAGAGTAGCTGGAACTATAGATATATGCCATCATGCCTGGCTAGTTTTTTAATTTTTTTGTAGAGATAGGGCCTCCCTATGTTGTCCAGGTTTGCCCTGAACTCGTGGCCTCAAGTGATCCTCATGCTTCAGCCTCTCAAAGTGCAGGGATTACAGGCTTGAGCCACCATGCCTGGCTTTGGACTGTTTTTTTTTTTCTTAATTTTTAATTTTTGTGGGTACATAGCAAGTGTATATATTTATGGGGTACATGAGACATTTTGATACAGGCATTTAATGTGTAATAATCACATCAGGGTAAATGGGGTATCCATACCCTCATGCATTTATCCTTTCTTTGTGTTACAAACAATCCAATTATACTTTTAGTTATTTTAAAATGTACAATAAATTATTACTGACTGCAGTCACCTTGTTGTGCAATCAAATACTAGATCTTATTCATTCTAACTATATTTTTGTACTCATTAACTGTGCTCACTCGCCAACCTCACTATTCTTCCAAGCCTCTGTAAGGAGTACATCCATCATTCTACTCTCTATCTCCATGAGTTCAATTGTTTTATTTATTTATTTTATGTATTTGTTTTTTGAGATGGAGTCTTGCTCTGTCACCCAGGCTGGAGTGCAGTGGTGCAATCTCGGCTCACTGCAAACTCTGCCTCCCAGGTTCAAGCGATTTTCCTGCCTCAACCTCTTGAGTAGCAAGGACTACAGGTACGCGCCACCACGCTCGGCTAATTTTTTTTATTTTTTATTTTTAGTAGAGACTGGGTTTCACCATATTGGCCAGGCTGGTCTCCAACCCCTGACCTTGTGATCCGCCCGCCTTGGCCTCCCAAAGTGCTGGATTACAGATGTGAGCCACTGTGCCTGGCCTGAGTTCAATTGTTTTAAATTTTAGCTTCCACAAATAAGTGCAAACATGCAAAATTTGTCTTTCCATGTCTGGATTATTTCACTTAACATAATATTCTCCAGTTCTATCCATGTCATTGCAAATGACAGGATCTCATTCTGTTTTCATGGCTAAATAGCACTCTATTGTGTATACGTACCACATTTTCTTTATCCATTTATATATTGACAGACACTTAAGTTGTTTCTAAACCTTGGTATTATGAATAGTGCTGCAATACACATGGGAGTGCAGCTATCTCTTCAATATACTGATTTCCTTTCTTTTGGGTATATACCTAGCAATGGGATTGCTGGATGATATGGTAGTCTTATTTTTAGTCTTTGCTACTTTGGACTGTTTTTGTCCTTGCATATGCCATATTGTTTTTATCAGTATGGTTTTATAATATATTTAGTAGGGCAAGTCTTTCTACTTTAGTCTTCATTTTCAAAAGTGGACTTAGTTTTGTGTGAGCTTTATTTGTCTATATAATTTTTATTGTTTTGACAAAAACTGGTTAGATATAAAATATTTATAAAATATGTGTATAGTATGAAGGATAAAAGTAGAACAAGTAGCCATGTACTTACTCCCAGTAAATAAAATGAAGCATTATCTTTGAAGTTCCCAACACACCATTTCCCAATCCATTCCTGAGGTTCATTCTTCAGAGGTCAACTTTATGCTGAATTTTGTGTCTATCATTCCATTGCTTGTCTCAGTCCTTTGCATAACTAAAAGTAGATTATTTAGATTTGATTTTTTTTCTGTTTTTAGCTTTGATTACTTTTAAGTTGTATAGAAATGTAATCATACTGGATGTATTCTCCTTCTGCTTTCTTTTATTCCCTTTGACATTATATTAGTGAAATTCATCCTTGTTGTTGTGCATGTTTTAGATCATTAATTTTCACTGATATATGGTATTCCATTGTATGAATATACCGTATTCCATTTATCATACTGGTGCTGAATGGTTTCCAGTTTTTGCTATTACTAACAGTACTGCTATAAATATTCTTGTATATTTTTCATGCTGCTCATGAGAAAGGTTTTTTCTACAATAGGGCTTCTTAAATTGTTTTACCTCAGGACACTTTTCATTTAAAAAAATTATTGAGAACTCTAAAGAGTTTTTAATTATACAGTTTGTATATACTTATATTTGTTTTATTAAAAATTAAAATTGAGAACATTTAAAGGTATTTATATATTCATTTAAAATAGCAGTGGTATGCTGGGAGAACTGGGTATCTACATGCTGAAGAATGAAATTGGACTCTTATCTGATACTACATGCAAAAACCAACTCAAGATGAACAAAAAACCTAAACTTAAGACCTAAACTGTAAAACTACTAGAAGAAAACATAGGAGAAAGCTTCATGACATTGGTTTGAGCAACGATATTTTTATATGACCCCCAATCATAGGCAACAAAAGTGAAATTAGACAAATGGAATGACACAAAACTAAAAACCTTTTGCATTGCCAAGAAGACAATCAACCAAGTGAGGAGACAGCCTATGAAATGAGAAAGAAAATATTTGCAAACCATACATCTGATAAAGTGTTAATATCCAAAATACATGAGGAACTCAAACAACTCAACAGCAAGAAAACAACCTGATTAAAAAAAGGGCAAGGATCTAAGCAGACATTTCTCAAAAGAAGACATACAAACAGCCTACAGGTATATAATAACATGCTCAACATCACTTATCATCAGGGAAATGAAAATTAAAACTACAATGAGATATCACATCACAGCTGTTAGAATGGATATTGTCAAAAAGATTAAAGATAAGTTCTGACAAGGATGTGAAGAAAAGGCAACCCTTGCACTCTGTTGGTGGGAATGTCAGTTAGTACAACCATCTCGTGGAAAACAGTGTGGAGGTTCCTCCAAAAGTTAAAAATAGAAATACCATATGATCCAGCAATCCTACAACTGAATATACACCCAAAGGCAATGAAGTCAGTATGTTGAAAAGATATCTGTGCTCCCATGTGTATTGCAACACTATTCACAATAGCTAAGATATGGAATCAACTGATGTGTCCATCAATGATGAATAAAGAAAATGTTGTATTACAGACACAGTGGAATACCACTCAGCCTTATAGAAAGAGAAAAATCTTATTATTTGCAATGACATGGATGAACCTTAAGGACATTATGTTTAAGTAAAATAAGCCAGGCACAGAAAGATAAATACTATATGACCTCACTTACATGTGGAATCTAAAAAAGCTAAAGTTATCGAAGTAGAGAGATAGTCAAAGGATAAAAAATTTCATTTAGATAGGAGCAATAAGTTTAAGAGTTCTATTGTACAATGTGGTAACTATCGTTAATAAAAATGTGTTCTTTAAAATTGCTGAGAGTAGGCCAGGCACACTGGCTTACGCCTGTAATTCCAGCACTTTGGGAGGCTGAGGTGGGTGGATCACCTGAGGTCAGGAGTTCAAGACCAGCCTGGCCAACATAGTGAAACTCCATCTCTATGAAAATACAAAAATTAGATGGATATGGTGATGGGTGCCAGTAATCCCAGCTACTCAGGAGGCTGAAGCAGGAGAATCACTTGAACCCAGGGGGTGGAGGTTGCAGTGAGCCAAGATCGCGCCACTGCACTCTAGCCTGGGTGACAAAAAAAAAAAAAAAAAAAAAAAAAATTGCTGAGAGTAGATTTTAAGCGTTCTCACCACAAGAAATGATAAGTGTGTGAGGTAATGCATATGTTAATTAACTATAGCCATTCTAGAATGTATACTTATTTCAAGATATAATGTCTTATGCAATAAATATATATAATTTTTATTTGTAGTTCAAAAAATAATTAATAAATTAAAAATTATAGCAATAAGCCCATTATATGTTGATATAAATAACATATTTTCATAAAAAAGAATTCTGTTTTTCAAAATAAGAAAAATTTATGAAGAGGGTATTGTTTTACATTTTTGAAAATCTCTTCAACAGAAGGCAGCTAGATCTTCATATGTGCCTCTATGTTCAAACTGTTACATATTATTTTGGTTGAAGTATGTGAAAAAAATTTGGCCTCACTCAAACATGTAGTTGGAAAAGGTAATGGTATTTTATGAACCTTTTCAGATAATTGTGAATCTTCTTCTTTGGCACTATACCTAAATTTGGCCAATGGTAATTTCTTAAAGATTAGTTGCAATATGGAATCTGAAACCGTATCAATGACCTTTCCGTCCTCTGTTACATTAAAATTATTGCTCTTTCTTGCCCTTTGTGTGGAAATTTTATTCATGTATTATTTTGTAAAATCATGAATGTGTCATTTGGATGTTCACTGACTTATGCAGATATCACAAATACTGATACATTTTCTTATAAGACACCGAAAGTTTGCATTCATTAATATCACCACTGATCTCATCAGAAAAGCCTTTACATTTTGGGAAGTTTTTCAAAATTCCAAGTTTTGCTTGAAAGATTGAATTTTATCATTGACAATAAAAAATAACAAATAATGTTAGTTTTCCCTAAAGTGATAGACTCACTTCATCCATTTTGATGAATTGTTGGTCAGATAGTCAAGTCTGAATAGATATGGTTTTTCTGTTAGTATTTGTTTCAAATAAAAATGGTGTTCTTTGGAAACAATGGTTAGTTCAGCTCAGAATTCAAACAATGGCACAAGGGCTTTTGAGAGACACACTTCATGCTTCAATATGCAGCTGAGGTGTTTCAGGTATATTTCCCCTTTCATCACATAGAATGTTAAAAAGATGTTTATCTAGAGTTGAGATTTAGGCTGGGTGTGGTGGCTCATGCCTGTAATCCCAGCACTTTGGGAGGCTGAGGCAGGCGGATCATGTGAGGTCAGAAGTTCAAGACCACCCTGACCAACATGGTGAAAACCCGTCTCTACTAAAAAATACAAAAATTAGCCAGGCATGGTGGCAAGCACCTGTAATCCCAGCTACTCGAGAGGCTGAGGCAGGGGAATCTCTTGAACTCGGGAGATGGGGGTTGCAGTGAGCCAAGATCGCGCCACTGCACTCCAGCCTGGGAAACAGAGTGAGACTTTGTCTCAGAAAAAAAATATATTGAGATTTAATAAAGTTAGTACCTTTTCTTGCCTCAAGGACATTCTTAAGTAATACTGGCAATTTTTTTTTTCTGTGCGTACATGATAGTGTAATGTAAACAGAATGAAAAAAGCAAATTATGTCTAAGTGTGATAACGAACATAGTTTTGACTTGTGGAACCTCCTAGAGGGTCTCAGGGACTCCGAGGAGTTCATGGACCACACGCTAAGTACCTGCTCTAAACGCGTCAAAATGAAATTGCTGGGTTATACCTATTCACATCTTCAGATTTCCTAAAGAATGTCAAATTGTTTTCCAGGTAGTTGTAACAATTTCTGCTTCTATAAGGAATGTAAAAGAATTCTCATTTCTCTGCATTCTTGCCAACATTTGATATGACCAGAGTTTTACGTTTTGGCCGGTATGGTGCATGTGCATGAGCACCCCACTATGGGGTTAATTTGCATTATCCTGTTGAGTATTTTTTTTTACATCCTAATGGGTTATTTGTGTTTCTTCTTCCATCAAGCACTTAAGTGTTTTGCTTAGTTTTCTCTTGATTGTTTGCTTTCTGATGTTATTTATAGCCATTCTTTGCATGATATGGATTCCTCCATCCTTTTCTCGTTCCAGAATCCTTACCCTTTATTTCTTTCTTCTCTTCTTTTATCATGGGATCTGTCACCCTTCTCTATAGAAATCATACATTTTCAAGAATTTTTTTTTTCAGTTTCTCCTTATGTCTTGCAAGGCCTGTGGTCGCTGGCATTGCGAGGTAGTCCACATCTCTTCTCCTCCACCCGTCTGCTGATGCGTGACAGTACACTCTGGTCTCAGTGTCTGGCAGATCTCCAGAGGAGGGAGGGAAGGGTGAACTCTGGACGCTGGACATCTCCCACTAGGATTTTGTCCCAGACTTTTGTTTTCTCCGAGGCCTAAGCTCATTATGTAGATTATATGTGGATAGGTAAGGGAGAGAAAGGAGAGCTTTTGATGGAGGAGAGAGAACATACAGCCTTCTCTGTGACTGGGGAAGGGGACATGATTGGAGGAAATGCAAGCAGCAGGAACCTGCACCTCCAGCCCTGGCAGCTCCCTGGGGGAAGGGCAGCATCTCAGAAGACA
Source organism: Homo sapiens (assembly GCF_000001405.40). Taxonomy (NCBI): domain Eukaryota; kingdom Metazoa; phylum Chordata; class Mammalia; order Primates; family Hominidae; genus Homo; species Homo sapiens. Next base: position 40,954,528 of record NC_000008.11, on the reverse strand, counting down.
GGGGCATTTTCAGCCTCAGCAAAGATTCCCATGCCTCAACGACCTGTGGAAGGGGAAGACACCAATCTTCAAGGGTCTCCTGCAACTAAGGACAACGTGGATGACAGCACTCACCATGGGAATTGGGGGCTGTTCTGTTTCCTGGGTACCACATGGACCTCAGCTGGCTGAGGGATGGGGTGGGAGAAAAAACTGAGAGGGACTTTGTTGTCATCCCAGAGAGATGAGCTTTAAACTTAGATTTTAAAGAGAATAAAGAAATTGGTATTTCTTACACACAACTTGAGGGACTAACGTTTATGCCTGTTAAAATTGTAGCTTTGATTTTATTTCTTATGAACAAATAACGCTGGCTTTATAATGCTTTGAACACTCCCTTCCTTTCTGGCCCTGAGTTAAAATTTCCAAACTTCCTACTTTGACAAATATAACAAGTCCATGACCAAATCAGTCAAGGAATCTGTGATCTGTGGACATGTGTGGGATCCAGGAATCTGCAGTTTAACAAGTCCCCAAGTGATTCTGATGCTAGGACCCGTGTTTTATTTAACGCTAGATTTCTCTAAGTGGTTGGTGAGAGATAAAGTTTCATTCAGTCCTGCTTCCATATTTGTCAGGCAAAATTGTTGCCAGGATTGAAGATTTGTTTGCAATGTGCCCAGCCTAAAGTAGAGAGGATCAATTAGGGATACGTTCTATTATTATGATCACTAGGGAGGGTGACACTTGGGTTAAGTTTTAAAGGTTGAGTAAAAATTGGCCAAAGAACGAAGGAAAGGAATACTTCAGCCAGAAATCAGCATACCCATGTAGCAGGTGTTCCCGAGGGAGCCTGCTGGAGAGGCGGGCAGGGACCGAGTCTCTCATGCCAGGTTTGTACGTGGCACATGGAACGTGTGGCAAATGGATTGCAAGGGGGAGGGATTGGAGCCACAGAAGGAGTGAAGGGTTATTCTAATAATACAGCCTCGAAATCCTGACAGCCAGTGATGCATGAGTCTTCTAATACTCCTTTTGGCCTTTAAATCCATGCTTTAGTTGTTGCCTTCCTTGAAGACATGGCTGGGGGTGTCATCTTAGTATTTACAACCATCAGTTAGGATTACATTGACAGCATCTAGTGGGAGGGAGAGTCCACTAGACCCCATGGCTGGAAATCTGAAGAAAGAAAGCTGGCATGCGTTATAAAATCACAAGAATAGCCAGCACCATCTCCACAGGCTGTGGAACCCCGCGCGATACCAAGGGGATTGGAGCAAGCAAGTTACACTCTCTGCTTCTCTTTCTAAGGTAGGTGACCTCAAGGTAAGTGAAACATCCTTGACTTGGGGAGCAACCATCAAGTCACAGGGAATGGGTAGTATCCCTACCTTGTTCAGAATACAACCTGCCAGCCACTTCAGGGAAAAAGTAGATAAAGCCAGAGCCAGCTGCCTAAACCTACTGCCTCCCTCCCCAAGAAATCGGATGGAATTTTGCTGTAGATTTCACACCCTAAGCCCCTCTTTGATACCGCACTTCTAGCCTCTGATTTTTATCTCTTTTTATTTACTGCTATCCCCAGGATCTAGAACAGTGTACATTACATCTTAGAAGCTGAAATACTTGCTGTCTGAACGAGTAGCCTCAGAGAAGATGAGTCTTCTGCAGGCTCATCCTTCTGTGTACTCCCAGCTCACCTCATTTTTTCCACCTCCCGTCTCTGCACCTCAATCTCACTTTCTATTGGAGCCTTCTCACAGCTGATAAAGGGGCTCAAGTCTCCCTCATGTAAAAATAGAAACACTCTCTGGCCCTCTAGCTGATAGTCTGATTACCTTGGCTTATTTCTATTTATTCCTCATGCTTCTCCCATGACCTCTGTCTCCCCCACTCCCCTAGAAGGACCCTCATCAACGTCGTGAGTGGCTGTACTGCTGAGTCCACTGTCGGCTTTTTAGTCATTATCTTAGCTTTTGTATAAGCCGCTTCCTTCCCAAAACTTTCCTCTCTTGGGGGAGGAAACATTGTGCTTTAACGGTGTTTCTCCTGATTTTCAGATCATTGTGTCGTATTCTGCCCCCAACCATGGGTTCTTCTATCTGCCCCCTAAACTTGGGGTTCCTAAGGGCTCCACCTTCAGCCCTTTCTCTTCTCACTTCCTACACTTCCCGAGGGATTAATATGACCCATATGCTGAGGGTGCACAGATATTCATCTCCAGCTGCACTTCCCTTCCCAACTCCAGACTCCTCCTGGGTGGCTCCACATGGATGCTTCCCAGGAGACCCAGAGAAGCGAGCAAACCAATCACAGAATCCCATCTTTGGGGAAAGTCTATTTCCTGAGACCACCTGGGTACTAGCAACTATACCAGTCAAGATGTAGTATTTATTAGAATGAATGGAAAAGCAGAGAATAAGCACTCAGATAACCAGAGGAAGCATTTACTGCAGCACCGCAGGGGGAATGAAGGAAGAGATTGCTGCTAATGGAACCCAGAAAGTTTGAGCAGAGCTGAGGAGAGCTGAGACTCAGACTCTGCAGAGGGCACAGCCAGCTGGGGGTGAAAACTCAGCAGAAGCCACAGAGCTGGGAGTCAGGCCTCTGAGGAGGGACCCTGACCGGCTGGTGCTGCTATTTCTGAAGGGATACAGGGGGCTGATTCTTGGGGCTGAAACTTCAGCATCTTCTGCTGCTGCCTGGAGAATGAACCATTGCTGGCACCCTGGAGGGGAAAGGTGCGTCCTCTCCTCCTCCAGCCTTCCGTTACCCTCTAGCGGCCCCTGTTGGTAGAGCCTGGTGGGGACCCCTCCAGAAAGGGAGCAGTGGTTTTCAGATTTCACAAGGATGAGTTTGGAGGTGAACTGATGATTAACGTTCTGTCATTCACCTCTGAACCTGCTCCTTCCGCCATGTATTTCAACGTGCTAGGTAATGATTTGTCTGCTCATACTCCACGCCAGAAAAGTGAAGTCATCCTGGACTCCACTCTCTCATATCCCATAGCCAATAAATTTGACTTCCTATTTACTTATTTATTTATTTATTTATTTATGTAGAGACAAGGTCTTGCTCTGTCTTCCAGGCTAGCCTGTAGCGGTGCGGAATGAGACCCCATCTCCAAATAAATAAATAAATACATTTGTTTCTTCCTGTATGTCCCCAGTGCCTCTGCACTTTTTTTTTTTTTTTTTTTTTTATGGGGTGTCACTCTCATCCAGACTGGAGTGCAGTGGCATGATCATGGCTCACTGCAGCCTCGATTTCCCCAGGCTCAGGTGCTCCACCCACCTCAGTTTTTGTATTTTTAGTAGAGATGGGGTCTCACCATGTTGCCCAGGCTGGTCTCGAATTTCTGGGCTCAAGCAATCCACCCACCTCGGCGTCCCAAAGTGCTAGGATTACAGGCATGAGCCATCGCACCTAGTCTTTTTTTTTTCCTTTTTCCTTTTTTTTTTTTTTTTTTTTTGCTAGAGAAAGTGTTGGTTTTATTATTCAAAGAATACTTTGGAAATGACACATAGACACCAGTGTCATTTTGGAAATGACACAAATGACAATTGACCAACTAGTTTGCCTTGCATTTTTATTTCAGTTTTGTAAAATATATCGAAAGGTAGATGGGTTTGCACTCATTTTGACCCTTGTCATCATCAAACTGAGCAACTGCTGCAATGCCTTTTACCTGATCTTTTTGACTCTTTTGTTGTTCCTTGCAAGCCTAAGTGTTCTTTTTAAAATGCTAATTGCTAACACTGCGTCCGTGTTGCACACCTGTTTATGGCTCTTCTTCACGACATAAGATGCATTCTAAGACTTTATCACCCTGCCTTTGCCTCCCTCTTCATCATTAACTTCCTCTCACCTTCTGCTTTCTCCATGCACGTGGTCCCAAGCACTGCACTCTCACTCCCCGTCCGTGTCGGTAAGTGGGTTCCCTCTTTGAAATGCCTACCTATCATCCCATATCCAGGCTGCCTGGCAATCTCCTTCTCATGCTCTTAAATCTGGCTACTGTTGCCTTTCCTGAGAAGCCTTCCCTAATCTCCCAGGTTAAGTTGATCTTTCATTTCTTTGTGATCATGGCTTGTTTCCACCATGTTATTGACCACACTGAATTTTGTATTTTCATTTATGAATCTGACTCCAGATCTGAATTAGGATTATATTCAGCAGTAAGTGACAGCAAATCAAAAAAGACAGTAGCTTATACAGTGTCAGTGCTTATTTCCACATAGAAGTCATGTGCAAGTCGGCAGTGCCTGGTCAACATGGCTTCCCTGGCCCAGGGAGATGGGGGGCTTACCTTGTTGATCCACTTCCCTTAATGCACAGCTTCCACTTCCTGGTCCACAATGGCTATTCTAGCTCAGCCTGTTAGGTTTGCCTTCTGACCAGCAGAGAGGAGAAACAGAGGGGGAAGGACACATCTCCTTGGTCCAAGGCCACTTCCTCCCCAGACTCAAACTTGTAAGAACAGGGTTATGTTAGTTTGCCAGGACTGACATAAAAAATTACCAAAAACTTGTGGCTTAACACAACAGAAACTTATTCCCTCACTGTTTTAGAGGCCAAAAGTCTAAAATCAAGGCATCTGCAGGGCCGTGCTCCCTTTGAAGGCTCTAGGGAAGGACTCATTCCTTGCCTTTCTCCCATGCTTTAGTGGTTGCTGACAATCCTTGGTGTTTTATGACTTGTAATGCATCACTTCCATCTCTGCCTCCACCTTCTTTCTGTGTCTTCACATGGCCTTCTCATACAGATACCAGTCATCGAATTTAGGGGCCACCTTAATCCATGGCAACCTCATCTTAACTAGTTACAAATGCAAAGACTCCATTTTCAAATAATGTCACCTTCCGAGGTTTTGTGTACATATGAATTTTGGGAGGACACTATTCAACTCATTACAAGGTTCTTATCTCTTCATCTTGCAACATGAGGCACCATGTCTAGAATACAGAAGGAGCTTAACAAAAGCTTTTAGAATTGAATACAACTGATTACTGGCTTCCAAGGTGTTTGGTTTCAGTTCTCTTCAATTAACATTCACTGAGTTCCTTTTTCCACAGGGCTGGTTAATCATTTTATAATATTTTCCCATGAAAAATTAGAATCAAGTCAGCATGGGATGATTTCCTGGTAATTTATCCAAATTATATACCACTTTATCCTGGTAAAGTGAAATAATACTTTGAAACATTAGGACAAAATTATAACAAAATGTAGTCATCCCTTTCCCATTCCTCAGTCCTGCTCCCTAAATGCAACTGCTGTGAACTCTTCCAGCTGGGTCTTGAGGTATTGAACTCCATGTTTCTAAGTAACATATGCTCACCACAATCCTTTGGGTCATCAGTTTTAGGCATTGCAGTTGACCTGCCAGGGTCCCACCTGGTCCCTTGGACCTTATCCCTCAGTGCGGCTTGCCTACTTCTAGCTGGCAATATCTTCATCTCTTTGCCGGAGAATTTTCTTCAAAGACTGCTCACCTGTGCACAGGAGCAGGCATGAAATGTCAGGCAATTTCCTCAAAAGCAGATCCAACCTAGCAGGGCTTGGTGTATAAATCCCCCCACTCCCTCGCCCTTGTGGTGGGCTAACTCAGGCAGGTGCTGCACCATTCTCCGGAGCTTCTCTGAGGGATTGAGACATAGTCTGCTCAAGGGGTTTCTGGTTGATCATGCACCATTATTGGTGGCTTCCCTTCCTGTCACTCTCTCCACTCCTCTATGGTGTTTTCTGTATCTCCCAAGTAAGCTTTTTAAAAATACCTTTTATTGTAGTAAAATGCACAGAACATTTATCATCTTAATCATTTTAAGTGTACAGTTGGGTGGCATTAAGTACATTGTTGTGCAACCATCACCAACATCCATCTCCAGCACTTTTCATCATCTCCAACTGAAACTCAGTGTCCATTAAACAATAACTCCCCATTCCCTCTCTCCCTCAGGCCCTGGCAATCCCTTCAAATAAGATTTTGCATTAATTCTTGTCTCTGGGTCTGCTTCAGGAGAAACTCAAGCTAAGACAGACATTAATTATTGATTTTCTGTCATGGTAATTCATTCATGACTTTATTCAACTAGTATTTATTAAAAATCTCCAAGGTGGCAAGCAATAGTCTATAAGTTACATGTATCTGTTAGAAAATGTTTTGAAGAAAAATAAAGCAGAGTAGGATGATAAGAGTGCTACAGTTTGGGGGATCATTATTGCTGATACATTGGACAAAAGAAGAGACATTTAAACAGGGACTTGAATGAGATGAGTGAGTGGGCCTCGTCCTCTCTGGGGAAGGGAGTTCTAGGCAGAGGCACCTGCTAGTGCAAAGGCCCAGAGGTGGGAATAAACTTGGATAAGGATTCAGCATTCTTATTCTTCCCACCTGCAGGCATATACTTCCCTTTCAATCTTCTCAGTACAGTTATAGCACATGCTTTGGATAAGTTAATAGTTGATTATTCAATTATTTGGCTTATGAAAATATTGTTGACTGCTAACCCATCCAATGTACAAATTTTTTTCTTGTATAAACTTTTGTTTTGTTTTTCCTGGAGCTAGACATGCTTTTCATGTGCTTAGTTTAGCATAGGTAAGAATTTTATCAGAGAAGCAGAACCACTAGGGTTTCTAAAAGTTATTATTATGAGTTCTCCTTTTTTTCCTGGATATCTTCCCCCTGAAGCTTTCTGTTTTTCTGTCCCTTCTCTAGTTATGGCACATGGGACATGGCTGTCCTTCTGGGACTTCTCTCCCGTTTCTCTGATGTGTCACTCATTTCCTGCATCCAGTCTTCTTCTTTCTTGGCTCACTCCCCCCATCTATCTGTTTATTGGTATGTATGCACGTGTTTATTGCTGCAACTCATCTTCTGGTAGCTTCTAGAAAATAGTGCATGAGAGATAGAAGCAAATCTACCTTCAAATTTGGTTGACAGTTTAAGTATTTAATTCTGAACTAAAAGTTATTTTTCCCCTCAGAACTTTAAAGAAATTGTCCCACAGCCTTCTAACATCTGATGAAATTCTTGAGAAATCCAATGTCATTCATATCCCTAGTTCATTGCATGTAACCTACCTTCCTTCCTTCCTCCCTTCCTTCCTTCTTTCCTTCCTTCCTCTCTTTCCTACTTTATTTTGATTATTATTTTTATCCACATGTTGTAAAGTTTCATGTTAAGGTTCTTTGCTGTGAACCTTTTAAAATTCATTGCATTGGTTATTAAATAGGCCCTTTTAATCTGCCCAGATAGGAATTTTTCCATATTATTTCTTTGTTAGTATCATCTTATTCATTTTTTTCTCTTCTCTATGGGACTTCTATTAGTTAACTCTTGGTCTCCCTGAATTGCTCATTGAATTTTCCTCCTTGCCTCTCCATAGCTCATCTGTTTGTTCCTCCTCTTCCTCCTCCCCTTCTACTTCTTCCATTTTTAAAGTATTTTCTGGAATAGTTCCTTGACTTTATGAACTCTTTTATTGATTAAACAATGTTTGATGTTCATAATTTTATTATTTCATTTTTTAATAGAGTTTCTTATTCTCTAATTGCTCCCATTTTGCTATTGGGGCCCTCTGTTCTCATTTCATGGTGTCATTTCTTTTTTGTATCTCTCTAAAGATATTGATAGTCTTTGGAGCTTCTTGTCTGTTCTTCGTATAATCTCTGCTTCCTGATTTAAAAAATAATTTGTTTTGATCTTCATATTAGATTCTTTCCTTAAAAAAATCTGTTGATACTTTGCTGTCTGTTTACATTTTGAAATTATTAAGGACTCAAGGGTTGATGTGAGGCTCTCTGATTGCAACAGGGCACTGATTCTGGACTTCACGGTAGGGTGGTGGGGCTGAAAACTGACTTTTCCCTTGAGAGACACTCAACTGTATCTGTACATATACTCAGGACTTTCTGTTTGTTAGCATAGAATTCTGTTTCTTGAATATTTTCCCATCTCCTGTCTGGCCACTGGCATTTGGGGACTGGGGCTGGAAGAGGATGGTGAGGAGTGAAGGAGGATGAAGGTGTCTTTGTTCTGTAGACAGAGATCATTCAGCCCCTCTCTTCAGCCTGGCAGCTGGCCCATGTCTGCCTGTGGGCCTCAGGGGCCCTTTTCTGAGGTTCACCCTGCAGGGCCAAGGAAGGGCCATTCCTTGGCTGTGCAGCGTATGGGGAGGGGATTTAGGAGCCTGACTACTCTGTATGAAAGCTTTCAGACAGGTCTCTTTTTAGTCTCTTCTCTTGCCCCACTTTCCCTCGGAACTCAATGCTTTCATTCTGGGCCTCCCAGGGTCCTGCAGTGAGCGGCGAGCTGCCCAGCCTCCCTGGCCTGTGTGGGGGTGCACCGCTCTTTCGCCCGCCATTTGACTTCTGGAATCTTGCTGCTGTCTCTCTGCTGCTATAAATTATTCTCTTCTCATTGTCTTTGTAGATTTACTCCTCTTTTATTACTTTCTTATGATATTACTACTATTTCGGGAGAGTAGGTATAAATGCTTATGCTCATTTCACCTAGTTAGCTGGAAATTCGCCTATTTTGCCATGCTGATTTGCATGAACAGTTGGTGGCTAATGCTATTCACTGCACTTTAGACTGTTCTCCACAGAATGTGTGCAGGGCTCCTGGCAACAGCAGAATAACGCAACGTTGAAGACCTTGAGCTCTGGCCTGTTTGCTTGGAGAAGTCACATCCTCTTTGTTTCTCAGTTTCCTCATGTGTGAAATGGGGATTATGATAGTTCTGACCTTAGAGGTAAATTAGATAATGCTTGTAAAATGCTTTGCTGTTTTGAGCACAGAATAGCTGTTCAATAAATTGGAGCAATTATTGTTATGAATACAATTAATGTATCCATGTATTACTCAGTGATAAGAATGTCTTGCAAACACTATTACTATAGCTGAGATAGGACCCAGTAAGAAAAAGACTCAATATTATAGACAGAAGCCCCTAATAATTCCAACCAAGCAAGGTATTTATTAAGCACCTAATGGATACCAGTGTTATGCTAAGCACTGTGGAGAACACAGAGAACAGTATTCAGATGCAGAGTCTGTCTTTAGGGAGCTTGCCATTCAGCTGGGGAGAACATTTAAAGAAGAGCTAAGACCTAAGTCATAAGTTACTGGTCAAAGTAGAATAGAGACAGAAGGGAGAAGATGTGGGGGTTAGATTAGGGGACACATGGCTGCCTGGAAGATAGAGAATCTGGCCTGAGTTTGGATGAAGAGGCATTTCTTGATGCATTAAAGGAAGGAAAGAGTCATCCAGGTTGCAGAAACAGCAGGAGCCCAGCAGGGTGGGAGGGAGAAGCCTTGTGTTTGCAGAACAGTGAGCAGAAAGCTCAGGTGAAGGAGAAGCTGCTGGACGTAAGGCTGGATATTAAAGGTGTGATTAGACTCTGAACAGCTCAGAAAGTGTGACAGAGGAGCTGGCAGGCCATATGGCAGACTCTGGCTTTTGAGCAGGGAGCAGCAAAACCCTTGAGGTACAGGAGGTACCCGATGCTTTACCGCGGTCTCCAACCACCCGAAGGAGAAGGAGAACGTAAAGGGTAAGGTCTCCAAACTTGCCTGAGAAGTGAGGGATGAGATGGATAAAAAAGTTGATGCGGATCTTAAATACTATAGGAGCAAAAGCGCTAGATACACACAAGGATGGTGTTCAGGGAGCGGCTTCCCCTTCACTTGCAGTGGGAAGAGCTCCTTTCTGGGGACAGAGGAAGGAGACAGAGGTGCATGTCCCCGGTGGAGGGTGGGGCTCCTCTCAGGGGTTAGGGTTGCTGCTGCTCTGGGGAGCCCTGAGGTCGCAGGTTGAAGCTGTCCATGTGGTGGGGGTGGGGAGTGCATCCCCTCTCAGCCTTGAGGCCGCCGCTTTCCTGGCTTCCCCTCAGCTCCTGCAAGGGGAAAGACAGACTTGGCCTCTGCTAAACTCACTGGTCCTTGCTGACAATTATTTTTCTTTTCTGTGTGCCTCACAGGCTTGTCCTCATGAGCCCCCTCTATGGGCACTTCTGTGCTTTGGGTTGACATTGAGAATTCCCTGTGACCCTATGGGGTTTTCCTCTTTCATCCACCTGCCCCTCAGAGAACTGGCACGGAGATCTTTCAACTCTAACAGGCAGCAAAGAGTTCTTGTACCTGAATATCTGCCGACTAACTCCCTTCTGAGGAGCAGAGAGAAGGAGAGACCAGGCTCTGGAGTCTCAGCATCCGCTCTCAAGGGCACTCTCGCTGCAGCTCAAGCTGTTTCTCATTGGCTGTCTCTGGCAGTTTATTTCTGAACTGCTTAAGATTTTGCTGGGCTGTCTGGGGGTGGGGTAGGTAGTGTGAGGGCAATAGTTAAGAGTAAGTGAGGCAGGCGAGGGATGTGAGAAAGGGCCCGCCTAGGGGTGTGTTGATAAATGTTTTACAGGGATGGAAGCGGAGGACCTTGATTTGTAAAGTTTGCTGATTTCTGTGGTGTCAACAATCTCCCCCTGGCCAATTTCAAGCTACAAACAGGATGTTAAATGGCTAGCATAATTCTTAAATAAACTTACACAAGCTGGTTGGAGCTTTCACCAGTGCATCCCTGTTTCCGCTGTCTCTGGAAGTTTACAAGCCCAAGCTTCCATCGTGCATTTTACCATTGTAAAAAATAAAGTAAAAGTTCCTCTTCAAAGACTTTCCTCCCCATTTAATTAGGAATAAATAGTAACTTCTCTTAGAAGCAAAATTTATTCAAAGACCTGTGCTAACATTCTTAAATATCTGCTAGCCTTGATAAAGAAATCAATGTACTTTATGTTCTTAGCTCCCACAGTTTAGCCTAAATATTTGCCCTAGCATACTTATACTGGTCCAAGCAAGCAGTAGGTCATAGTCTGTTCCTCTTCCTTATTTAAAGGTGTTTTTACCTTTCTCAGCATTCCACAAGTTACTTCCTCCTTCCTTTGTTCTCTTCTACCTTTGCCTCTTTTAAAAAGTTCTAAGTTGCTAGCCAATCAGGACAAATACAAAATGTAAGGTCCCGTTCCAGCCAATGAAAACTGGACACAGCAATAGGGTGGATGCATCAAGGATATAAATGACCCTGACTCCTTTGTTCAGTGTACTCTCGTGGCAAAACTGCTGGCAAGTGTACCCTTTCTGCAGAAAGTATAAAAATAGCCTTGCTGAGTAAATTAAATTTACGTTCAAGTGCTATTTCTTTATGGCACTGGGGGACAAGCATTTCAAACACCACCAATCACAGTTGAACCGAGTATCTTTCCTCTCTGTGCCTCAGGTGGCCAAGAGCTTGGGTCTCACTGGCCCCAGGGCAGGTCACCAGTGCAGAAGTTATCAATTGGAAAGCTACATGGAGCATCGGAGAGTTCTTTGGGCTCTCTGACTGCTGTGGGTACTGCCTAATCACACAGCACAGTCAATTGCAAGAATGAGGGAGGGACAGGAAGGAAACAAGGCCATCACCTCAGAAACAAAGAGATCAGCTTGCTGGCAATTGATCCAGGTCTGTTTGCCTGCTTAGGGGTATAGACTGTTGCTCCTCTCACCAGCTGCAAGTTTTCTGATATTGCCCAAGCATGCGTCCTTGGTTTACATTCGTGATGGCTAACATCAATCGAGCTTCATTAACAGGTCAGGCTGGCTGCCACTGGCTGCCAAACAGACTTCATCTGCTAGTCTGTATAACAACCCTGGGAGGTAAGCACAATCTTTTTCCCTGCTTTAAGCAGAAGAAGACTGAGGCTTGGAATAAGTTGCATGCCGAGTGACACAGTTGTTAAGTGTAGAGCTGGGATTTGAAGCTGGTTCTGTTTGATTGTGGGCCCTTTCTGGAACTCTGGACATTAGTGATGTGGACATATCCTCTGCCATTTCTTATTTCTGGCTCTGTGAGGTACAGACTCACAGGACCTTCCTTGACTGGCCCCAGAAGCCAGATTGCCACATTTAGTTCACCCAAGGCCTGTCTTCGCTCCAGCACCCCTGCAGTCAGTGGGGCGTATGGAAGCCCAGGTCGACTTCACCCTGAGGATAGAGGCAAGGAAGTGCCACCCTCTGCAATGGAAGCAAATTAAATCCTGCCAGAGGCAGAGGAGGACAGCCACCTGAGAAGAATATCCACTCTGAGGAATAATTTGTCTCTATGTTGCTGAGAAGACTAGAGGGTCCCTTGGCCCTTACTGCAGAGTCAAGGGTGCTCTATAGAAGGCTGTCAGAGGCCTCTGATGCACAGAGTAACTCATGAGAGATAAACTACAGTCTAATGGGCTGTAAGACACCATCACCATGTCACAAAATGGCAGAAGACTTGAATGACTGATAAAGAACAAGGGACCCTCCCAGCACTTTGGGAGCTGAGGCGGGCGGATCCCCTGAGGTCAGGAGTTTGAGACCAGCCTGGCCAACATGGTGAAACCCCGTCTCCACTGAAAATATGAAAATTAGCTGGGCGTGGTACGGGAACCTGTAATCTTGTAATCCCAGCTACTTGAGAGGCTGAGGCAGGAGAATCACTTGAACCCGGGAGGTGGATGCTGCAGTGAGCTGAGATTGCACCACTGCACTCCAGCCTGGGTCATGAGAAACTCCATAAAAAAAAGAAAAAGAAAAAGAAAAAAAGAACAAGGGACCCAAACAGAGCAGGCTGAGGCATGTCAGGGAGTTCCCACAATACATGTGTAGACCAAAAATAAAATTCTAAGGCCTCTGACAGACTGAATGGACCCCCCTGTTGGCCAATGGGATCCCAAAGAAACCTAAAAAACTAGTTAAAGCCATAATGGTTGTGGGGGGAGGCAGGCATGGTGGCCCATGCCTGTAATCCCAGCACTTTGGGAGGCTGAGGCGGGTGGATCACCTGAGGTCAAGAGTTTGAGACCAGCCTGACCAACATGGTGAAACCCCGTCTCTACTAAAAATACAAAAAATTAGCTGGGTATGGTGGCAGGCACCTGTAATCCCAGCTACTCAGGAGGCTGAGGCAGGAGAATCAGGAGAATGAACCTGGGAGGTGGAGGTTGCAGTGAGCGGAGATTGCGCCATTGCACTCCAGCCTGGGCAGTAAGAGTGAAACTCCATCTCAAAAACAAAACAAAACAAAACAAAACAAAACAAAACAAAACAAAAAAACAGCCATGATGGAAAGTGGGGATCAGACATGCTCATCATAGCCTCCCTCCTTTGGAGTTGAGACTCAACTTACCAGCATTAACAGCATAACAGAGATCTTAAGACTGATGAAGCAGACTCTGTAGCAATAGGATACCGAATTTTAACCTGACTCTGGTACAGCATCACATGACAGATAGCAGGCCGTGAAGGAAATAAAAGTATTTTACCCCCAAATATATTTCTTTGACATATTTTGAAATGGCCTTGCAAAGCTTTCTCTTGTGGGGGAAATTTACAGTCTGCAGAGAATCTCCTTCCCTTACTAGATCCTTTCTGGAGAGTCTGACACTTTTTAAGGTCCAATAAGAGATATTCACATCTTTCTGAAGCCTGCTACCTGGAGGCTTCATCTACCTGACAAGAACCTTGGCTTCCACAACCCCTCTTACCTTAACTCAAGCTGACTTCAACTTTTCAGGCAGAGCTTCACTCTTTCAACCAATTGTCAATCAGGAAATCTTTGAATCCACCTGTAACCAGGAAGTCCCCCTGCTTCAAGATGTCCCACCTTTCTTGGCCACACCAATGTATACATTGCATGTACTAATTTATATATTTTCCTGTAACTTATGTCTCCCTAAAATGTATAAAACCAAGCTGCAACCCAACTACCTTGGGCACGTGTTCTCAGGACCCTCTGAGTCTGTGTCACAGGTCCTGGTCTTCAACCTTGGCGAAAGAAACCTCTAAATTGATTGAGACCTGTCTCAAATACTTTTTGGTTTACCCATGGAAGATGCAATTTCAAGTGGCTAGAACAGATTATGTAGACAGAAGGCTCTACACCCTGGAAAAAGCAACTTCATCAAGGTTTCATTTCTCCATGGACACTTCCCTTAAAAGTTCTCTGCTCTCTCTGGGTGAGGTGACTCATGCCTGTAATCCCAGCAGTTTGGGAGGCCAAGGTGGGAGGATCACTTGAGGCTAGCCATTTGAAACCAGCCTGGTCAACATGGTGAAACCCCGTCTCTACTAAAAATACAAAAATTAGCTGGATATGGTGGCACTCATCTGTAATCCTAGCCACTCTGGAGGCTGAGGCAGGAGAATTTCTTGAACCTGGGAGGTGGAGGTTGCAGTAAGCCGAGATTGCGCCACTGCACTCCAGCCTCAGTGGCAGAGTGAGACTCCGTCTCAAAAGAAAGAAAGAAAGAAAGAAAAAAGAGTTCTATGCTCCATTTGTTTGGTGACTGTGAGGCCGAATCTGGTACTCCTTCATAGTTCTAGCACGTCTTCCCTCCACTGCACACAAGACTTCCTCATTTTCCAACCTCCATGTCTTTGCTCACCTATGTTCTCCTTGGAATGGCCCCCCTGTATCATATTCCTTACAAACCTTTACACTTCATTCCAGACTCAGCTTGAATGCTGCCAAGAACAAAGGGAGGTTCTGATTCTCTCCCTACTCCCCACACTCCCTGCTGGAAGGATCTTTCCCTCTTCTGCGCTCCCTTAGCAAGTCATCTGCATCTTCCTATAGCACGTTCTCATCCGTGTTGTATTTATGTGCAGGGAAGCTTCTCGAGGGCATGACCCATGTATAACTTATCGCTGCCCTCACCACAGCATCTGGCATGGCACCTTGTGCATAAGTAAAAACTCAGAAGGTATTTGCTGAGCAAGATATTTAATTTTATTTTAGGGCAGAACCTACCTACCAAAAATTAAACCTGGGCGATGACCTGAATGGGCCATCCTGCTGAGCACACATCTCCCATTGAGGGATTACTACCCAGTCCCTTGTGAATTTGATGATTATGGATTCTTCCCCAAATATGTGTTCATCCTTAGATGAACCAATGCAATTTAATTTATTAACTTTAAAACAGACTCAGACACATCTGAACTTTGTTATGGCCACCTTAAGGCACAGTCTGATAAAGTATAATGCCTCTGGCTAACCTTCTGACTGTTAATCTTCCTCAGAACTTTTGCATTAAGAGCAGCAGTCTCAATTAGGTGAGAAAAGTCCATGATAATGTGTTCAGTGCTGCACTTCAAACTGATTAAGCCCAGAATCTAGCCATGCAGGGGATCCCAGACATCTAAATGTGGAGTTGTATCGAGTTTAAAGTACCTTTTCTTGGTGTGGTTGTAAAAATCGCCTTTGTCGGCTTTACCTTCTACTTTGCTGAGGAGCAGGAAAGGTGACGGCAGAGCAACCCAAGCTGCATAGGGGACAATCTGTGTTCTAGGAGGAAAATGCAGCATGTCTATCTGCAAAGAGGAGAGTAAACTCCATGCTCTTCATCATGATGCCTGAGGCTCCAAAATGTAATGGGAGAACTCTAGGAGTGATGCAGAAGCAAATTACCCGCCTGGTGCCTGGAAACCATGGCAGTCCCAGAACCTCGGCATCAACAAGCCTGCAGGGCCTCCAGCTCTGATTGCCTGCCTGCTCTAGCCTCCAGGCCACACAGCCCAGTGGCCCAGCACATAGTGTTAGCATCCTCCAAACAGACTGGCTGATCCCTGCAGGGCCGGAAGAGAGGGGACTTTCCCTGCCTCTGCCTCTTCCTCTGCTGGAATTTGGATTTGAAGCTCTGGGCCTAATGATGTCCTCAGGATGAGGAAGGAAGCTGCCATGCTTCATCCATCTTGAACGTCACCTTTAGCTTTGGGGGACACTTGTGGCTTCTGGATTTGTTTTTGTTTTCCTTCCTTCCCTCCCTCCCTCCCTCCCTCCCTCCCTCCCTCCCTCCCTCCCTCCTTCCTTCCTTCCTTCCTTCCTTCCTTCCTTCCTTCCTTCCTTCCTTCCTTTCTTTCTTTCTTTTCTCTACTTTCTTTCTTTCTTGATGGAGTTTCCCTCCTGTCGCCCAGGCAAGAGTGCAGTGGCGCTATCTTGGCTCACTGCAACCTCTGCCTCCCAGCTTCAAGTAATTCTCCTGCCTCAGCCTCCCAATTAGCTGGTATTACAGGTGCCTGACACCACGCCCAGCCAATTTTTTGTATTTTTAGTAGAGACGGGTTTTACCATGTTGGCCAGGCTGGTCTCGAACCCTTGACCTCAGGTGATCCACCTGCCTCCGCCTCCCAAAGTGCTGGGGTTACAGGCATGAGCCACCGTGCCTGGCCTGGATTCATTTTTCATTGCTGCACAACAAATGACACACATGTAGCAGGTTAAAACAATACACATGGATTACCTCATAGCTTCTGTGGGTCAGTGAGGATTCTGGATGACTTAGCTGGGTCGCCTGCTCAGGGTCTCAGGCTGATGTCACAATGTCACCTGGGATTGCAATCTCATCTCAGGCCTGGGGTCCTCTTCCACACTTTCTTGTAATTGGCAGAACCCAGTTTCCTGTTTTAAGAGTGAGGTTCCCATTTGCCTGCTGGCTGTTGGCTGGGGTCACTCTAAGCTCCCACAGACTGCCCTCAGGACCTTGCCCTGTGGCCTGCTCCATGTCACACCTCCAGGAAAGTGTCTACTGCTGCTTCTTGTCTCTTTCTCAGCTCATCTGATGAGGTCAGCACTGCCCAGGGTAGTCTTCCTTTTGGTGAACTCAAAGTCAACTGATTACAAACCTTATTTCTCCTGCCATATAACAAAATCACAGGAAAGCTATCCCATCACAGTCATGGTCCAGGCCACACTCAGGGGGATGGATGGATTATACATGATGTGTGCACTGGGAGGGGTATCATGGAGCCACCTTTAGAATTCTGACTACCACAGCTTCTTTCATCAGCTCCAGGTGTCTGCCTGAGGGATTTCTCTGGCCATAGGAGCACTGGGGAGGCCTGAAGTGCAAGGAATTTAACACCACCAGGGGGCACTTTCAACTGTGAGGGGAGAAAGTGGCTGCATAAGTACCCTGGCCTTCTGGTCCCT
The DNA here is from genome assembly GCF_000001405.40 of Homo sapiens. Taxonomy (NCBI): domain Eukaryota; kingdom Metazoa; phylum Chordata; class Mammalia; order Primates; family Hominidae; genus Homo; species Homo sapiens. The sequence continues at coordinate 40,937,546 of NC_000008.11, read as the reverse complement.
TGGTGAGACAACTCTGAGGTGTGTTTTGCCCAGTTTCACAAGAGTCTCCAAGAGGGAGTGAACTCCAGGTCCTAGAGCAGCACTCAACCCAATAAAGTTCCCTTGAGTAGCTTTCCTCCCTTGCCTGACTCAGTTCTCTATTCTTCACCACACTTCTGGGGACCACCTCTTAAATACTATTTGCACCCAAATCAGGATACTAAGTCAGGAAATTTATTCCTCATGTCCCTTTTGCCTTTCCCATAGCAACCTTGTTAAAACACTTCACTCTCCTCAGAGTCTCCACTGCTTCGTCCCACCCCAGCCCTCAGGAAATGACCCAGCCTTCTGACTGAATCTAAAAGGTGGAGGCTGCTTCTGCTTCTGTGATGTCTCCTTCAGGATTTCCTTCCTCGCCCACTACATGTATCTTCCTTTCCTTGTGTGCAGAGAATGAAGGGCTCCTTTCCTGCACAAGTCAGATTCCATCCCTTCTTTTCTACCTTGGGACTTTACCTTGGCTGCCATCTTTTTTCTTTTTGGGTTCGCTCCCTCTCAAGCTACTAGCTCTTCTCCTTCTCACCAATACAAAGGCTCACATCTCCCCTGAAACAACGCTTTCTTTTGTTCAGTAACACCTAAGCCACCCTCCTTCAAAATGAGGTCAGTTCTCTCAGCCTCTACTAATGCATGGTCATGGACTCTCCAAGCCCAAGTAGGTTCCTCCTGACTCCCTACCTGCCAGAAGCTGCCTCCCCGTGGGTCCCAGTTGTGGCTTCTTTTCTTTTCTTTTCTCTTCTTTTCTTTCTCTCCCTTCCTTCCTTTCCCCTCCCTCCCTTCCTCCCTCCCTTCCTTCCTTCCTTCCTTCCTTCCTTCCTTCCTTCCTTCCTTCCTTCCTTCCTTCCTTCCTTCTTTCCTTCCTTCTTTCCTTCCTTCCTTCCTTCCTTCCTTCTTTCCTTCCTTCTTTCCTTCCTTCTTTTTATTTTTTAGAGACATGGTCTCCCTATGTTGCCCAGGCTGGTCTCCAACTCCTGGGCTCAAGTGATCTTTCCTGCCTCAGCCTCCCGAAGTGCTGGGATTACAGGCATGAACCACTGTGCCCAGCCCTGAATGACTTCTGATGGCAGCCTCTCAGCCTTTCTTGCTCTCATTCTCATTCTCTCTGTTGTCTCTGTAGGATTTAAAACTCCCACTCCTTAAATAAACTCTTTCCTCTTTCAGTTTTCATGAAAGTGACATTTTTCAGTTTCTTTTTTTTTTTTCCTGGCAACTCCTTTTAACTTCTGGTCTCCTCCTTTCGTCTTCATGTCCCAAGCATCAATAACTGCTCAGAGTCTCCACTTGCTTTGTCGTCCTTGGCAGTCCCAGAGCCCTGATAACCACTTGACCCCCTGCTCCCACTCCCCTGGGGTCTTCACTGCTGAGACTGCCTCACACTCTACTCCCGGCTTCAAGACCACATCTTTCCTGAGTCAGGAATGATTTAATTTGTGCTAAACCACCGTTTGAGAAATATGGCATCCAGGCAAACATGCTGCCAACAAACTGTGGTGTCTCCTTGTGTGAAACGGGACTCCAGTCTGTCTGTGTTGGCCTCCACCCTCCCTCCAGGACCAGGGACAGTGGGAGACCGCCCCTCCTTGAGCGCAGGCAGAGCTTCTCTGGTGTCATTTTGTTCATTTCATTCTTATGGAGGCCACATGGGGTAAGAAATCCTTCCCTACATTTTAAAAATGAGTACACTGCATCCTAGAAGCCTGAACTATTTGGTCTAAGTGGGCTCTCAGCCCCTACTGCCTTCTCTTTTGTTGTCTACACCACCTTACTCCACCCCCCTCTGCCTGGCATTCGATCCCTCTCCATAAAAAAGCACTATAGTGTTGGGAACTGAAACAGTAGACATTTTCCTACAGTTCTGGAGGCTGGAGGTCCGGGATCAAGGAAACCGACCTGCAGGGTCGGTTTCTTTTGAGACCTCTCTGTTTGGCTTGCAGATGGCCGTCTTCTCCCCGTGTCTTCACGGGGTCTTTCCTCTGCATGTATCTGTGTTCTAAACTCCTCTTATGAGAACAATGGCTGTCATTGGATTAGGACTCACCGTAATGACCTCATTTTAACTTGGAGACCCTATCTCTAAATAAAGTGACATTCACAGTTACTGGGGGTTAAGACTTCAACATATATGCTTTGGGGTAGGAGGCACAATTCATTCCATAACATTCCCATTAGGCAGATGGAAAAGAGATGAGGGTCACATGGTTGACCTTCTGACCATCGCCTTGTGCTACCAATACATGGCCGTAGCCCCTCTGCCTACTAGGCCCAAGGGTGCCTGTAGGGGATGTGGCCTAAGCCGTCACTGTCCCTCCAACCTCCTGCTAAGGCCCAAGATGACCCAGCAGAGCTGCCCAGCTCTGTTCCTGTTTTCTCACCATACGCTGCTGCCTCCAGGTGGATGTGGCCCACTCCCAACGACCTTGCTTTGGACAGATGGAGGCCCTGAGGGAGCCTCTGTGATGTGATTCCACAGGGAATGCCTTCTCTTCCTAGCGTCTTCCTTGGTGTCCTCTGAGACGCCCTTCCTCCCACCTCCGTGCACACTGCCTTCCCTCTGCTAGCAGTCAGCACCCTCCCTTTCTGTTCTTGATTAAGTCTCTTCTTGTTCTCTAATTGTTCTCCCTTGTGTGGTCTTGTCATTCCAACAACGTTGCCAGCTCTTTGAAAGCAGCAACTAGGTCCATACTTTCATTCCTCGCAGGACCTGACTCAAGACTAGACCCATGCTAGACGGTCAGTAAAGGCGGAGAGGAACAAAAAAGTGTGGAAATGCTTCCTTCCGTTCCTCACACTCGCTTTACAGAATGAAGGAAGAAAACTGTTTAACTTTAGGAGAAACCTTCAATCATTTCCTTCTGCTCTCTTCTGATTTCCTCTCCCCACTCTTCTAAAGGACTTAGGATGTGAAGGGAGAGTGGGGGGCGTTTCCAGGTACCTCTCAGAAAGTCACTGCCTCCTCTGCTGTTTCTCCAGCTCCTCTCCCCTCTTTTTGCTGTTCTCTGTCCTCTCTGGTGCCCACGTCACACACCCTCATGAGCAGCGTGCATCCTTCATCTCCCTCGTTCTTTCTGTCTACACACACATGCACACACACATGCATACACAGGCACATACACAGGTACACACACACACGCATGCAACTCCTTCAAGAGGGTAGACCGGTGTTGGAAGGGGGGCTGTAAGGGCCCGGTGTCTTGCTCTTCTGAATGCGGGATTCTCTGTCTCACCAGAAGGGAGATGCTACCAGCGTTTCCCAGTCCCCCCCATGCCTCCTGCCAATTTTTGTGTTGTCGGTGGCTGCCAAGTGCCTGCAGTGATGTTTCATGAAATAGGGCTCAGAAGCCCTATTCAACGAAAAGTGCCTTGAAAAACGCACTCTCTTGTAAAATAAGTTAGGGGAACATGACTACTCTATTTTCCTCTGGGGAATTCACAATCTGCATGTATATTTAAAGGCTCTGAGAAGTTCTGCTGTAAAGAACCCACTCGTCTTTACCAAACTCAGCTTTTTCTATTTTGTGTTACAGTCCCGCTTACCCTTCAAATCTCCTCCTACACATAACACCATTTACTATCCTGCAGAATCATTTAGGACTCACGGGCTTACAAGTGGGGCAGCACACGGGCAGTGGCTGATGGAGGAGAGGGGAGGCATCAGAAGAGATGCTATGATGGAATCTGCAGTCGCAGTAGCAGCAGTGGTGCCAGGGCCCAGGCTGTCAACCTTCCCCAGGCGCTCAGATCGGTGTGTGACACGGAAGACAGCCGGACGCGCGAGTTGAGTCTCCTCGGGGTATGGAACCGTGCGGGAAGGGGGAGGAATGAAGTATCCTAAGTAGCAACCATGGCTGCGCTGCTGGAGGCCTGACTGTGTTTCTTTCCCTTCTCCTTGTCTCTCGGACATACACCCTCGTCCACCAAGTGAAGGCCCTGAAACATTAAAGCTCAGCCCACAGCTCAGTCAACAGAGGCAAGGACGGGAGAGTCCCGGAGGCAGCCAGGGGACAGAGGAGCTGTAGCTTTGGTATTCTGTTGAGAAAGGCTGCCGGCACCCATATCAATAGACTGATATTCTTCTGATGAAATCTCCCGTGGCCTCAGGGAAGAGCCTGGGAGGCAGAGAACAAGGGAAGCAGCTTGACTTCTCCGGGGCTGATCCTGAGTGTGCAGAGCGGGTCGGCTGCTGCTCTTGGGAGAGACCTGAGGAAAGCCCGTGCTCCTCGGGGAGACTGCAGGAGGCCCTAGCAAGCTTCTCAAGAGCCTTCTCCCCGCTGCCCTTACTTCTTCCCAGCCCCAGCCTCGGGGGCAGCCACGTGGGGGCTGCTGGGGTGGGCCTGGTGCAGCTCTCAATCAGGGGCGTTCCTGCTGCGGCCTGCACCTCTGGGCACAGGCCATGCCCAGGGCGCTCTGCTCTCACGGAAGGCATGGGGAATCTCATGGGACCGCCGAGCTGGCAGTGCAGGGATGGAATCGCTGAGGTGGAAAACGTCGTAAGCTGAGTTGCATTAGGGAGATGGATTTCCTGCTCTTTTCCACGTCTCATAATTAATACAGAAGCCTGAACAGCGTGCATGGCGAGCAGGCCCACAGGAGGTGCTGCGGAAGGGCTGTGGGAAGCCCAGACTCCTCTGAGCGCCTGCTTTTCCTCTTGCGGGGGCGGCGGGCGGCGAGGGTGGGGGTGTGGTTCTGGAATCCATGCCAGCTGCAGATATTCCTGGTCTGATGACGAGAGACCGAGGAGGCAGGGTGCACGGCACACACACAACCTCAAACAGCCGGGCCTTCTCCTCTGCCTGTGGCACCTGCTTCTCCATTTCCCACAGCAGCCCTGACAGCTGCTTGTTCCCAAAGGCAAGAGAAGGGAGGTGGGCACGGGGTGTCTTATTATTGTGAGCATGGTGCATGCGGGGCCCGATGGGGACTGGATAAGGGTACAGTGGAAAGGGCTGTGCCTGTGGGGCCTGAGAAACGTAGGTTCAAATCCTGGCTCCACCACTTCCTGGTGTTTGGCAGGTGATTCACTTCTAGAGTTTCTGCGTCTTCATTTGTAAAGCTGGAGCATGATACCTGCACTCATTTATTTAATGAACAATATGAATATATGTAAATCCACACTGAAGTGTATTCTAGGTGCTAAAAGTAAAGCAGTGAACAAAATATAAAGTCTCTCCTCTTAGGATTTTTGTTTGTTTGTTTTTGAGGCAGGGTCTTACTCTGTTGTCCAGGCTGGAGAGCAGTGGTGCTACCATAGCTCACTGCAGCCTCCAACTGCCAGGCTCAATCAATCCTCCTACCTCAGCCTTCCAAGCAGCTGGGACTACAGGTGTGCCACCATGCCTGGCTAATTATTTTGTTTTATTTTTTGTAGAGTCTCCCTATGTTGCCCAGGATGGTCTCAATCTCTGGGCTCAAATGATTCTCCCACCTTGGCCTCCCAAAGTATTGGGGTTACAGGGATGAGTCACCATACCTGGCCATAGCATGTTTATATTCTAATGTGAGAGGGTGAAAAACTCAATAAATAAATATATGATGTATCAGGTGGTAATAATACTATGAAGAAAAATAAACAGGATAAGTAGATTGAGAGTGACAGTGATGTGTGTGTGTGTGTTCATGGGAAGGGTTTTTTTTTATCTTTTAAGAATGGGCAAGGAAATTATCTCTGATGGGTGATACTTGAACAGAAACTGGAAGAAAGTGAGGTTCCATGTAGATGTCCAGGCACAGGCAAGAGCAAGGTCAAAGATGCCAAGTGGAAGAGCGCCTGGTGTGTTCAGAGAGCATGGACACCCTCAGTGTGAGGACCAGAGGTTTATGTCCTCTCAGACGCATGCAGGGAAATCCCAACTCTCCAGGTGATGACATGAAGAGGCGGGGCTTTTGGGGGGTGACTAGGAATAGGATTAGTGCCCTTATAAAGGAAACTCCAGAGAGATCCCTTGCCCCTTCTGCCCTGTACAGTTACAGTGAAAAGCCAACCATCTATGAACCCGAAGGCAGGCCCTCACCAGACACTGAATCTACAGAAACCTTAATCTTGGACTTCCCAGCCTCCAGAAATAAATAAAAGAAATAACTTTTTTGTTCATATGCCACCCGGTCCATGGTATTCTTTGGTATTCTTTTGTTTTGTTTTGTTTTGTTTGTTTTTTTGAGACAGAGTCTCACTCTGTCACCAGGCTGGAATGCAGTGGTGCGATCTTGGCTCACTGCAACCTCCACCTCCCAGGTTCAAGCAATTCTCCTGCCTCAGTCTCCCGAGTAGCTGGGACTACAGGCAAGCACCACCACACCCAGCTAATTTTTGTATTTTTAGTAGAGATGGGGTTTCACCATATTGGCCAGGATGGTCTTGATCTCTTGACTTCGTGATCCACCTGCCTCAGCCTCCCAAACATGGTATTCTGTTATAGCAACCAGAATGGACTAGGACACTCTGTGTGTCTAGAGTAGAGGGAATGAGGAGAAAGTAGAGAAGAGGGTAGAGAGATTGTGTGTGTGTGTGTGTGTGTGTGTGTGTGTGTGTGTGTGTGTACAGGGAAGTCAGGTCATGTGGGCCTTGCATAATTACTTTAAGGGAAATGGACAGTCATTGGAGGCTTTGAGCAGAGAAATAACATGGCTTGACATACATTTTAGAAGCATCACTCTGGCTGCTGAGTGGAAAGGAGATTTTAAGACTGCTGTTGGGGAAGGAGGAAGACCAGTTGGGAGGCTGCTGCATCTTCAGGTGAGAGATGGTGATAGCTTGGATTATGGAAGTAGTGATGGTGTTAAGAAATAGTCAGGATCTGGATATATTTGGCATTTAGAAGCTAAAAGACTTCCTGATGGATGGATGTGGAGTGTGTGTATTGTGAGACACAAAGAATGCCTTCAAGGCTTTGTCCTGAGCAGCTAGTAAAATGGAGTTGTCATGAACCAAGATGAAGAATCTGCTGGAAGGAGACTGTTTCCATTGTGGCGGGGGCTGAGATCAAACGTTTGGCTTGAGGCATGTTAAGTTGCAGGTGCCTATTAAACATCCAAATGGAGGTGTTGAGTAGGCAGGTGGATGTGAGAGTCTGAGCCTAGGGGAGAGACTGGGGCTGGGATATAAAGTTGGGAATCACCAATTTGTAAGTAATTTTTTAGATCTTGGGACTGCATGAGATCATAAGGAATGCATTAGGATAGAGAAGAGAAAAGGTCTGTGGAATACTCCAGTGTTTAGAAGTCAGAAAAATGAGAAGGAGCCAGCAGGGGAATTTAGAAAACATGCTAAAGACAGGCATGTACATAGCACAGAGCAGGAACTCAGTTAAAACCCAGCCACCACCATCATCATAATCATCCCAATATTTATGGTTCGACTACTGGAAAAAATAGTTTTAAGCAAAAATAGCAAGTGTGCAGGAGGGTGTACCTCACCCACATTTTGTCTGTTTTCCTTCTCTCTCCTTTCTAGCTCCCGATTACTCATGGCTTCAGACTTCCATCAATTTAATAAAAACAAAACAATGGAGTGAAGACTGAAAAATTACCTATTGAGTACCATGTTCACTGTTTGGATGATGGGTACACTGAAAACCCAGACTTCATCAGCATGCAGTATATGCATCTAAAAGCTCTGCACTAAATATTTGTGAAAAAGAAGACAAAACAGGCAATAAAATAATTCTGACATATTAAAACAGCCAGCCTATAACTCAGTTCAAAATATTCGAGCAAAGCTGAGGTCTTTGGGTAGTTGGTAGGGTGAGTAATAACTGAATGGGGTGACAATGAGGAGAGTCAGGAGGGCTAAACATGGCTTCCACCTCTTGCCAAAGCCTGGTGTGGCTGCAGCCGAACCATTTCGTGCCTCCTATCCTTGAGGAGGGTGGAGACCACCATTCAGATAGGAAGATGGATCATACTTCTCATATGGCATCTGCGCCATTTGCTTTTCTGGTTTCCAAGGCATCTGGATCCTATCCTCAATTATCAATGTAAGATAACGGTGCTCTTGTTTTTCTTCTGAGAGTTTCACCTAGAATTGTTGCCCATTTAGTACCCACATTATGTGGTGAGAGAAGTGCCATCTAGGGGTGACTGTCCAAAGTCCCACATCCCATCCACCCCTGTAAGCACTCTGAGACCTGTGATCTTAGCAGACCATCAGAAGGCAAATTTCTTGAAAGATATTCATTTGTTTTCTTACATAATTACCTTCCTTGGATTGCATTTTGAGAATCATGCCCTTGGCTTTAATTAAACGTGCTAGAAACAGTCATGCAGAGTTCACTGCTACATTTGCAGAAGAACTATGGTCGCAGACACCATCCTATACCATTCTGGAAAAGCCTTTTCCAAGTGTGTTTTGTGGAGTGCAAGTCTGCAAGACACTAATAAAAATGTCACTATGTGCCGGGCACGGTGGCTCACCCCTGTAATCTCAGCACTTTGGGTGGCTGAGACGGGCGGATCACCTGAGATCAGGAGCTCCAGACCAGCCTGGCCAACATGGCGAAACCCAGTCTCTACTAAAAATACAAAAAAATTAGCCGGGTGTGGGGGTGGGCGCCTGTAATCCCAGCTGCTGAGGAGGCTGAAGCAGGAGAATTGCTTGAACCCAGGAGGCAGAGGTTGCAGTGAGCACTCTAGCCTGGGCGAGAAGAGTGAAATTCCATTTCATGAAAAAAAAAAAAAATTCTTCATGGGGAAAGGTTAGAAAGTTTGCGAAAAACAGGGATGATTTTCCTGAAGGTTGTTTAAAAGGTTTCACTAACAACAACAACAACAATAAACATCATGGATCCTTAGAAAGGGGATACACGGTGCAGCATTTCCCATTCCATTTCATTGACCATAGAGTCCTATTTTGGGCTGCATCTCTTGAGAGTGTGTTCCATGCGTCCAGCAGAAGAGGCTCTGGATGCTTCTTGCTCAGTCAGTTTAGCACCATGGGCTGGGTCATGCGAGATGCGGAGAGGAGGGGTACATATGCACTTCATGGTGTGGAGAGCTGCAGGTGGCTCCTCAGTGCATGGTGGTCTTTGGTGCTAAGGGTTCCAGGAAGCTGTGCAGCATTTTGGCTGCATTAGATATTAACTTCTGCTATTCATGATGTCAGGGGTCCAATTTCAAATCTATCACTCAGCACTCTTCTGTAAGAACAGTACACAAAGTTAAATATTAAAATTTTAATGATGGGAAAGGGGTATGGAGATAATTTTGGTATATTAATGTTTCATGGTGGTGATGGGGTGTGATGCCAATTGTTACTACAACTTGCTACCTAGGAATAGCACTGAGGGGCTCCCTACCTCCTCCCCTACAGAAGAAGTCTCCCCTTGTCACTTCCAAACACATACATTCCCTAAATTTCCCATCATTCCCTAAACTTCAGTCTCTGAAGCTCCAAGGAAACCCCATAGGAAAAACTTGCTTCTCCCCTTCACTGGGCAGATCGACCACCATAGGTGTGTGTGGAGATTGCATGCCCTCCTATTGACACAAGATTAATTATTTAGAGGCTGGTGATTGCACTTTAAAGTGGGAATTGCTATAGCTTCCAAAGTGGGAAGGAAGAAGGGAGGAAGATGTAGATCAATGGGTGTGATAGCCTGATGGTCTGGGTGTAGCTTTATTGTTAAGGCTATATCTTTAGCCAGGAGAGACAGCAAGATTCACAATATTGAAAGCACCCTTAAGAGAACCAAACTGGTCAGTTAGAGTCAGCCTAGTGTGGCATTTCAGATGGGGGCGTTTCAGCTAGAGTCAGCTGTCCATGCGGTGAGATGTAAGGGAATGCTTCATAAGTTCTCTAGCCATAAATAGGGCTACCTATAATTTTATCACTAGAGCTAAGTCAATGGTATGGTTTGACTGTGTCCCCGCCCAAATCTCATCTTGAATTGTAACTCCCACAATTCCCACATGTCGTGGGAGGAACCCGGTGGCAGGTGATTCAATTATGGGGGTAGGTCTCTCCTGTGCTGTTCTCGTGATAGTGAATAAGTCTCACGAGATCCAATGGCTTAATAAGGGGAAACCCGTTTCTCTTGGCTCTCATTCTCTCTCTTGCCACTGCCATGTGTGACATGCCTTTCACTTTCCACCAAGGTTGTGAGTCCTCCCCAGCCACGTGGAACTGTAAGTCCAATAAACCTCTTTCTTTGGTACATTGTTCAGTCTCCGGTATGTTCTTTATCAGCAGCATGTAAATGGACCGATACAATCACTTTGACTCTTAGAGATTTTTCTATATTCAAGAGCCCTTGGAAAGCCAGGCATGGTGCCTCATGTTTATCATCCCAGAACTTTGGGAAGCCAAGGAAGGAGGATAGTTTGAGACCAGGAGTAGGAAACCAGCCTGGACAATATAGGGGGACTCCATTTTTACAAAAAAAAAATAAAAATTAGCCAGGCATGATAAATGTGGTCCCATGGCAAATGGGACTACATGCCTGTAGTCCCAACTAATCAGGAGGCTTAAGTGGGAGGATTGCTTGAGTCCAGGAGTTGGAGGCTGCAGTGAACTATGATTGCACACTGCACTCCAGCCTGTCTCTACAAAAATGAGCCCTTGGAAATTCCTGAGATTTCCTGCTATCAGCTAACACTGTAGCTGGAGTGGAACTGAGGGTAGTAAGAATGAAGAAACCATGCCTTGGGGGTCCCTGGTGTGTGTACCTGACGCCAAGGAAGTGAGGGTGACTGTTTAAGAAGTATCTGCAGAGCCACGAAACCGATTGGAGAGGAAGTAGGGATCTTTACAGGCTCACATACATCCCTCACCTCATATCATTTGGTGGTTTGAGAGATGAGGCAACATGAGTTTTGCTGTTGAGTCATGGTCTGAGTCCTACTCTCCAAACTTAGGGGCAGGGAGGGAGAGAGGGATGTGCTTTGACCATGTGCAGAGCCCCTCTCTCCAGGCCTTGTCCCAGGAGGTTTAGTCTGTGTCTTCCAGGGGGATGTGAGCGGTAGTTCTCTAAATAGGTGACTGCAGCAGGTGAGACAGGGAGTCTACATGATCCTCTCTGATGGAACCAGCACTAGAGAGGCCAGTACATTAGTCAGGGTGCTTCAGAGGAACAGAACCGATAGGAGTTCTATATCTGACATAGAGGTATATGTACATATCATACATATATACGTATATATATATGAGGGGATGTATTGTGGGAATTGGCTGATATGATCATGGAGGCTGAATAGTCCTGCGATCTGTCATCCGCATGCTGAAAAGCTGGGGAAGCTGGTGCTGTAATTCAGTCTGAGTCCAAAGATTCGAGAACCAGGTTGGCTGCTGGCGTGCTTCCCAGTCCAGTCTGGAGGCCTGAGAACTGGATTGGGTGGCAGACTTTGTAAGTCCTGGAATCTGAAGGTCCGGAAACCAGGAGTACCAACGTGGCAGGGAGGAGAAGATGGAACTTTCAGTTCAAGAAGAGAAAGAGTAATCTGCTCTTCCCTTGCCTTTTTGTTCTACAGGGCTCTCAAGGGATTGGATCTTCTTTACTCAACCTACTGATTCAAATGCTAATCTCATTCAGAAACACCCTCACAGACATACCCAGAAATAACATTTTACCAGCTACCTGGGCATCCCTCAGCCCAGTCAAGGTGACACATGAAATTTACCATCACATGCAGGCAGGGAGAACTTCTGGGAGTCCTGTTGTGGAGTCCCATTAACTCCCTGAGTGGGAAGCAGACAGGGACATCAGAATTCTGCAATGAAGTTTGCCTGGGAAGCAGCCCCCTGCAGCCCCTCAAAGCACAGGCGTCTTTCGTGAGTCTCAGGCTTCAGTGGCTGTGCTCTCTCTGTGTAGGCAGATGACTGGGGGACACAGAAGAAGAGCCACAGTAAGATGCAAGTGGGTGATGACTCCCAGGAAGTGGGTCTGCTGGGCTGGAGCAGCCACCATGAGCTTGCGTGGAACCTGGAGAGGGTGGTCCTCGGTAGAAGTGGCAGCTATGCAGGACTGCCCTGCTGAAGCTGGCTGCAGGGCCAACTTTTCAACATTGTCTTGGAGGCTCTTCCTGGGGAAAACAAATGTATGTGTTGGGGGGCATATGGATGGAGTTAGGGAGAAGGTGAAATTATCAAACTTGGTGATGCGAGATATTTACAGAGCTTGCTTTGCACTAATCTGAGCTTTCTCGGGCCCCAGTAACAGCCTGAAGAAAAAGTGGTCCCACAGGCTTCCCCAGTGTTAATGGGGCTGTGTGGAAGCCAATAGCAAAAGCCCCAGGCTGGGCGCAAAGGCTCGTGCCTGTGATCTTAGTGCTCTGGGAGGCTGAGATGGAAGAATTGCTGGAGGCTAAGAGTTCAAGACCCACCTGGGCAACATAGTGAGACCCCCCCATCTCTACCAAAAAAATTTTTTTTAAATTTTTAAATCCTGAAAAACAAAGGACCCAGGAAGACGAGGGTAGGGCGCCTGAGTGGTCGCATTCATGGAGGCCCATCAACACAGCAGGGAGCAGTCTATTACTGACAGCAGGCAGGCCCAGGCAAGAATCCCGGCACCCGTCTTTTCACAACCTCCTCCCTGAGCCGGCTCTTCTTGGTGGAGACCACAGAACCTCACTCGCAGCAGGTGCTCAATCACTGCTCACAAAGCAGACAGGTAATTGAATACAGCAGAAAATGGCACAGAGGGGAGGAAGGGCACACGCAGAGACTTTCTGTCTTTGCGGTTCTGTACAAGGCTGTGCCCAAAGCCACTGACGTTGGCTTTATATTATCCAAAGGGGCAAGCGAGTGACCCTACCCAACCCAGAAATCCTGAAATATTCAGAAGCCCTAATGTTTGTGTGAGGAGAGAGCCGAGCCTCTTTCCGATGGGAAATTCAATTATTCAGTAAGGCTAGAGCTCTCTGGGTGTCCAGAAGTGCTGGAGCACACCGGGAGGCTGAGGTCTCTGTCCCACTGATTGGAGGCCGCTTTGCTGCCAGTGGGGATGAGAACTGGAGGTCCTGCCCCAGAGACCCACCAGCCACCTGCCCTCTGTTCTGCTCCACGGGTGCTGTGGGGCTTCTTCCCAGAGTACTTAAGCTCTGGGGCGCTACCCACCCCCTCAACAAAACACGCAATTAAAGTGTGACAACAACCTATTTCTTGCTACAGAATGTATTTCTGATTCAGACTAGGCTTTGGTTTGAGGCAGGTGACTATTGCAAACACCCACTTCAGCTGCTGTCAGGGTCTGGCACCAAGAGTTGTGTGAATTTAAGGTGACTTTGTTCCAACAGAGCTTGTCATTATCTGTATAACATAAACAAAGGTGTACACAGGTATACAGTAGTTAGATCTTTCTCCTTTTCCGGGAAGTGTTGTTCCCAGCAGCATCAAGCTGGGGAGACAGACATTTCGCTATTCTGCGAGTCCTGGGGTGGGGAGGGGGCAGCTGTCACACAGCCTTAATCTGGCTGCCCCCAGCCCACGCAGAGCAATACGATGAGGAATGCTCCGTCTAGCACGAGTGGCAATGGGGAAAGGTTGAGAGTCCTGCTGCATTCTACATGGCTCCTAAGGGAAGAGCTGCTACAAAGATGAGCTCAAGTACGGGTTTCTGTGGTGGAAATATGCTTTGGCTCATTCATGCCTTCAAGAAGCATTTATCCTACTATGTGCCAGGCATACAAGGAGTGGCATAAATGTTTTCAAAGAGTCTGCAGTTGTGTGGTGGGGTGCACCTGTACTCAGCTACTCAGGAGGCTGAGGCAGGGGAATTGCTTGAAACTGGGAGGCAGAAGTTGCAGTGAGCCGAGATCGTGCCACTGCATTCCAGCTGGGGCAACAGAGCGAGACCCTGTCTCAAACAAACAAACAAACAAACAAACAAACGAACAAACAAAATAAGAGTCTGTGGTTGTATGAAGGAAGCAGCTGCATACATTGTTTCAAAATACCATGAAAAATACTAGAAAGGAATTGTGTCATTGTTCATTCACTCATAACAGCTAAAAGGGGTTTAACCTGTCCTGGGTGCTCCAAACTTGGTCCACTGACTTTCAAGCTAGACCAGACTGCTTCCCAATGGAGAAAGGCATGGGAAAGGCAAAGGTGGAGGAATTGCAGAAAAGAGGGATGAATTCCAACCACTGAGATCAAGTTCATGGCAGGCGGCTGTGTGGTTTGTGTTCATTCCTCCAGCGGCTGCTGCAGCCTTTCCAGGAGAACTGCTCCCTCTCCAGAAGTGTGAGGACTGCCACCCTTCTCTCCTCCTACTGTGCCTCAGGGTCACCCAGAGGGTATCTTCACCAGCTGCAGGGACTCTGCTACCATGCTGGGCTTTCAGGCCCCATCCTGGGAGAACAGAGGCACAGCTGTGCTCCATGCAACACAGCCTGATTCAGTCCTCAAGTGGAGGCAGGAGGAAGGTCATGTCTCTGAGACATCACACGTTTTGCAGAGTCCTTTAGTCCTAAAGTTCCAGCCCTGGCTCCTGGTGCGTTTCTAAACTAGGGACCTGACAATGCCCACAGCGCCACCATGATTCAATGGATTAGCCACCGCCTCCAGCTTCAGGTCAGTTGCTGATAGGAATGACATTTGCTAAGTATCGAGGGAGCAACTGTCTTTCTTTCATGGAGAATGGACTCTGCCTCATCCTCACCACAAGTGGAACAACGCTAAGTGCTGAAAAGGTCAGGCAGAGCCTCCTTGGGGTCCTAAATTCCAGCATCCCCAATCATAGTGATGGACAAACAGGAAGAATATGATAGGACATTCACAATACAGCCGAAGCTGATGCCCAACAAACAAGGAAAGACGTGGACCCCACAGCCACCAAAGAAATGCAAGTTATAAACATGGAAAGTTTTTGCTTATCTCATTGGTGGAAATTTACTGCCGAGGATGTGGAGAAATGGGTGTTCTCACCCCTCACCCACTGCTGCTGATGGGGATATACATTGGTGCAAGCTTTCTGGAGGGTTGGTTATTTGGCAATTTATATATGAACAGCCTTGAAGTGTTCATACACTTTGAGCCAGTAATTTTAGTTTTAGGACTTTATCCTAGGCAATAATCAAATTTATGTACAAGATTTATGTTCAAGAATATTCATCTCAGCCATTAGTGTAATGGAAAAAATATCAGAAGCTACCCAAATGTCCCACATAGGAGGTTGGTTAAATAACTGATGATACAACTAAAGAATGGAAAACAATTTATTCATTAAAAATGGTTTTCTCAGGGCTGGGCGCGGTGGCTCACGCCTGTAATTCCAGCACTTTGGGAGGCCAAGGCTGGCGGATCACGAGGTCAGGAGATTAAGACCATCCTGGCGAACATGGTGAAACCTCGTCTCTACTAAAAATAGAAAAAATTAGCAGAGGGTGGTGGCATGCACCTGTAGTCCCAGCTACTCAGGAGGCTGAGGCAGGAGAATTGCTTTAAATTGGGAGGCAGAGGTTGCAGTGAGCTGAGATCGTGCCACTGCACTCCAGCCTGGGCAACAGAACAAGACTCCATCTCAAAAAAAAAAAAAAGATTTTCTCAAAGAATATTTAATGATGGAAGGAAACAGTGAAAAAGCAGGGCACAAGATGCTGGATGAAGCATTTCAATTTTGTTGACATTTGATAATACAAGTAGAGAAAAAGTTATCAAAAAACAGCAGGTATATTATTACAGGGGCATTTTTTTCCTTTGCATTTTTCTGTATTTTGTTTACAATAGTGAATCACATCTTCTCTCTGAGCCCCAGTGTACCGTTCTGTAAGTTGGAAGTCATCATGCCTATGTCACATGATGCTGAGAAGATCCACTTCAATATTTTTAAAGCATCCTGCACAGTGACCAGCGTATTATGATACTCAGTGGATGGTTTATGATATCATTATCTGCAGTTGCCAATGAGACACACCTAGTCCAGATATTGATCATAACAATTACTAAAGTTGTTCCTCCTCACTGTTTTTTTCGAGACTAAGTCTTGCTCTGTCACCCAGGCTGGAGTGCAGTGGCACGATCTCGGATCACTGCAATCTCTGTCTCCCTGGTTCAAGTGATTCTCCTGCTTCAGCCTCCCGAGTAGCTGGGATTACAGGCACGTGCTACCACGCCCAGCTAATTTTTTTGTATTTTTAGTAGAGACGGGGTTTTGCCATGTTGGCCAGGCTGGTCTTGAACTCCTGACCTCAAATGATCCTCCTGCCTCGACCTCCCAAAGTGCTGGGGTTACAGGTGTGAGCCACTGCACCCGGCCTCCTCCCCACTTTTTACCAAGATAACAAAAGGATTAATTGAAAAAAACCTAAGTTATTTTTACGAAAGTTCTAGTGTTAACCTTCTGTTCTTTTTCACAAGGATGGCTGGACTTTAAGCCTTGTGTCCTGTGTAATAATCTCCATTCTTGCCTAGTTCAGAGTTCCCCTCATTCAAAATTCAGGCTCTGTTGATCTTTAGTATCTCATCCCCCTACTTATCTCAGGTGATTCTATGTTGGGGTGATGCATGCAACATATTTACTAATTACAGAGACTTCCAGTCCCTGTAGTTATAGTAGCTCATAGCTCTGTTTTAAGTAATGTTACCTTCAATGACATTGAAATACTGGTTTGCCCTTAATGCTCTCTGCAAAATGTGTTTTTTGCCTCTTGATTCGGTTTTCTAGCTCTCTCCTTTTTTCTCTTTCTTGGGTCTGTTTGTGTCTGATCTGTTGCTCACATTCTCTTGAGGCTGAGATTTATATTCTGAGCATTTAGGTGAGAAAAATAACTTCTAACTCGGGTCAGAGTTGAAAAGAACCCCATCTGCACAAAAATTTAAAAATGAGCAAAATACATGTCTTTTGAGACACTATTAATTAGTCTTTGGCTGGCATAGCATAGAGTTTTATTAGTTAACTAATTCATACCTATCAACTAAGAGTTCCCCACTAATGGAATCATTCAGGAGCTCTGAACGGGTGCCCAGCACAGGTGGTAAGGCTGAGGTAACTGGCAGTCTGTCTTTTTTATGTACAGGTATGAGAGCATCTTCTTTTCCAAGTTACACATTCCCAGCCCATCTGACTCATTTAGAGGAAAAAAACACTTTCACCTGCCAAAGTGATTAGAAAAAGATACAGCCTACAGAGAAGAGGGCTATCGTGGGGAGGCATTCTCTTATTTGTCCAGATACGAGCCTGAGCTCCTGATTCTATAAGACACACAGTCTTATAGAAATGTTATGTGACAGATGCAATGAACAGCTCATGGCCGGGCGGCTCACCCAGGGTCTTTGCCGCTGACCATCCAAAGATGAGAAAGCCCCAGTTCTACTGACCACCACACTTTCCCCACCTTGGAAGGAAAACAAGGTGAGGCAGAGAGGAGCATCCAGCATCATGGTTGGAGTTGCACAATTCCATTTTGACTCCTACGAAAGTCCCAGACTCAGATGGCTGGGCGCATGCAAGCTGTGGGCTTATGTATACAAGGGTTTGTGGGCATGGGTGTGTGTTGCAGATGAGAAATGTCCTAGTGCCATGCAGCTCTGGTCCAGGGAAACTTGAGCTCCAAGTGAGTGCTCCAGATTTCAGTAGTGACCCTTTTGATGACAGAATGAGGTGGCTCTCTGACCCTGTTTCTCCTCTCTGAAATGGGAATAATACCTACCAACATCTTGCCTTCCAGGGATGCTGCGAAGGCTCCATGAGCTAATGAATGTGGAGTGCTTTAAAAATCAGTGGTGCCCACAAGTGGCATTGTTACCCCTGGCAGAAGCTTCTGCTTTCTTAATCCATTTGAGGAAAAACATCCAGCTTCTCTCTGATGCCATCTGCTCGGGAGGTGTTCAGCTGGAAAAGGATTATGTGGGTTTTAGTATATAAATGATGTGCAATTTGTTCTGTTTATAAAATAACTTATTCTCAATGTAAGGAATTCAGAAAATACTGAAAACATAAAAAAAGGAAACAAATTTCAACCATAATCCCATCATATAGAGGCAACTACTTTCAGTGCTTTTTGGGAGTTTGCTCATTTCGTTAGCTAGACAACTAGGTCAGTTAGAACCCCCTGACCTCATGGGAGAAGGCGCTCCCTTGTTTTGGGATTCACCCATTTGTGGTGCCCAGGTCCCCAGCCTGCTCTCGACTCTCTGACATTGGCTTGCTTTCCCAGGTACAGAGTAAAGCTTGAGTTGACTCCATGGCTTCTTCAAGGGCCCTGCTTTCAAGACTGAAGGATGACCACCTGCCCTTGGGAAATGTTACTAAATATCAGGACCTCAAGTTGGGCGGGACTGCCAGGAGGGAGAAGGTAGTGTCAGGGGAAAGGCGTTGACATTTCAAACACAACTGGCTACTCTAGCCTCATGGCAATGGCTTTAGTAACTTCACAGCTGATCCCTGAGATTGAACATCAGGACTATTAAATGCTAATTGAGTTGAAAAGCCTTCCCCAAATGCTCTAAAACTTTTAGGCAGTAAAGAGCTCCTGGCCACATCTGGAGCTGTGTGCTGGGGACCACTCGGCAACACGCTCTGCCCACCTCTGCTCCTGTTCATCTTCCCCTTCTTGACACAGCATGACTGCTATATACAAACAGGTGTTTTTCTTTTTAAGCAGAATGCCCATTGCTGTGGCTGCTGAGTCAATGCTTTGGAGTGAGCTGTTTGCTCTCAAACGTGCAGGTGCCGCAGCCATGAAGCCTGGACACTCTAATGTGTGCCTGGGGGTCCTTCCACTGTGTTTTTTTCAGAGATGCTGATTAGGCAATACTGCAGTTTGAATGAACTTCACAGGAGTTTCCCCAGGATGGATGTGATTCTTTTCTTGTGCCCAGAAGAAAGATCCTCTGTGAAGCTCTCATTGACATCTTTGCCCCTCCCCACTCTCTGTTCTTTTTATTTTCTCTTGCTCCCCTGTCCCACTCCCAGGAGAAGATCTGAAAATTACATCCAAAAGTAAGATTGTTGGGGAATTGTGTTTTGTATTTACCCTGAAAATAAACTGTCATTAAACAGGTGAGGAGGCAGAGAGCCAGGCATTAGTCAAGTATCTGCCTTGCTGCTGGAACCTGTGTCTTCCCATCTGAGTCCAGCACCTTCATCACCCTATTACATTGTGAGACAGAGCAAGGACCCCCACCCCCCAAGCCCCGCCTTAGGGACCTGTGGGGTCCCCCAAGCATGGAAATAAAGAAAAATCTAGAGTTCCTTCAAGGGAAATTCCAGGCACCCAGCTAGCCTCGAGAAGTAAATCAGCAACTAGATAAACAATAAGGTAATAGCAGCCTAAGGCAGCAGCCAAGGACGTGGGAGGCAGGAGATGTTTGGTTCCCTATGGAAACTGAAGGTAACATCTTAGCATATGTCCCTGGGTTGTTTTTCACAAACCGGGACCCCCTTCTCAATAGATCTGCTGACACACAGACCTCAGATAAGGAGAAACTAAGGACTGAGCTCTGACCGCTGTTCTGCGTTCTAAATTTCTTCCTAAGGGGCCTGGAGGAGGTCACACCCAGGAGCCAGAGCTAACATTGTTTTTCTGCTGATCCCAAATTTTTAGACAAAACTTTGATTCCTTAACCAATTGTGAACCAGAAAAGCTTTGCATCCACCTATGACCTGCCCTCGCTTCGAGGTCTGTTTTTGGGTCAAACCAATGTATAGCCTCCAAGTACTGACTTAGGACTTTGCCTGTACCCTCTGCCTCCCTGCCTTTCAAAGCCCTTACCTGTAACCCATCTGAGAGCTCTAGTCTTAAGCATGAGCTGCCCGATCCTCCTTGCTTGCTGCCCTGTAATAAATGCCTCGCTTTCTCTCCCTGCAGGGCCAGCATCAGTGTTTGGCTTTGCTGCACAAGGCCAGTGAGCCCCAGTTTGGTTCAATAACCATCAGTACCTCCTCTTCTCTAAAGGAGGCCCACACCATATTTTGAAAATAAGAGGCCAGGCATTGAGACCATCTCAGCTGAGAGAGCAGGAAGAGACCACGCTCCTGTTGCTCTCTCTGAAAGATGAGGATCTTGCAGGCTACACGTTGTTTCTTCTCGGCATATTGCAGGGGCTCCATTCCTGTAGCACCCCTGAAATGCCACCAGACATCTGCATCTGTGATTCTTGATCATCGCTGAGGAAATGAATGACACAATGCCCATCATGAATCGAGGGCTGATGTCATAAAGGGGACCTTGCCATATGGCGACAATATTTGTGGAGCTTTTTGCCAGCTAGTATGTAAATGCTTTATATGTGTTCACTCACTTAACCCTTCCAATAACACTGTTAAGTTAGGACCTATTACAATGCCTATTTTACTGAATGGGAACAGAGGTGCAGAGTGGTCAAGTGTAGAATCTTGTGATTTTAGTCCCGACACTAATATATATTATGTAATAGATAACTTATGATACATATTGGCCCGGCACGGTGGCTCATGCCTGTAATCTCAGCACTTTGGGAGGTCGAGGTGGGTGGATTACTTGAGGTCAGGAGCTTGAGACCAGCCTGGCCAACATGGTGAAACCCCGTCTCTACTATAAATACAAAAATTAGCTGGGTGCGGTGGCGGGCACCTGCAGTCCCAGCTACTCAGGAGGCTGAGGCAGGAGAATCGCTTGAACCTGGGAGATGGAGGTTGCAGTGAGCCAAGATCGTGCCACTGCACTCCAGCCTGGGCCACAGAGTGAGACTCTATCTCAAAAAATAAAAACAAAAACAAACAATAAAAAAGATAACTTATGATACATACTATACGTAATGTTTCATGTTATATTATTATATATATTATACATTTTATGTGTTTCTTATAATCTTCACAAAAACCTTGTAAGGTAGCTATTATTACTCTTATTTTATGGATTAAAAAATAGAGAGTCTAACAGCCTGAGAAATGTATACAATGTCACTAAATCTACTAACAAATCATTGAATGGCAATTTGAAACTAAGTAACACCTTTTTTCCCCCACAAAAAATCTATGCTTTGTTCATGCTCCACCAAGACATATTCTGGTCGTGACTTAACGTTACTCTCCCAAGCTGGTCACTAAAGCAGATGATAAGGTGCTGATGCTTTACCAGAAATCACCAAAAGGCAGCATCAGGCAGGAATCATAAAAAGGTTGAGGAGCTGGGTAATGCATATTGGCTAAATAGTTCCCTGGAAAGCAGAACCACCTTTCAGAGATCTCTCTGGCAAGCAATGCACCCGGGTCTACAAGAGAAGCTTGTCCTGAACCCCAGGTGCCTTTCAGAAAAGCAGGGCAGAGGACTCTTCTGCAAATCTCTGAAGTTAACAGCAAATGGAACGTTCTTTCCTGAGCACTGTCTTGTCTTTTAAAAAATCCTATGAGAGGAAAACACATTATACCTCCAGCTTAGCCATAAAGATTACCATATTTGGTTAGGCATAGTTTGAACAAGAAAGAATACTGTCTTTTAGAGAACAGAAAATGGTTTAAATTGGGGTGTATATAAATACAAGCTTTGGGAACTAAAAAAGGAACACATAAATTGAATATGTTTGTATCATAAACTTGGCTTTAAGAGAAAGGTTGGTAAGGGAACCATTTTATTTAAATGAAGAGGAAGCTTCAAGCAATACTAAGCAGCTGGTAAACCCCAATTTGTGGGCTAATGTTGAAGTAAGTTAATAAAGTGACCTTAGGGAAAGATCAAAGTGATGTTTTATAGAATTCTGGAGCTAAAAGGGACATTGGAGAATATCTGCTCCAAAGATCTCATTATAAAAGTGCAGGAACTGAGGCTGGAAGAGTAGGGGTGACCTCCCTATGCACACAGAGATATAGTTGTTGTGCATAAAACCCATTAAATATTTTTTTATTTGTATAAGTTTAAGGGTTACGAATACATGGACATATTGACTAGCTGTGAAGTCTGGGCTTTCAGGGTAACCGTCACCCGAATAATGCACATTGTACCTATTAGGTAACTTCCCATCTCCACGTCCCCCTCACCACCCTACCCTTTCTCATCTCCAGTGTCTGTTATTCCACACTCTATGCCCATGTGTACCCATCATTTAGCTACTTCTCATTAGTGAGAACATATGGTATTTGACTTTCTGTTTCTGAGCTGTTTTACTTAAGATAATGGCCTCCAGTTACATTCGTGCTACTGCAAAAGGCAACCAGTCAGAATGGCTATTACTAAAAAGACAAAAAATAACAGACTTTGGTGAGCAAGTGGAGAAAAGGGAATGCTTATACACTGTTGGTGGGAATGTAAATTAGCCCAACCTCCATTGAAAACAGTATGGAGATTTCTCAAGGAACTGAAAATAGAACTACCATTCGACCCAGCAATCCCACTACTGGGTATCGACCCAAAGGAAAAGAAGTCATTGTATCAAAGGGATACCTGCACTTCCAGGTTTATTGCAGCACTATTCACAACAGCAAAGTCAGGGAACTGACCTAAGCATTCATCAAAGGATGATTGGATAAAGGAAATGTAGTATGTATACACAGCAGAATACTATTCAGCCATAAAAAGATTAAAATCATGTCTTTTTCAGTAAATATTATTTTTGAGTAGTTGTGTGGATGTGCGGATGAGAAAACGGAAAAGGTGGAGAACATTTGCTTTCCTAGTTTATGACCATTCCTCTTTAATAGTATTTGACTTCAAAACCTTACTTTCTCCCTATGTTGAACACTCTTTTTTTGATTAGATGTAAACAGTAAGGTCTCGTTAAAGAAAAGAATAAAGTCAAGGACTTTAAACGTTATTTTATTTATTTATTTATTTTTGAGACAGGTTCACCCAGGCTGGAGTGCAGTGGTGCGATCTTGGCTCATTGCAGCCTCCACCTCTCAGGCACAAGCAATTTTCCCACCTCAGCCTCCTGAGTAGCTGGGACCACAGGCATGCACCACCATAACCAACTAAATTTTATATTTTTTTTTGTAGAGATGGGGATCTCACCATCTTGCCCAGGCTGCTCTCGAACTCCTGGACTCGAGTGATCCTCCTCCCTCAGCCTCCCAAAGTGATGGGATTACAGGCGTGAGCCACTGTGCCCAGTGTTTTGTTCTTTAAAACAATATGTACAGATGATACAAAATCAGAAAGTTACAAAAGCTCTAGACTTAGGAAAGCATCTGGATCTCACCCTGGCTCCAACTGGGCAGCACCCCTTCCTGGTGGGTCTCACCCACTGCTGATGAGCCTCACGTGCCCTTCCAAGGTATTCCAGGCATGCACATGCACATTTGCAAATGCGCACTGCTCTTTCTTTTTCTGTTCTTACACAGCTGTTAACACTCTATTCATGGCATTCTTCACCTTGCTTTTATTATTTAGCAATGCACCTTAGGGACTGCTGACATATCAGGCTCTACTGAATGGCTTCTTTTCTTCTTAAATGGCTGCATAGTCTTGCATTGTCTGGAAGTACTATAATTTATTTAATACATTTGGGTCATGTCCTCTTTTTTGCTATTTCAAACAATGCTGTGATAAATATCTTTGTACATACATCATTTCACACATGTGGGAATATAACTGTAATATAAATTCCTAGAAATGAAATCATGGGGACAAAGGGGACATGTCTTACATTTTTTCGATATTGCCAACTTTCTATACCACTAGCAAAATATGGAGGGCCTGTTTGCCCACACTACAGCCAACATACAGCATTATCAAGCTGTTTATCTTTTTAAATGTTTAGGCTAAGTGAAATTGTGATGGGTGAAAAAATCTGACTGTATTTTTTTAAAATCTGCATTTGGAGTTGAGTATTTTTTTATATGTTTAAGAGTTTTCACAGGAAAAAATATGCTGTTTCTTTTGCTCATTTTCCTGCTGGTTACTGGTCTTTTCCCTTACTGATTTATAAGAAATCTTCATAAATCATAGAAATCAGCTGTTTATCTGCTCTATTAAGTGTAAATATTTTATTTTTATTTTTATTCTATTATTATTATACTTTAAGTTTTAGGGTACATGTGCACAACGTGCAGGTTTGTTACATATGTATACATGTGCCATGTTGGTGTGCTGCACCCATTAACTCGTCATTTAGCATTGGGTATATCTCCTAATGCTATCCCTCCCCCCTCCCCCCACCCCACAACAGTCCCCAGTGTGTGATGTTCCCCTTCCTGTGTCCATGTGTTCTCATTGTTCAATTCCCACCTATGAGTGAGAACATGCAGTGTTTGGTTTTTTGTCCTTGAGATAGTTTGCTGAGAATGACGGTTTCCAGTTTCATCCATGTCCCTACAGAGGACATGAACTCATCATTTTTTATGGCTGCATATTATTCCATGGTGTATATGTGCCACATTTTCTTAATCCAGTCTATCGTTGTTGGACATTTAGGTTGGTTCCAAGTCTTTGCTATTGTGAATAGTGCTACTATAAACATACGTGTGCATGTGTCTTTATAGCAGCATGATTTATAATCCTTTGGGTATATACCCAGTAATGGGATGGCTGGGTCAAATGGTATTTCCAGTTCTAGATCCCTGAGGAATCGCCACAGTGACTTCCACAAATCTCCTTAAGCTGATAAGCAACTTCAGCAAAGTCTCAGGATACAAAATCAATGTACAAAAATTACAAGCTTTCTTATACACTAATAACAGACAGAGAGCCAAATCATGAGCGAACTCCCATTCACAATTGCTTCAAAGAGAATAAAATACCTAGGAATCCAACTTACAAGGGATGTGAAGGACCTCTTCAAAGAGAACTACAAACCACTGCTCAATGAAATAAAAGAGGATACAAACAAATGGAAGAAAATTCCATGTTCATGGGTAGGAAGAATCAATATCGTGAAAATGGCCATACTGCCCCAGGTAATTTATAGATTCAATGCCATCCCCATCAAGCTACCAATGACTTTCTTCACAGAATTGGAAAAAGCTAAAGTTCATATGGAACCAAAGAAGAGCCCACATCGCCAAGTCAATCCTAAACCAAAAGAACAAAGCTGGAGGCATCACGCTACCTGACTTCAAACTATACTACAAGGCCACAATAACGCGTAAATATTTTATCCCTTTTGTTACTTGTCTTCTGATCCCACACCCCATTAACTTTGCAGAAGCTTTTTTTATTGTTGTGATCAAATATGTGGACCTTTCTCTTTATTTGTGTTTGGATTTTGTGTCATACTTAGACACTTTAAAAACTATAATATGAAATCTTCTTACGGTATACTTTGAGTACTTTTAATAGTTCCATTATTGTATTTCAACTTTTAATATATCTAAACTTTATTTTATGTAAAATATGCACTAAAGAATATAGCTTTATTTTTGCAGGTGTTTAAACAGCTGTTCCAATATTATTTATAAAACAATCCACGTTTACTCATTTGAAATGCTATCTTTATTACATGAATTTGCGTCTACTTCTGCCCTTTCTATTTGAAGCCATTAATTGGTCTGTTTAGTCAAGAAACACTACGTTATTTTAACTCCTATAGTTTACAACGTATTTTAATAGTTGTTGGGGTTCTACTTAAAAAAAATTTCTCACTCTTCTTGCTTATTTGTTTATTATGAAAAATAAAATCAGTTTGTCACTTTGTCCCTCTTCCTCCCCAAACACTGTGGGTTACATTACTTTTAAGATGAATTTAGGGATAATTGACACCTTTATGATGCTGCATATTTCTCTTCAAGCACATGGCACTCATTTTATTCATTAAATTGTTCTTTTATGTCTGTCAATTGCATTTTGAAGTTTTAATTACATAGATGTTACACATTTTTAATATATTTTCTAGGTATTTTACTTTATTGTTACTATACTTTCATTATATCTCCCAAACAATTTCTATTTTTGTTTATATGAAAAGTATTTAGTTTGATATATTAATTACATACCCAGTCATCTTTATCAATTTTCTTATTTGTACTCTTGTAACTATTCTCTTATGCTTTCCAAGTATACAATAATATTATGTGCAGATAATAATAGCTGTACTTCTTTTCTCCCCAAATCCATACCTCTTTTTTCTTTCATATAATTATATAGGCTGATGTCTCCAGAACAATGTTAAGTAAAAACGGTTGCAATAGATATACCTATTTTGTTTCTGATGTGAATGAGAATAGTTGCTATATTTCTACATTTATCTGGCTTTTGTGGTGATCTCTATACATGGATATACACAAATATACATATGTGAGTTCTACATTTTCTATTAAGTAACCTTTTATTCCTATATCATTAAAAATTTTTATCAAGAAGAATTGCTGGTTGGTGGTTGGAGAAATGTTGGTCAACGTATACAAAATTTCGGTTAGGAGGAAGAAGTTCAAGAGATCTAGTGTACAACATGGTAACTATAGTTAATAACGATGTATTGAATACTTGAAAATCACTAGGAGAGTAGGTAAATAAGTGTTCTCATGACAAAAAAAAAATGCTTGCATGAGGGAATGCATATGCTGATTAGTTCAATTTAGCCATTCCACAATGTATGCATATTTTAAAACATCACATATTTGAGGTTATTTCCATTTTATTTTCTCTTATGTTGAATAATTGTACTTCTCTCTTTTACTTGATTGGGTGAGTTAGCAATTTATTAATTTCAGTGTCTGCTTTAGTCAAAGCGTCATAATTTAGGAATTCATTCTTCCAGTTTTAGTTTCCAAATTTATTAATTTCTGGTGTTATTTTAATTAAACATTAATTTACTCTAGGCGTATTTTGTTGTCTCTAATTTGTAGTATATTTATTTTTATTTTATTTTGATTATTAATAAAAGTTTTCAAGGCATTCTTGTTTATTAATGCATTCTTAAGGAGTTTTCTTCAAAACACTAGTTGTATTAAATAGTTTCTATTACATAGTATTTTAAAAACTATTTGTGCTAAACTGACACATGTCCCTATAATGCTCAAGTCAGTATCCAGATCTTAAAGATTCTTGAGTAGAAAAGTAATTTATAAACTCATTTGAAAGAATTTTCTACTCTAATATTTGGGAGAATAAAATCAGGTCAGATTAACATGAGTTCGATAAGTGTTAAAAGAACTGAGTTGTATTTATTGTTTAATGTCCCCCATACCTCGTTTCCGAATGGTCTCTTTTGAATTAATGTTCATGTTTAAAAGGATTGATAATTTTTTCACTAAGTAATACCTAACAAATAAAAAATCACTATCATCTTTGGCCTCCAAAAGTCCTTTCAAGTAACAGTCTTAAGAGGAATTATTTTAAAATTCATAAAGAAGAAACTATAATATACTTCGTAGTAATGTACTTCAGTGAAGGAGAGTTCACCTGAAAAGCAGTGAATGGTTTGGCACTCTTCCATATATAAATTAACAGGAAGTAATGCATTACTCTCATGTAACATTATTCAAATTCAAAATACATTTATTGAGAATTATGGTATGTCTAGCACTGTGTTGATGAATTTAGCTACATTATCTAATGTAGTAACCCTCCTTAATAGTGTTGTAAGATAGGTGCTGATTACCTTTTAAAGTCATGGAAGCTGAAGCTTAGAGAAGCTCTGGGTAGAAAAGGACATATGTGAGAATTAACGCCAGATCTGCTGACTCCTGATCCAGCACTTGCCAGATGAAAAAGAATGAGCCAAATATCGGTACACTAGTCTTTTCTTCCATCCTGCTATGCTACGAAAACGGCAATTATGTTAGAAGTGTCATTCTTCCTTGAAGCATTTATTGAGCACCACTTTGTATAAGACCCTCCTCCAGAGATCTCCCAGTGGAAGAGATCTCTCTGCCTTCAGAGTGTGTCTGTTCATGCAACAAGGGGGAACAGGCTGTAGGACTTGGAATGACAGAGCATGCCAGGAACAGGAGGAGGAATTTAAGGAGAAGTGTGCAGACCGGGATTCTGGAGGGGGCTCTAAAGACTGAAGATACAGTTGGAGGCTCTGAAAGGCAGGAATATAGCAGGCAGGAGGGGAGGCTGCCAATAGTGTAGGATACCATCTATTGTAACCTACAGTCAGGCTTATGTACCATGCTTTGTTTTTAATGTTCAAACGTTGAAAATTAGTGAACTCGGGCCGGCGCGGTGGCTCACGCCTGTAATCCCAGCACTTTAAGAGGCCGAGGCGGGCGGATCACAAGTTCAGGAGTTTGAGACCGTCCTGACGAACATGGTGAAGCCCCGTCTCTACTAAAAATACAAAAACAAAACAACAAAACAAAACAAAACAAAACAAAACAAAACATTAGCCGGGCGTGGCGGCGGGCTCCTGTAGTCCCACTCGGGAGGCTGAGGCAGGAGAATGGTGTGAACCCAGGAGGCAGAGCTTGCAGTGAGCCGAGATCGCGCCACTGCACTCCAGCCTGGGTGACAGAGCGAGACTCCCATCTCAAAAAAAATAAAGAAAATTAGTGAACTTAATGGCAACAACAGTGACAAGAAAAAGGAGAGGCAAAATAAAAGGAAAGAAAAGGCAGTTTACGGAAACCACGAACAATCACAATTTGGAAGGTAAAAGATGTTGGAATCTCATCCTTTCCGTTTTTTCATCTCCATGGAGAATTACATATATAATTTTTTTTTTGAGATGGAGTTTCACTCTTGTTGCCCAGGCTGGAGTCCAAGGGCACAATCTCTGCTCACTGCAACCTCCGCCTCCCAGGTTCAAGCAATTATCCTGCCTCAGTCACCCAAGTAGCTGGGATTACAAGCATGTGCCACCACGCCAGGCTAATTTTGTATTTTTAGTAGAGATAGGGTTTCTCCATGTTGGCTAGGCTGGTCTCGAACTCCTGGCCTCAGGCGATCTGCCCACCTCAGCCTCCCAAAGTGCTGGGATTACAGGCATGAGCCACCATGCCTGGCCTATACTCAAACTATTTTAATGAGGTGAGGGAACACTCCCATGGAGTAAATTGTATCCCTCCCCTACCCATATTTATGTTGGAAGCCCTATCTCACCTGTCCACGTGACTATATTTGGAAATAGGGCCTTTATGGAAGTGGTTAAGGTTAAACGAAGCCATAAGGATAGGGCCCACCCTGATTCCACAGGATTAGTGTCCTAATATGAAGAAACACCAACTAATCAACGAGATTAGTGTCCTCATAAGAAGAGACACCAAAGAGCTTCCTCTCCTCCCTCCATGTGAGGACACAGCCAGAAAACTGCCATGTGTGAGCTGGGAAAAGAGCCCTCAACAGAGCCTGACCCTGAGAGACTTTGATCTAGGACTTTCAGCCTCGAGAGCTGTGCAAAAATAAGTTTCCTTTGTTTAAGCCACTCAGTCTGCACTTGGTCTGTGGTATTTTGTAACGGTAGTTTGAGACGATGAATGCAAGCACACTCATATATCTCAGAACTCTTCTCTAAAACTAGAACTCTTCACTAATCTCTCATAAACACCAGTGGCCTTAGCAGTGATCAGAAATAAACAAGCAGCGATGAGGTGAAGTACATCTCCCAGAGCAACTCAAGTTAAAACATTAAGCAGGTCTTCTGTTAATGACATATATCCCACCATCCTGAGGTAGTTGCAGGCTAGGTTAGGGACCCTTCAACATTTGGTGGAGATGTTTGAGGAGATAAGTTGGAAAAGTTGAGGGTAGCTTTGTGTAGAGTTGCTTGTGTGTATAGAAACTTACAAAGATGTGATGTTTAGGAGACATTCCTAGTCTTTAAATGTGAAGTCAAGAAAGAAAATCCTTCCTGGGAACATACTTGGAAATGAAAGGTCATGCTACATGGGCCAAGGTTTAAGTCAATGATACAATTCTTTCATTCATTCATTCATTCTTCAATAAATATTAATATTTATGGAGCCCTAGTGTGCACCAGCCCCTGTGCTCTGGTCACATCAAGAAGCTGCTTGCTTAGATCCTCCCACTTACATCCTCATGTGTCCCTTTTTTTTTTTTTTTTTTTTTTTTTGAGACTGCATGCCACTCTATTGCCCAGGCTGGAGTGCAGTGGCACAATCTTGGCTCACTGCAACTTTCCTCTCCCAGGTTCAAATGATTCTCCTGCCTCAGCCTCCCAAGTAGCTGGGATTATAGGTGCCAACCACCATGCCCGGCTAATTTTTGTATTTTTAGTAGACACAGGGTTTCACCATGTTGGTCAGGCTGGTCGCAAACTCCTGACCTCAGGTAATCTGTCTGCGTTGGTCTCCCAAAGTGCTGGGATTACAGGCATGAGCCACCAGGCCCAGCCCCTCATACCTCTTGAAAAACACTTTTTGCTGATCTTCTTGGGACTCAGAATGTTCTATTGGCCAGGACTCTGACGAACTTTTGTTTATCTACCACTCAAGACCTTCAGCATCAGGATGAGGAGTCCAGACATATTTTCCAAGCCCAGTCTCCAAGAAGATCTGTGATTACTTCATAACCTCAGAAAATATTTTCTTAACCAGTCGGGATGGTGAATTCCAGCTAGGACTTCCTGTGGAACTGACTATAAACTTTATTAAAACTTCCACTCATGAATCCACATTTGTGCTCTTATTCCTGCAGACCAGGCCATTCCACTATGCCCACTACGAGGGCAGAAGAACCATATTTCTTTACACAAATGCCACCCTCAGTGGCACCAAGGAGGAAGAATCATGAAGAGAACACTGGTTCCTAGACCCTGTAAATCACAGAAGCCTAGCAGTGCCTCAGAAGTTGGAAAAAAGATTCAAGGCCAGCCCTAAGCACAGCAGTGGCTCTAAATATGTTGGCAGCTCTGTCCTTTTCCAGCCCTTCAGTATCTTGGGCTGTGGAGACTTTTTTAAGGAGCTTGTGTCAATTTCAAAGCTTTCCTCTGGAAGTCTAAGCCCTTCTTAACAGTTCTTTAATAGCTAAAAGGCAGAGTTGGATTCTGAAACTCCGTCACTCAGACATTTTGTAAAACTGATGTTAAGAGGATTTAAGCCGAAATGTTGGCACCGTCATTCTTTTCTTTCCCATCTGTCACTTTCTTGATCCTTGGCCCCCCTCAGACAACCCACCCTGATTAGAAATGGGAGTAATTTTAATGAATTTCAGCACTAAGGAGTCATTTGCTGAGGTTACCTGAGAATAATCCCCCACAACCCAACTCCTGAGAAAAATCAGTAATGTGTTCTGTAGTCATTATGCTATGACTGTATGTCATACTGGTCTCATAAATAACTTTTAGCCTAAAATCTTTAAAAAAAATTAAGTATTTGCTGTTCTGTTTTTCCCCCCTAGGAAATCTAGGTGAAGAGGTGGAGATGCATTCCCTCCAGTAAGACTAGAGATGAGATTTTCATGTCCCCTTTCTTCTCACTGGCTCAAAAATCAGCATAGACTGATTTGTAAGAGAAAGAAGTTACCTTTAGGAATATCTGTCATGAGGGTCTAATGTGGGAAATTGAAAAGGAAAGTAGGAAGTATAAGGAAGGGAAGAAAGATGAGAGGGTATCTCCAGGGGACATGGAAGCCTCGCCTGCAGGAACACTCTTTGACAGCATTCCAACAGGAGGAGAGGGTCTTCCTGTTTCCTAAGATTTGCGGAGGGGCTGGCACTGCCTTCCAGTCTAGGATCCAAGATCGCCTCTTTATAGCCAGCCCATCTGTCATCTGCTGCAGCTTAAAACCCGCCCCCCTGCCCTGGTCTCCAGGGCAGTTGGTCATAATTGGGCATTCCCTACTTTTTACACGTGGGAAGAGACCTTGTTTAAAACAGCCCCTCCTCCCCCTTTTTATGATGATAAAGTGAAGTAAAAAAAAAAAGTGTTTGTGGCTCAGACCTATAACCCCAGCACTTTGGGAGACCAAGGTGTGCAGATCCCCTGAGCCCAAGAGTTCAAGTCTACCCTGGTCAACATAGCAAGAGCCCATCTCTACAAAAAATTTTAAAAAATAGCCATGTGGTGGCCTGCACCTATAGTCCAAGCTACTTGGGAGCTAATGAGATGGGAGGATCGCTTGAGCTGAGAGGTCCAGCCTGGGCGTCACAGTGAGACCTCATTTCTTATAAACTAGCTGTTGAAATAGAAGCAACTCTCATTAAGAAGAAGAAAAGAGGTTTTGTTTTTTGTTTGGTGGAGAGAGGGAAATGGGGAGAACCTATCAGAATCTTATTAGCTCCTGTTTGAGAAAGGTTGTTCAAAACCTTTGGCAAAGACATAGAATAAAAGGCTCAGCACTCTACCAGCAAACCAAGAGGGGCAATGGTGGGGAGAAACCACTGGAAGCTGCAGTTCTGGGAGCTGTTACAGAGGAAACCGCCCAGTCTTCCTGTCTTCTGGGGGAATAGCTTGGAAGAGATGGTTCAGATGCTGGGGAGTGCTTCTAAGCAGATCTGAATGGGAGGAATAAAAGTGTTTTTCTCTAAGTCTAAACCAAACTAAACATTTAGGTAACCAAAGCCCGTGACTGGGATGTGTAGTTAATTTCCACTTCACAACATTTTGTATTTTTTTTTAATTTTACTTTAAGTTCTGGGATACATGTGCAGAATGTGCAGGTTTGTTACATAGGTACACATGTGCCATGGTGGTTTGCTGCACCTATCAACCTGTCATCTAGGTTTTAAGCCCTTCATGCATTAGGTATTTGTCCTAAGCATTTTGTATTTTTTAAACTTTGAAGTAAATAGATGATTAAGGTAGTTTCTATTGTAGCTACCTTCTATTGAAGGCAACTATTGTATAGTAAACTCTTGTAGAAAGAGTTATTCTTGAGATCTGTCTTTTCTAAACACGTGATGCTGTCTTGAAGTGACTATACATTAGAATAATCTCATTTTTCCTTAATAATTTTGGGTATCACCATAATATCAATTATTTTCCCCAGTCACCTTATAATGTAACCAGTTGGCTGTGCTGCAGTGATTGGAAAGAGGTACAGCTCATCACTGGTCAGAGAAGACTTCTAGTATGAGCCCGTCCTGAACATGAGGAGTACAGAGGAGTCTTCAAAAATGTTGGTTTGCTTTTTC
The DNA here is from genome assembly GCF_000001405.40 of Homo sapiens. NCBI lineage: Eukaryota > Metazoa > Chordata > Mammalia > Primates > Hominidae > Homo > Homo sapiens. The sequence continues at coordinate 40,904,689 of NC_000008.11, read as the reverse complement.
CATCAATCACCTGTCCATCTTAACAGTGACCAACTCGTTCCATCTTAACAGTAACCACTTCTGTTGAGCAACCAGGAGTTCCTTCCCTTTCTTGCCTTCCACTTCAATTCATTTCTCACCTCCCTTCAGTTTTTCTACCCCAACCTCACCCACCCCCAGGACTCCTCGTTTATTTCAAAGGGGGCAAATATACCTGCCCTGCAACACTGAGATAGAAAGTGCTTCCTCCAAATACGGCAGACCAGTGTCTCCTTGCTTGTGTTTGTCATTAATACTTTTCCTGGGTAATGTACATGCAGTCTTTGCTAAAGCACAACTGCCCAGGCCCTACTTACCAAGGCTTCTTCTGTGCTGGAGAAAGAGTAAGGGAATAGAGAAGAGGGAAAATGAGGTCCTGCCACCATCTCAATGCTTTTGGTGCTGCGCTTTCAATGGATGCTGAGTGGGACTTGTGTGTCCCAAAGATGGGATACTTCACTCTCTCCTGAGTGCTTTGAACATTCCTGAGCGACCTTTGGGCTAGATGTTACCTGAGCATTCTTCCTTTTGTTAAAGTGGTCAGTTTCCCCCAGCTGTGAATAGAGCCGATCTGCCCACTTTCTCATCAACTCTCCAGTGCTGGGATTTCTATACATGTTTGTCTAGGAGAATTCTAACTGCTGTGGGCATCATTGTGGATTGCAGGGGTGGGGGGTGGGGGTGGTTCCTATGGAAACAATAATGAAAATACAAACAAGAATGTGATTCATTTTAAACTCTGTGGTGCAGGGTACAATTGAAAGGGCTGGGCAGACAGGAGTAGTGAGGGAAGGGGAGATGTGGGCTGGGCCTTCAAGGATGACTGCAATCTCACACGAGAAGGCAAGGTGGGAGGGAGAAACTGAGGCAGCTATGCGAAGGTCAGGAGGTCAGAATGTGCAGATTCATGGGAAGGCTGTGATTAAATTGGGTTACATGAAGATGAGAGTAGAATAAGGCTAGGCAGATAGGATGGAGACAGATCTCACCCATCTCCGGAAGCCAGGCTGAGGGCAAACTAGGGGCTTTAGGCTTGGGATGCTTAAACCCCAGCCTCCTTCAATACGGAGTGTGTTTCTGGAAAGTCAGTGCTACACAAATATTTGGGGCAAATCTATTGATTAATTGATTGATTGAGACAGAGTCTCACTCTGTTGCCCAGGCTGGAGTGCAGTGGTGGAGTCTCGGCTGGTCAATTCAGGTCTGGGTACTAACTGAGTCAAAATATAGCAAAATGGAATGAAGGGGACCACAGACCGATCAAAGCAGGCAGCAGCGAAGAATGTGCGCAGCGTGTCCACATAGGTGTGTGCCTGCACGCACATTTGCATAAGGAAGGGGCTGGAAGGGTCTGCGCCATGGAAACAAGAAATTTTTATTTATTTATTTTTTTGGTTGGAGTCTTGCTCTGTCACCCAGGCTGTAGTGCAATGGAGTGATCTCGTCTCACTGCAACCTCCGGCTTCTGGGTTCAAGGGATTCTCCTGCCTCAGCCTCCTGAGTAGCTGGGACTACAGGTGTGTGCCATCACGCCAGGCTAATTTTTATATTTTTTGTAGAGACGGGACTTCACCATGTTGGCCAGGCTGGTCCCTCGGCCTCCCAAAGTGCTGGGATTACAGGTGTGAGCCACTGCACCGAGCCCAAATCATTTCTTTAACTCATATATCAAAGTTGATACATTTTGGAGTAGAATAGAAAGTCCACATGATTTGAATAATAAAGCATGCACATTTGAAGAAATTCTGGCTTGTGGCAGATCACTTGGATGACACCTTCACATTCGCAGGTCCTCTCTTACAGAGCAGCATAAATCAGTGGAACAGTTTGAGAATTTCCTTAGGCAACAATTTCCCGCAGCTGTGCCCCTATGTCCAGAGCAGCTTTCCTGCCCCTCTGAGCATCTTCAGGTCCCACCCCAAGAGCGGATGTAACATCTGGTCTAGGACAGCCAAGTGGCTATGCATCACAAGAATATTGACCCATGCCAAGACATTCCTGCTATTGTCACTAGGCTTAACATCAAGGGCAGGACATCTGCGTCTTCTTTTGTAGGTTTATTTGCCATCATTCTCTCAACAGCCTTAGAAACAATGATCACTCTGCTTTATAAATGAGGAAATGGTGTGTGGCAGGTGTTGTAAACACATGTTCAATGGGTTCTTTCAAGAAAGCAGCTATGTTAGAACGTGGGTCCTGTCTGGCAGGGGTCCAACAGCTGTCTCCATGTGTGCAGACCTTTATTCTAGAAGGGTGCTTCACACTACACATGGCCTGCCAGCCTCACAGAAGGCAAGCTGACCTTCTTAATTCAGCTCCCCTACCCCTGTCAATTGTTGCATCGCTGGATAATATTTCATGACATCTTTCAGCTGCATATTTCTTATGAAGAATTTAACTGAAGTAAAACAGAATTTAGGTGGGCAATCTAGCTTTGCAAGTCTCTCTCTACCTCTCCATCTGTCCCTGTCTCTGTCTTCCTCTTTCTCTTTTTCAGATTATTTACAACTCTGGCTCACTAATAAATGTGATTGTGATTTAAAGAAACAAAATCACCTGCTTTATTCATCAGGGTATGTTAAATAATAAAATATCCTTACTGTTTTCAAACCTCATGAAGCCTGTATATTCTAATACCAACTTTCTAAAGACTCATTAATAATTAATGAAATCATTAAGAATGGTTCATGTTGACTGACACCCTCCTGGCAGCCACAGTCTCCTCTTACGCTTTGTCAAAATGTCACTGGCTCCACAGGTTTGATTTTCATGGTGGGAGTGGGGGTGTGGGTGGAGGGGGAGGGAGTTTGATTTCACAACAGCTATCAGCTAGAACAGAAAGCTATGAAAATGTTCTTCCAAGTTTCTCTACTTAGGAGACTGTGCTGGGAGAAGTTTTCTGAACAACCTTTCATTCTTCCAATGCTAGGTTCAAGAAATCCTGCTAATATTATGTTTTCATTGAAATGGTATTGTAGGGCTGAAGTCAATAAGCAAAGATGTAGTGTTGAAAGTCACCCCCTTTGTTTTCCTCTTGTTTTCACACATTTTCCTCTTTCTTGGCATTGCCTAGATTTATTCTCCTCTTCTCCCTTTTAGAAACAGAATTTGGCATAAATAAATGATAACTGAGAAAATGGCATACACGGACAAGTAAATGCAAGATTTCTCCAGCCTCCCACGGTAGGTCATGGTCATTTGTTGTAGCAAGTGGTTACCCACAAGAATGATGGAGGTTCCGGCGGCTGCTGTCTAATTTGTGTTTTAATAAAGAAACCCACATTCTTTCCCTAATTACTCAAAATGGAACAGGAACCCCCAAAAGTCTTTCCCACCATTAATGTCCTGAAACTGTTAAATCAAAATGGACTGCTTTGCCGAGTATGGCCCACAACATGGAATTTGGTACATTTCATACCCCAGTGAATTTAAATTGTATGGAGCTGATATTTAATACAAATGCAAGTACCAGTGGAATCTGCATATTTAATATTCATTCTCTAACTCTCAGAATTAAGCAGTTGATCTATGGGACACAAAGGGAGAATCCTTCTCTCAAAGAGGATATTTTATGACCAGGCAGTTTAAAAGACACTGACATAAACAACTGTTTGAGGCTTGCTCTCTTTCTTTCTCTCTCTCTCATCTTCAAAAGGCAAAAAGTACATGTAAGGACATGCTGTTTTAGACAAAGCATTTTAGAAAATCACTTGAAATGTTTTCCCTTTCCTTCAGGGACAACTAAACCTTTGATAGATACTCAAGAGAGTTCTTATAATTTAGTTTATTTCTCTTATTTTCTTAAGGGGGGTGGAAAAAGAGATAGTATGAAGGCACAAAGCTGAAGCCTACTTTCACTCGAAAGTAAAAATCATACTGCTTAAATAATAAAAGTGTTATTTATGGTTTTTACACCATGACTGAACACACCAGATTTTCTAGGACAGTGTCAATTTCAAATGTATAGCTAAGTTTAGTTTCATTATTGTGCCTTTGTGTGATTTCACCTAGACAAAGGAATGAAATAGAAAACAAATATTTTGCTACATCCCTTGCCCTAGTTTTGAATTCCTAATATACGGTCACTGTCTCCTACTCATGCTGATATTTGGAAAGCCATTATGGAAAGGACTTCATTTTTTGAGGTCATGCCTCACAAGTAAAATGTGCATCCCACATCCTTTCATTTCCTTCAAATGCTTGAGGGAGGAGGAAGGTACTGGGTGAAGACCTGCCTCATTTTCCAGAGAGAACACAGAGAGCTTCGAGTGACTCTGGAGCTGCCGCATTTCACAGGCATTTCACAGTGGTTAGTCCTGAATTTTTAGCTCTTGGACTCCAGAGTGGGCCCCCTCCACACTCTGCTCTGCTGGAAGAGTAGTTGCAGTGGAATGAGGGTCGCATGAGGCTTAGGGCTGTGCACCCTGGATGCTTTGAATTGGGTTTTAGTAGTCAGCCCACTTATTGAGTGCTAGGTGCTATCTGTGGAGTGATAAAAATATGCATGATACCATCTCTGTCTTTACAGGGCTTGAAATGTATTTAGGGAAGCCAGGCATGTATGCATGAAATAGAAAGTCACCATACAAGGCAGTGGGGCACCTGCCATTTGCTGCAGAGGACGCAGCTGAAGATAAGGACTACAGCCATTCAAGGCCCCAGGGGAGGCCAGGGCAGGACTGGGACCAGAGCCTCACCAAAGACATGGAGATCCTAGGATAAGAAGGCTGAAGGGTTAGTTTCTGGATCATCTGAAATTTGATATTTTAAAAGCTTTCTTTAAAAGACGCTTTTATAATTCTCTCTTAAAAAATTCAGCCCATTTTGTCCTTTGCCATTTTTGAATTGGGTTATAGGTCTTGTACTTATTGATTTATAAAAGCTCTTTCATTTTAGAAACATTAATAATAAATATTTTACCTAGTTAAGAAAATTTAGCTGCCAAGTGATGTCTTTTCCATATGGTGACAAATACATTAAGGAGAGGGGAAGGTCAAAATTTGTGCTTTATGATTTCTTCTTAATTTTTAAAAATTTTTAATTTTATGGGAACATAGTGGGTGTATATATTTATGGGGTACACGAGATATTTTGATACAGGCATGCAATGTGTAATAATCACATTAGGGTAAATGGGGTATCTGGCACCTCAAGCATTTAGCATTTCCTTTTGTTACAAACAATCCAATTGTACTCTTTCAGTTATTTTAAAATGTACAATATGTTTTGCTGACTGTAATAACCCTGTTGTGCTGTCAAATACCAGATCCTATTCATTCTATCTAACTCTATTTTTGTACCTAGTAACCATTCCACCCCCGCCCCTTCCTAGCCTCTGGTAACCATCATTCTATTCTCTCTGTCCATGAGTTCAATTGTTTTAATTTTTAGCTCTCACAAATGAATGAAAACATGTGAAGTTTGTCTTTCCATGCCTGTTTTATTTCATTTAACAGAATGTCCTCCAGTTCCATCCATGGTGTTGTAAATGACAGGATCTCATTCCTTTTTATGGCTGAATAGTACTCCACTACGCATATGTACCACATTTTCTTCATCTAATTTATCTGTTGATGGACACTTACATTGCTTCCAGATCTTGTCTATTGTGAACAGAGCTGCAATAAACATGGCAGTGCAGGAATCTCTTCAAGATACTGATTTCTTTTTTGGGGGTATATACCTAGCAGTGGGATTGCTGGATCAGATGGTAGCTCTATATTTAGTTTTCTGACAAACCCCAATACTGTTCTCCATAGTGGCTGCATTAATTCACATTCTCACCAGCAATGTAGGAGGGTTCATTCTCTTTTCTTCACATCCTTGCCAGCATTTGTTATTGCCTGTCTTTTGGATAAAAGCCATTTTAACTAGGGTGAGACTTTATGATTTCTTGGTGAACAAGGAAAAGTGTTTAAGCTGTCCCCACCCTTTGATGGGTATGTTCTCTCTTCACGTGCGTAGGTTGTTGATGAAAGTCTAAGCGATTAATTTAAGCCATGTCAGAATAAACCAAAGTGAGGGTCCCAGCAGAATCATTCACTCTAGAATGCTCGGCTTTCTGGACCTCCCAGTGAGAACAGTGAGAAACTCCAGAGTTTTATGGATTTTAAGAATAGCTCTTCTGAGACTCTTTGGACAGGGTGCAAAGGAAAATTGTCTCCTCAGGTTGGGGGATGAGGGGGACTGTGAGATAAAGTACTGATAGATAAACTCCAGGTATGCACCTACTATGCTCCCCAAGCAATCTGCCATGTCCTTCACATGTCCTCCAGGGTGGCCCTGTGAAAAGCATTACTCCATCCCTTCAGCCCTCAACCTTGCTCGGCTTTCTAGAGTCTGTCTCATGCCGGCAGACACCCCATAGTTATTATTCTCTCTGCCCTCAGCAACATTTACCAGTTAGGGGGAAAATAAAGCCAGAAAATTGTTGCTATGGGCTCTGTTTTGTGGAAGTTAAAATGCTAGAGCAAGAATCTGATTGCTTGATAGCTCCATCTCTCTCTCTCTCTCCCTCCTACCCTCCTACCCCCCCACAGTTTCTCCTTCTTTTCCTCTCCCCTCCACCTCCTTCCCCCACCCCGCTCCCCCACATTTTCCTACTCCTCTCCCCTCTCTCCACTGGCCTCCCGGTCCTGCCCCCACATTGGGCTGGAGGAGAGCCTTACAGGTTGTCAATGAAACATGGAATTATTTCCTTTGATGGCTTAGATAATAGTAGGAGCCAAAGCAATGAGTGAGGTCGGCTGAAACCAATGCAGTCCTGCCCGGGACTGGAGAGCCAATCGCAAGAGCAGAGGGCGGGGCGTCGGAGCCAGCAGATAATTGCTAAGTGCATCGCTAGCACAGTTGGTCCGAGCTGCCGAAAGGTCTGGTCGCAGAGACAGGAACGTGTAATCCTCAGCGTGCTCCAGCCCACAGCTTCGCTCTACTGCTCGGCAGGGCAGCTGGCCTCTGGGCACCGGCGGCCCCTCTGCCTCGCGGAAAAGGTACCTCTGCCTGCGTCCCGGGGGTGCAGCGCCTGCGTCTCCATTGCCAGTGGCTTTGCAGTTTAGCCTAGGTGGAGGGATTGCAGAAAGAAAAGTTTCTGGGAGGGAATGTGATAAAGGTGGGAAATCACTGTCTTTTGTTGGGAGGAAAACAAGCGGACAATTTGGGAAACTTCTGCGCTGGCAAGAAATGGGCTTGTTTACTACTCCTAATTAGCTGCGCTCAGGTCTGTCTAAATAGGTCTGGTCTCAGGCTAGGGTGTCTGCAGGGCTGGGGTGGAGATTCGGGTGTGCTGGGTGAAAGAAGTTGGATCCCAGGGTGTGCTGTTTCCTGGTGCACCCATCATGGATAGGCTGGTTCCGAGAGAAACGTGATTGGTTGTTTGTGTTTTCCGCTATAGGGTCTGTCCCCTTCGTATTACCTTGATCTGCCTTCCCCAAACTATTGTGACCTTCAACTGGAGTCCTTCCTCAAACTTCTGCCTCCTTCCTGCCTGTCTCAGTTCATTTTATTTGGTGGAAGGAGACATTCCCCGGGGTGGGTGGGTGAGGATGGTCTATTCTGTTTGACCTGGTGGGCACCTACGTGACAACTTGGTGACACGCCAGCAAAACAGTTCTCAGAGGAGAGGAAATCACATAATTAATTAGCTCCCGAAAACTCTGGAAGACTTTCCAGGCTTGGGGTATCCTGAAAAAAAAAAAAAAAGAAAAAGCCAAAAAACGGGATAGAGAGTTCGGTTTGGTACCATGTGAAGCTTACACCCTTGTCCCCAGAAGGGGTGCCTGGCCCGGAGCATCCCCGCAGCTCTGGGAGGTGGAGGCTGGTGGAGGGGGTGGCTCCGTGTAGGTGCGCAGGTTGTTTTGGTGCACAGGTGCATTTGTGGCAGAGGTGGTGCTGAAGTCACCATCCACACTGCTTCTGCTAACTGCTCTTGAAGTAAAACAGCTCACCCCGGCAGGCAGCTGGTTCAGCCCAGAAGCACCCTTGAGCATTCTAAATCGCGAGACCTCAGGGGCCTCTCTTGCTCTGAGACCCTTGGGAAACTCCTTTCTCCCCCTGCCTCCTCCGCCTTTGGCTTCTGCTAAAGGGAGATATTAGGTAGGTGAGTCACTAGGAAGCAGGGACCCATGGGGAAGCAGGCGATGTGCTTGGTCTCGAACTTTCTTCCTCTTCTGCGAAGGCAGCTTCTGCTTGTGTGCCCACCGCACTTCACCAGTTGCGCTGCCTACCTGCGGGATACTCTGAAGCTGATAGTCTGGGGGTGATCTTCCAAGTCCTAGGGGCATTGAAGAGTTTAGATGATTTTCATCCCTCTGATTTCCGTTAAACCCGCAGCTGGGGAGTTCGATTCCCAGTCCTGACAAGACTGCATGTTCTGGGAGGGATTCTCCAGTGACACCTCTTCCTCAGGGCACCCTTCCACGGAGATGCAGATGACAGTCTTGATTCTCCAGCTCCACAAATCCCTTCCACTTTTTAATTCTTATTTTCTTTAACCACCACAACAGATTCTCCTCCACCTCCTGTAGGCAGCTATTTTGGGTGGGAACTGTGATTATTGAAACTCTATTCACAATGGTTAAAAAAATGCCTGCCCACTTTTTTTTTGGGGGGGGTGTCAAAATACCATCAGCGTTCTCTTCTGTACTTCCTATCTGACAGTAAACAAAACAATTTTGCAGCCCTGCCAATTATAATCTTTTTGTGTTTGGGGGGCCTGGAGCGGAAGCTGAACTTTTCCCAGCCGGTGGGCATGGTTAGTCATGGACGTCGTCCTCTGTGGCCTCTCCAGGGCACGTGACCCCCAGGGAGCCCAGGAGGGGCAGCCCCCAGCACGTGGGGGATCTTGCATGAGAGCACCTTGGTTTTCATGAAGGCAGTAAGGAAACCAGAAAATGCTTTTGAGTTTGAGGATTGCAAAACTGGGGGTTCCCTTTAATTGATGCCAATCTGTTGGATTTCTATCGTGATAGGAAACATTAAAAGTAAGGCATTTGAAACAGCTCCTGAAGGGTGAGTCATGCACAGAGGGAAGAGGCAGTGTGGGGGGAGGGGGCGGAGGGGGCCTTGGAAAGTACAAGTGGGACACGCTGGAGCGCTCGCTTTCCTTCCCTCTGCCTCCTCCTCAATCCTCTTTCTTGTATTTCCCCATTCGGAACAGAGATCATTAAAATAACAACTTTAGACCAAAAAAGGATCCTAGGAGCTGAAAAATAATTGACAAAGTGCAAAACACCCTCATTACAGCTTCACCTTGGATGGGGTGAGGTGTGAAACCCAGGACCCAGCGCCTCTGCTGCGATCCAGTTTGGAGAATCTAATTGCTGGTGTTAGGCTAATTAACTCCTTGTGAAGCTGCGTGCCTGTTTGTGTATGCAAGGACCGATGAATGCCTAGGAAATTAAATGTGTTACTTGTCATTTCATCAAACATGATGGCTTTGGCCAGGACCCTGGATAAGCACTATCCACAGACCCAGCGTTTTCTCCTCTTCCCAATTGGCCAAACTGGATCTCTCTCTCTTTTAACCACTATGGTGGGAAGGGGTTGTGTCTTTCTGCTTTTCCAAGCCCTGCGTGAGTTACCTGGCAAATAAAAGTCCTCTCCTTACCCCTCTGTCCCTCCATCCCTGTCATCCTTCTGTTATCCCTTTTCATCATAAACATATCAGTAAGTAATCTTTTGCCAACCTACTTTGATCTTGTCATTTTGTGCTGATTTTTCTGTTAAAGAAAATTGTCCCCTGAAATAAGACTGAAAACATATTAAAATTTTTATCAGAGAAGAGCCTTTTTGCCTTCTGCTTTAAAATTTAATTTTGTGCTTTTGGGGAAATCTAATAAGCACGCCTATTGTGTTCGCTGTTTTGGTAAACGCTTTTACAATGTCTTGTTTTTTTTTTCTGTGGATGTGTGAATTCCCTTCCTGTCCTAGGGGAAGGTGTGTCTGGAGATTTGAAACACTCTGGAACACCTCAGAAAGTTGAAGAGGTTGGAGCACGCTATTTCCATGTATTCAAGGTGGGGTGAAGGCTGTTTTGAAACCTAGACCCTGAAATGTATTCACCACACTCTGCTATTTTCCCTCTTCATCTTTCATTTAGGAAAATTTCATAGCCCAAATTATGACTAAATCATTCATCCTACTCACTCTCCTTCCCATGCTCGTGCCCCTTCCTCCCTTCCTCCATTCACCCTACATGTAGGGTTACCTCTCTTTCCTGGTTACTTTTTGTTTCTTCCTTCCTGTCATTTCAGGGGGCCCCAGGGTGGAGATCTAATTGTAGATGTTTTGTGCACCTCACTCCTGAAACAGTTAACCAGGGGACATCAGGAATTGTGGAATGTGATAGGAGCCTACCCTAGGGGAGCAATGAGGTAATCCTGTCCCCAAGTTCAGTTCTATGCAGACCTCACCAGAGCACCTGGAGTGGTGCAGCTGACCTGCATGAGGCAGACAGGGCAGATGCTTCGAAGCACAGTCCTGTCTGACACCTGGAGAGTCCCACCAGCCGCAAGCCCTCACTGTGCCACTGTCCTGAGGCCTGCGCCTGCTGCAGCCCCATGCGCAGAGCTGACCTTGGAAACATTAGCATGCAGGGAAATTTGCCTGCTGTGCTCTCAGTTTCTTTGCTCTTTGTTCTCACCCCTAAATCTGTTAATAGTTGGAAAGGATCAAATCTACTCATTCATACTAAGGTGTGAACAGTTAATAGTGTTGCTACTTACAGAGGTATTTACATTCTTAAAGGAAATCAAAGATGTGTGTATGTTCTCACTTATAAGTGGGAGCTAAGCATTGAGTACACATGGACATGAAGAGGGGAACAATAGGGGCCTACCTGAGGGTGGAGGGTGGGACGAGGGTAAGAATCAAAAACCTGCCTATCAGGTACTATGCTTACTACCTGGGTGATGAAATAATCTATCTGTACACCAAACCCCTGCCACGTGTAATTTATCCATTATAACAAACCTGCACATGTACCCCCGGACGTAAAATTAAAAAGTTGGAAAGAAAACAAAAGATGTGCACAGTCAAATTCCAGGCACCTGCTAGTGGGATTGGGCAGAGGCAGACTGAGTTTGGATGGGGAGCAGAGTGGGAAACGGCGGCCTTCGCTTTTTAGCTCTGGCTGGTCCTGCTCTGACCCATGCTGAAAACATGCTGCAGTGTCCCAGGGCTTTGTGATCTTACTATCTGGGCTCTGGCACTTGAGCTAGATCCCTCAGATTTGAACTTGGGCATGTGCTTATGTGCCTTTTCTGACTTTTAGTCCCCTTAGATATAGAGCCAGAGGTCAGGACTACGTTCTCACAGGCTCCTTTCCGCTCCAACCTTCTCTCTTGATTTTGCCACAGAGCCCTACATCCCACTGCAGATGCTACAGCTCTGGAAGCTCTCGGAGCCTGCAGAGCATCCTCTCGTGCGGGCCATGGTGATCAGCGATGCTTTCAGAGCTGGAATCCATGAGGGCAGCTCGGAAGATGTTGTAACAGAAGAAGCACAGGATGAGGGCTGATGTAATAACTGATTTTGGTTTAGGAGGGGATGTTATATGGAGGATGGCGACCAGCTGTTCTCCATCTCCAGCAAGGATTGAACTAGAGAAAATAGACAGAAATTGCAGCAGATGGACTTAGATTAGGTATGAGGAAGAATTTTCCATCAGCAAGAGATGTTAAAAAGGGAAGGTTGTTGAGCCTCTGTGATGATCTTTAGGAAACGGATAAGCAGGGGCTTTTAGCTGAGGCAGGAGCCACAGATCTGTGAGGAGGGAAAGGCAAGGGCCATGGAGTGCAGGCATCTGTGCCCTCTGCTGATGAGAACCCTTACCTATTTCCCTGAGCCTAGAGACCCTTCCCCTGCCCTGCACCAGCTGCCACCTGGACTGGCAGATTCTGTCTATTGCATGGGAATCATTCATCAAGTCTAATCTTTCACTTCCAGATGTGGCAGATGATGCCCAGAGAGGTAACAGGCCTTGGCGTTGTCACACAGCGAGCTGATAGCAGAGGGAGGACCAGAATCCAGGTCCTCCATGTCCCAAGTCAGTGTTATTTGCTTTGTAGTTCATTTTCTTCTTGTTTCCAAATTGAATAGACCATTTGCTTTCTCTAGGCTCCTAATTTCTCTGTAATCAAATGGCAAAGACAGGAACACCTGTGGTTAAGCAATATTTATTGAGTGCCTGTTACTAACACCATGCACTCCACTCCAGCTTCCCTGTTTATGCCGATGACTCTTTAGTTCTGGCTGAGTGGCTGGGAGGGGCTGCTGACCCATCCCTGGGGGGGCTCCTGAGTGTGGCTGTGAGGCCAGGGTGGCGGGAATGTGTTCTAGAAACCAGAGCTGAGAGGAGGGGATGGGTAGACCAGAAGAGGATGAGAAGAGAGACATGGGAGCAATGAGATACTTAATCTGAATCTTATGAAGGGAAGAAAGACTTTAGATATCTCTGCAAACTTCTCCCTGGATAAATGAAATAAGATGGGCCCATAGCATGGGATCACTCTGGGTAAGACACATCACCTGTTACCTTACGGAACGGGATGAAACATACCATGTGAGGGCGTTCAGGGAGGGTGGAGTGGTGGCCCAGTGGAGAGTGCACACCGCCACACACGTGGTGGCCTAGCTCCGGACCCAAAGGCAGGCTGTCAGTGAAGTTGGGAAGTCTCACAGTTTTGAGAATGAGGCCGTGACCAGCTGTGGAGGGTTTTGCTTTGTGTTGGTTTGAGCCAAGTAGGAAGCAAGATAAATTGGTGAACTGAGCACCACAAAATAAAACCATTCTGTGTGTAGCCCTGAGAAGAAAGAAGAAAGCACCCCAGTTAGTGATGAGCTAGGCATCAAGAGGACAGCTCAGGGTCGGCAGTGAGTGTGGGGAGGCGCGACCCTTCCATGCCCCTGGCTGGCCAGGGTGTCCCTGTGCTAACAAAGGCATCCTGGGCCTTTGTGCCCAGCACGGAGGTAGGCACTAGGGGATCTACCAGAAGGAAGAGGGGTTTTTTCTCCTGCAGGAACTGGCCCAGCGAGACCATCAGCCCCTCAGGCAGCAGGGCAGGGTGCCCTTCCAGGGATTGGCTGAGACAAGGCGTGGAGAAGCCTCAGGGGCAGAGGGCCCAGGGAACGCCAGGGGCTGGTGGGCCAGGCAGGGAGCCCAGGGTGTGAGACAGGCTCAAGCTTGGGAAGGTGCAGATGCGGGAAGAGCGGTGCGTCAGCCCAGAAAGGGAGGAAACCCAGGGACCACAGTGCCCATCTGCAGAGGGCAGAGCAGCCCACATGGCCCATGGAGAGAACCCAAGGGATACACCAGGCAGGGTGGCCAACGTGGTGACCACCATGTGTCCTTACCACTCACAATGATGTTCACTGAGATCACCACACTGTCTTCAATTTCCCCTTCCCCCTCCCCCCTCCCCCTTCCCCCTTGCTCTCCTCTCAAGTCTTCTCCTCTCCTCTCCTCTCCTCTCCTCTCCTCTCCTCTCCCCACTCTGTTGCCCAGGCTGGAGTGCAATGGTGCAATTATGGTTTACTGTAGCCTCGAACTCCTGGCCTCAAGCAATCCTCCCACCTTAGCTCCCAAAGCTCTGGGATTACAAGCACACACTGCCGCATCCAGCCCCCGCCCTCGATTTTGATGCCGCAGACATTACTGGAATATAGTCAGGTGTATTAGGTGGATAGAGTGCATCTGGGTGTAGGGTACACCATGATTCTCCTTATTTGGGGTGGGCAGAGGAGCCGCTGGGAGTGAGGAACACCTGAATGGGACCTGAGGCTTGAATAGGTACCATCAGGTGGATGGGAGGAGGGTAAGAAAGAGGGAGCCACGGTAGCAAAACTCCATCCAGCGCATGATTGGCACAATGTGTCAGTGAGATGTGGATGTTGCTGAATCTGCCCATACGAGGCATGTTTTGGGGGCAAGGGGAGGTAGGGTTGTGGGTGCCCACCAGGTAGGGAGGGAGGGGCCACTGCCACATGAAGGAGCAGAAAACTGTCAGGCAGGAAATGACATGCTCACATTTGCATCTAGGAAAAATGGTCCAGCAGTTGTGAAATGAAGAGTGGAGGTGAGGTTTGAGAGGGGCGCAAAGGGGAGAGGCCAGTTCAGAAGTAATTTGCTGCTGTCCAGGTGAGAAATGGCGAGGGCCCGCAGGAAGACAGTGGCAATGGGGAGGGGGAGGAGGGCAGCATCAGAAGCCGATACTTTGACTTCATAAGTTACACTAGATCAGGGAAAAATGAAGAGGAATTATTCATCCCCGGGAGGAGAAGCTGACAGGTGACAAAGAAAGGTCATAGTGTTAGGTGAAAGAGAGAGCAGTGTTCCCTCTGAAGATGGGATGGGAGGAAATGGGTTTAAACTATAGGAGAAGGATCCACACTGGACATTTAAATTAATGCTTCAGTGGAGGTGTTCGTGAGACGTGGGGAATGGGATCTTTCAAGGGGTTTGTGGATTCATTCTCTTTTTCAAAAAGTGTTTTTAAAAATCAGCCTTTCCCTGATAGAGAAGTGAGCAAAGAATGGGAATAGACAGTTCACATAACAAAAGAAGTAAGAAAAATATGTAAAAGAAAAGTGTCTCTCCTCACTAATAACAAAAATGTGAAATTAAAACAAGTTATCGTTATCCATTTAACAGATTAGCAGAAATTAAAAATGATAATGTAATATCCAGTGTTGCTGGGAAATGGACATTTTTAGACTTAGCTGGTGGATATGTGAAATGAGATAATTTGGAAACATAGGAGATGTGTCTCAAAAAAATATACTCTTTGAACCAGTCAGCAATTCCTCTTCTAGGAATTTATCCTAAGGAAATAGTTAGAGATGTGCAAAATAGTTCTAATTAAGAATATTCCTTTCAGCATTATTCATTACAGCAAACATTGCATGGAGGCATTAATTAAATATATTATGGTTCCTCCATAAAATGGAAATCAAGAAAACTATTAAAATTACATTGAATAATACATAAGAATATGGGAAAATGCTAATAATATATATTAAGCAAGTAAAGACTTAAAAGTAAATAGAGTATAATTGCAATTAAAACAAAAGGTGTATGTAGTCCTGAGAACTAGAGCAGAATATTATATTATCAAAATTTTCATGGTGGTTATCACTGCATTTTGGGAAACATATGACTTTTGATTTCTTTAAACTTTTTTGTGCTATCCAAATTTCCTCCAGTAAACATGTTATTTTACAAATTAGACAACATGCTTTCTAAATCAGTCATTCCAACCACAAATGTTCAAGCAGTGACTATCCATGTAGCAAAGCTGGGTGCGATGCTGTTCACTAAGATGTGAAATGCCTGCATCCTGAGTCCATTTGGTGGGAGAAGATAAACGCTCACGTGAAATGCGGCAAGTGCCGCCTGCTTTGTCAGTAAGGGCTGGACCTCTGCTGCAGCCAGGTGTGAAGTGTGCAAGATCCCTGTGCAGGGAATATCCTTGTTCCTTCCTCTTCGCTGCATTCCCACCTCCGGGCCCTGTCACCTGCAGTGGTCAGGCCTGTCTTAGCATTTCAAGGGGTGCATCACATATATCTGCTCATTTCACAAGCAGAGAAGTTGAGGCTCCGAGCAAAAGGCTGTCTTGGTCAGGGTCACAAAGTCAGTGAGTGGTTTTGTTAGGTATGAAAACAAGAAACTTTACTGCCCCACACCATGCTCTTTTCAGAGTGGGCTACTCTGGGGGTTCCATGTGCTCTAGAAGTGAGTGGTAGATTTCTGCAAGAAGGTGTGAAGCCACCCTTCCTTCCTGTCATCCTTCCTTCCCAGAAGCCATGCCTTTGGCTTAATCCACTTATTAATTAAGACCAAATGCATGTGTGGCAGCTATTCCATTTACAGCAGGGACTTTGGGTACTGCGGGCCCCCCCGAGGTGGCCCTCTGGGTCTCCTCCTGATGGAGTGTCGCATTTGTTAATGCTTTTCCAGAATGTGTTTGCTCCCTGCTGTGGTTTCCTTTGTTGCATAAACTCTGGGCAGCCTGAGACAGTCTCCACGGGGTGAAAGTCACAGTTGGCTGGCTCTGTGATGGGTGCCAGGGCCACCTGGGGGCTCTGGGGCACCTTCTCTAAGCAGTGCAGGTGACGGCTCTGATGGGCATGCCTTTGGACCGTTCACAGGCTAATTGGGAAAAGTGGACAGGCCTGCCTGAAGGTAGGGCATGACAAAGAGGAGTGGTGTAGGCTGCATGGCTGTTTGCTGCTCTGTTTATTTTAATAATAACTCATTGTGTGGTGTTTTGTATTTACAAGCCTCAGAGGTGGGTGGGGAAGGTGCTGGCATCCCCATTTTGCAGAGGGGGAAATCGATACTTGGAAAGGCAAAGCCACTCTCCTTAGTTTGTAAGGGCAGCAGGCATAATAGCCAGGCATGGAATGAGCTAGATTTTCTGTCTGCAAATACAGCCCTACCTGTCATGGAGAAGGGCTTCCTGCTGGCCTACCTGATGTTTCTGGAGAAGGAGGGGTGTGGAGTAGCACTCTGTTCGGCCCTGGCCTATGCTGAAGGAGTTAAGAGTAAGAGATGACTTTGGGTCCAAGGGTGTATTCAGCTGAGGTAGAGTGTAGGTGCTGAGAAAAGTGGATAGTGCTGAGGGTGAACACGGACTCACAGGATTCATGGAGGCAGAGGGTCCCAAGCCCTGAGCATTGAAGGATGAGGGCCTCATGGGAGGCAGGAGGGGTGTGCTGGGGACAAGTGGAGATCTGGAGCTGAGACCTGGCGTGAACTTTGTGTGGCTCCTCAGGGGCAGATTGGCTCCACAAGGGGATGGGAGGGGACAATGGCCAGAGGTGCCCCAGCATTCCAGGATCTGTCTCAGAAGTCTCTCCTGTTTATTACACCTGCAATAACATGGCTGTGAGAGGACCGAAGGGAGGGGGAGCCGAGAGGCAGGGGAAGTGGGTTGAGGGGTCTCATACCTGTTCTTTCCCCTCTGCCGTGTCTCTGGGTTTTGTTCCTGTTGAGAATGCAATTGCTCTGCGGGGTTGCAGGAAGAGAGAAAGGAAGACTGGGAGGGTTGCTCGCCTGCCAGTTCTTACCATGCTTTGGGAAACACATGACTTCTGATTTCTTTAAACTTTTTTTTTGTATTTTCCAAATTTCCTATACCAAACCACTATTTTACAAATCAGAAAACATACTTTTTTTTTTTTTTTCTGAGATGAAGTCTCGCTATGTCGCTCAGGCTGGAGTGCAGTGGTACAATCTCAGCTCACTGCAACCTCTGCCTCCTGGGTTCAAGCAATTCTCTTGTCTCAGCCTCCCGAGTAGCTGGGATTACAGGTGCCCACCATGATGCCTGGCTAATTTTTGTATTTTTAGTAGAGATGGGGTTTCACCATGTTGGCCAGGCTGGTCTTGAACTCCCAACCTCAGGTGATCCACCCTCCTCAGGCTCCCAAAGTGTTGGGATTACAGGATTACAGGCGTGAGCCACCGTGCCTGGCCAAAACCGGCTTTTTTTTTTTTTTTTTTTGAGACGGAGTCTTGCTCTGTCACCCAGGCTGGAGTGCAGTGGCATGATCTCCACTCACTGCAAGCTCCGCCTCCTGGGTTCACGCCATTCTCCCACCTCAGCCTCCCAAGTAGCTGGGACTACAGGCGCCCGCCACCACGCCAGGTTAATTTTTTGTATTTTTAGTAGAGACGGGGTTTCACCATGTTAGCCAGGTTGGTCTCGATCTCCTGACCTCGTGTTCTGCCCGCCTTGGCCTCCCAAAGTGCTGGGATTATAGGCGTGAGCCACTGCGCCCTACCTCAAAACTGGGCTTTTTAAATCAGTCATTCCAATCACAAGTGTTCAAGCAGTTACCATTCATGTAGCAAGGTTAGGATAGGAGGATTTTCGGAATGTGGGAAGAGAAAGGAGAAGTTATGAGACATCAAGAAAAATAAAAAGGAAAAAAAAGGGAGCAGAGTGGGGAGTTGTTGGAGAACCCAGGAGGGATGTTCAGAAATTCGGGAGCAGCTCATGGCACAGCAACAAGCCTGTGCGTAATCTCTTTTAAAGTTAGAGGTAGACTTTTGGTGTGATAAGACACAAACCAGAAAGAAAGAAATAGAACCTAAGGCTGCCTGCCCACTGTTTTCAGATGTTTAAGCATTTGGTCATCACCCTGGTTTTACAGATGAGAAAACCAAGACTCACCAAGGTGACACTTGTCCTGAGTGGGCGACTCCAAGCCTGTGCGCCGTCTGCTGTGCTGCACCGTCCACTCACCCTTCCTGGGCTGCAGCCAGGACTCCAAGCTGCGTGACTCTGGAGGCCTGGAGGAGCGAGGGAAGGAAGCATTTGGGGCATTGCTCTGTCTGCCTCCAGAGAAGCTGCTTCTGCATTTGCCCCTTCTGATCCCCAGGGGCCTGAAGAAGGATGCCAGCAGGGCATTCCCTGATCTGTCCCCTTTGTCTCTGGGGACTGTTTGGCTTCAGTCTCTTTAGCAAGGGACACCCTGGCTCTGGGGCTGTGTGAGCTCTGAGCCATGGCTCTGTTCTTTGATTTCTCCATGAGGCAAACAATGTGCTTCTCTTTCCCATCCTTCAGTTTCCTTAATAGGAGATATGAGCTTTTGACATGTTATGTGTTCTTTTATTCAGTGCTCAGAATGTTGGGAATTGGTAGGTACACTTCTAAACTTAGAGGATTCAGAATGGACAAAACTGACCCAGTTCCCAGCCTCTCAGAGCTTAGATTCAAGTGGGGGAGATGGACGGCAAACACATAAGCAAACCTGTGGAAGGGCCAATGAGTGCAAGGGAGAAACGTGAAGCCCCACAAGGGGAACAGGGAGTGAGAGGGTCTCACTTATACATGCCACTTAGGCAGAGACCTGAAGGCAGCGAGGGATGGTCCCCGTGGGTATTTGGGGGACGAGCAGTCCAGCCCAAGAAGACCCTGAAGCTGGAGACACTTGGGGTGCCAGGAATAGCAGCGAGGACAGGGTGTGCTTCCTTGAACCACTGGGATTTTTGAGCTGAGGAGTAACACAGTCCATGATTTAAAACGATTGCTCAGGAGGATCACTTGAGGCCAGGAGTTCGAGGCTGCAGTGAGCTATGACTGTGCCACTGCACTCCAGCCTGGGTGACAGAGCAAGACTCGTCTTAAAATAAATACATGAATAAATAAAAATGTAAAAAATGAATAAATAGGTTACTCTGGTTGCTATGTTGACAGTACAGTGGAGTGGGGCTCTGTGGAGGCAGAGGCGCCCTCGGAGGCACTGGTCCTGGCAAGAAGGGAGATGGCTCGGGTCGGATGGTAACAGCGGGGAGGGAGAGGGAGAGGGCAGATCCTGGATGTACTTTGAAGGGAGAGCTGGCAGGATTTGCTGATGGGTTGAAGGTGGGGTTTGAGAGACTAGAGGGTTCGAGGATGATTCCAAGGCTTTTGGCCTGAGATGGTGGGAAAGACTGTAGAAGGAGCAAATTAGAAATTGTGAGGAGTAGAGAGGGAGGAAACGAGTTTGTTTTGGGGGTTGCTGGAGCTCTAGTGAAATGCCCACTAGATAGTTGTGTTTTGGTCTGGAGTTCAGAGACGAGCTCTAAGCTAGACAACCCTGGGAGTGATCAGAGTTTCATGGTGTCTGTGAGATCACCTAGGGAGTGAGTGTAGACAGACAGGACGTAGAAAGGCGGATCCTGAGAATGGCAGTATTTATAGATCTAGGATGGGGTTTGCAAACTCTTTCTTAAAGAGCCAGATAGTAGATATTTTAGGCTTTGCAGACTGCACAGTGTTTACTGCAGCTACTCAGCATTGCTGCTGCAGCACGGAAGCAGCCATAGAGGACATATAAATGAAGGAGCATGGCTGTATTCCAATAAAACTTTATTTACAAAGCCGGAAACCCACCCATAGGCCATAGGTTTGCTGACCTTGGATCCAGAACACTGGAGAGGAACCAGCAATGGGGACTGAAGCAGGAGCAGCCTGGAGATTGGGGTGGACCAGGAGAGGAGGTTGCTTCAGAAACTAAGCAAAGCATTTTTGCAGAAGAAAGTAGTGATCTGCTGGGTCAAATCCTGCTGGCATAAGAAGTAAGATGAGGACTGAAAATTGCACGTGAGCAGTGTAGAGGCCGTGGATGAGCTGATGAAAGCACTTTGGTTGAGGATGAGGTGAGAGGCTCTTTGGAGTGAGTTCAAGGAGAGGCATTGGAGATAGTGCATGCAAACAGCTTCATGGAGGAGTGGAGCTGTAAAGCTGTGCAAAAAAAAAAAATGAAATGTCAACTCTAGGGATACATGGGGTGAAAGCTAGTGTTGGTTATTTAAAAATGGGAAAAGTAGCGGGATGTTTGTATTGGATGGAAATGGGCCAGTGGGCAGGGTACAAAGATGATGGGTGGGGGCGGAGGTGAGAATGGCCTTGAGTGGGTGAGGGAGTGAGGCCTGGCCTCTTGGACAGCTCTCAGGGGAAGAGGAGTCCGTAGCCAGAGGCCATGTGATGGGGTGGGTGAGGCGGGGTGGGGGACCCTCTTGGATGCCTTCATTTTTCTCAGAGAGTAGCATGGTGGATCACAAGCTTCGAGACAGGACAGCGAGGACCTCAGTCCAGCGGGTGGTGGAGACAAATGCTCCCTGCACACAGAGCGAGAGGGATGCCAGACAATGACAGAGAGTTGTGCTGCGTCTCTAAATCAAAATTAAAAGGTTTCTGCCGATGCTATCACTTGAGCTTTTCACTGCGAAAGGGGCTCTGTGAGCTCTGGAGAGTTATGACTGAATTAATAAGGCCAGGATGAGGGCATGGATCGAGATCCTCAAAAACAGTCTCATAGATTCCTACAGGCCTGGAGCTGCTGCGGAGGTAGCTCTCGTAGGATTGAATTGAAAAGAAACAAGAGTTGTTGCCCAGAGTGAGTAATAACCCTCCTCAGAAGTCAGACAGGTGGCAATAAAGAGTCCATTGGCCTGGGCTCAGGGGGAGTTAGGGGAGATCAGGGCACTTTTTTCTCTCCTCCTAAAGCTTTTTGCTTTCGAGATCTCTTGCTTTGTTTTTAAAAGTATCTTCCTATGAGGGAGGAGGCAGTGAGAGGAAGGCCACCTTCTCTAACTTTTACCTTAAGAAACTGTCTTGGAGAGAGAAGGGACTTACCTACGGTTGTGTGATTTGAATGGGAGGGTGGATCTCAGAAGGTGGGAGCTGAATCCTTTGCTGTCTTCCTCTCAGACATCCAGGAGGGAGAAGGGGAGGCAAGGAGAGGAAGAGACTTCCTGGAGAGGGGTTCGACATTCCAGGTAGTCCGGGAAGAGGGAAATGCTGGTGTGAACCATGACGAAATGGAACACCTAATGGTTCTATTTCCATGTCTACAGGAAAAGAAATAGGAAAACAGACTAGGGAACATGTGACTTGTCAGGAAGGAAACTGCCTTGGGGTTTTGGAAAAGAGAACCGTCCAAGGTCACATACCTGGAGAATGACTTTTTGTGGAGACTGCTCTGCCCAGGACTGAGGGTGGGAACTGAGGCTGAAGGGACACACAGCATTTGCTCAGGGAGCCTCAGCAAGGGTGCCAAGGGACCTGTTTATGTCAGTGCACCATCAGCACAGCCCGGAATGGCTTTGGCCTCATGATGTGCAATTGGCCCTGGGTCTGTCAATTTCTCTGAGAGGGAACTCTTCCTGTTGCAAAGGGTCCAGCACACTGGGTTCACTTAGACGGCAAGGTTGAGTGCCAGAGTGATAACGGCAATAAGGAGTTTGTGGCTCAGGATTAAGCAGGGAAGAGAACTCACACATCTTTTCTTCACATCTGACTCCCGGTGGTCTTTTTGGGATGAAATAGAGAACGTGGGAGCACAGAGCTATAGCGAACCGAAGTTGATCTAATCCAAGGTAACTCCACAGATTTCTCTCAAATAGTCCAGGAGGCTGCTCAAAGTCCCACTGTCCCCAGCTCTGAAACACCTGGTACCTGTCTCATGGGGGGGGATTAGATGGAGTGCAGGTGCCAAGCGTCTAGCGTATTGCCTGTAACATACAAAGTGTTCCAGGATTTATGGCAAGTGATAAAAGCCGCTGCTGGTGGTGGTGGTGGCAGCAGGCATGTAGGGGTTCTCTCTCCCGGTGTGCCAGGCCAGGGGGCTGGGGTGGCCAGGTCATGGGTAACCTGTGCTGCTGCTTGCTGCAGAGCTTCTGGGTTGGTAAGTAAGAAAGCTACAATACCTGTGTCCGACTTTCACAGCTCCAGCACTTCCTTCCAAATATTGCCGGCCAGGGTTTTTGCGTTCTTTGGAAGAAAGACACCGGAGAGGAACAAGGTAGCGTTGCCAGGGTAGCACCTTCAGAAAAATAAATCCTGGAAAGGAAACTCTGAAAGCTTCTAGAACCATAATATTGAGACAGATTTAAAGGGAACCCAAAATTCCTGCAATGCTTGGAAGAGCAGAAACATAGATTTCTCATACTAATCAAGTGATTTGTGGGAAAACCCTATCGATCTCTCTAACCTGAGCTGAATCAAGTGAACGATCAGCTGTGAGTTGCAGAATGAGCTCCGAGGCGGCCACAAGGCTGGTTTATGATTCTGCAGAACTTTTCTGAGGCATGAACTCCTGGACAAGCAGGTGATTTCAAAGGAAAGAAATGCCCTCCCTCCTCACCTTTCCTTCAGCTGTTGGTGCAGGGATTGATGTTGGGTGAAAGGGTGTCCTCTAATTAGGCCCTGGGCAGGCTTTCTGGGGCTCTCATCCTTCCAGGTGATTCTGCGCGCTACATGGGGGAGGTGGTGGCATGTGTCCTCAGGCTTCTGAGGAGTGGCGGTGATGGAGAGTGGCTGGCCTGACTGTGCACTTAAACACTACATTGTCTTGGGAACTGTTGGGCCGAGCTATTCCCATCTCTGTATGGAAAAAATACAATCAACTTCGCGCTGCACCTCCTACAAGGAAAAGAATGGGTGTTCTGATACCATGGGCTTTGGGGAGAGCTGTTTTTTCAAGCTGATCCATGTTATCAGTCCCCATACAGTTGCTCCTAAGTATTGCTGCTTTGACAAGGAACTGATATTATTCTTTCTTTCTCTCTCTCTTTTCTTTTCTTTTCTTTCTTTCTTTCTTTCTTTCTTTCTTTCTTTCTTTCTTTCTTTCTTTCTTTCTTTCTTTCTTTCTTTCTGTCTCTCTCTCTCCCCTTCCTTCCTTCCTCTTTCTTTCTTTCTTTCTTTCTTTCTTTCTTTCTTTCTTTCTTTCTTTCTTTCTTTCTTTCTTTCTCTCTTTCTTCTTTTTCTTCCTTTCTTTCTCTCTCTCTTTCTTTCTTTTGACAGAGTCTTGCTCTGTTGCCCAGGCTGGAGTGCAGTGGTGTCTCACAGCTCACTGAAACCTCTACCTCCTGGGCTCAGGTGATTCTCCTGCCTCAGCCTCCTCAGTAGCCAGGACCACAGGTGTGCACCACCATGCGTGGCTAATATTTTTTTGTTTCTACAAATTTTTGTAGAGATGGGGACTCGCTATGTTACTCAGGCTGATCTTGAACTCCTGGCCTCAAACGATCCTCCCAGTTCGGCCTCTCAAAGCACTGAGATTACAGTGCATCAGCAACCATGCCCAGCCAGTGAACTGGTATTTTTCAATCAAGGCTTACATAAATTCCAGAACATTCTAAGTAGTCTCAAGAGAGGTTAGACGAAACCAGTTTAAATGTTTCTTAACCTACAGGGAAGACGCTGTGTCATACTTAATGGTGTGGGGAGTTGGGCGGTTGTTTGGGTTGGGCTGAGCTGAGGAGGAGTTAGGGGGTGATGTGTGAATCTCGGCACAAGCGTAGAGTGTGAAAACATTCAACATTCTGGGGGGTGTTTTCCACACAGAAAATAAATTTACTATAGTTCAGAGAAAGAGAAATATAACAGCTAAAAATACATGGAAGGATGTTTAACTCCCTGAGTAATTAGCATAGTATCATAGTCAGGTGGGTAGCTTTGGAGCCAAGCGTGGAGTCCCGGCTCTGAAGTTAGAGGTTTGGCCTTCTGCAAGTTACTTGGTTGTACCTCGTTTCTTCCTCTCAGAATGAGGACAACATGGCCTACCTCATAGGCATTTTGTGGTGAAGGGAGATGATTCAAGGCAAGCACTTATCACCAATAAGAATTCCAACAATAACAATAATAAAAATGTTAATTAGAATGGAAATGAGTTGCCATTTTCCAGCTATAAAATTATTGAAGGTTAAAGATGACATTGCTCAGTGTCACAGAGATACAGTAAGGAACTTTAATTGGTGCCCTCTTTCTGGAAAGCGTGATTTTTTAGGATTTCTGTACTTTTTTTTTTTTTTTGAGATGGAGTTTCGCTCTTGTTGCCCAAGCTGGAGTGCAATGTCATGATCTCAGTTCACTGCAACCTCTGCCTCCCAGGTTCGAGTGATTCTCCTGCCTCAGCCTCCCGAGTAGCTGGGATTACAGGCATGTGCCACGACGCTCGGCTAATTTTTTGTATTTTTAGTAGAAATGGGGTTTCACCATGTGGGCCAGGCTGGTCTTGAACTCCTGACCTCAGGTAATCCACCCGTCTTGGCCTTCCAAAGTGCTGGGATTATAGGTGTGGGCCACCATGCCTGGCCGGATTTCTGCACCTTTTGATTTAGTTCTAGGATCCTATCCTAGGGAAATAATCAGAAATGTGGGGAAATATGCGTGCACAAAATCATTCACTGCAGTACTATCTATCTTCCTGAAAAACTGGAATCAACCTCCCCAGCAGTGGAGAACTAGTTAAGTAAACTAGTTCGGTACGTCCATACAATGGAGTATTAGGCTACCATATACAATTATTTGAAGCAGGTTAATGATGTGAGACAATGCTCATAAAGCTGAAAGTGAAATATCTTCAAACTGGCTAATGGAATATGTCTATGTGCATAAATGTAAATAAAATACGCCAAAATGCTAATAGAGATTCTCTCTGGATGGTAAGATGATTGATGATTTTTGTTTTCTTCTTTATATATTTTTTTGCGGTTTTCAAATATTTTACAGTGAGTCTTTATTCATTTTTATAACACAAATAATAAAAATTACAGAAAGAAAATGAGACCCAGTTGCCTCTGAGTCGTTCCCCTTTTTAGGAAGTGAGTGTTTTACTATGGATCCGTCCTGGCATGGATTTCCTAGAAGCCCATCAGAAGGCTTTGTGTGGAACCGTTTTTTACTCCTCCCTGATTCACATGGAAATAACAAATGTTTTGGGGATGGAAACAAACGTTTATTTCATTTTTATTTTTTAAGAGACAGGGTCTCACTTTGTTGCCCAGGCTGGAGTGCAGTGGTGTGATCACAGCTCACTGCAGACTGGAAGTCCTGGGTTCAAGGGCTCCCTCTGCCTCAGCCTCCTGAGTAGCTGGGACTACAGGTGAGAGCCACCATGCCTGGCTAATTTTTTAAATTTTTTGTAGAGCTCGGGTCTGGCCACGTTGCTCAGGATGGTCTTGAACTCCTAGGGTCAGGTGATCCTCCTGTCTTGGCCTCCCAAAGTGTTGGGATTGTAGGTACGCACCACCATACTCGGCTGAAACAAATATTTTGGAACAAAGAGGTAGACATGGGTGTGCTGTGGAGACAGCATCAGGCACAGTGCATTGCCTGTCCTCGTTTGCATGCTGCCCTGAACTTCATTAGCTTCCAGGAAGCCACAGACAGGGTAGACTCCCCAAGTGCTAGTCAGTAGCAAAGCCACAGCCAGAATGGAAATCAGCTGCCCTCTCTTCTTTAGAATTGTCATTGGAAAGCCAGGAAGCAGTTTCTTAAAACAAAAAAGCAGCCCTGCCCACTCAATGCTAATAGAACATGGGGCTGGAGATGCCTGGGATGCTGGAAAAACACTCAGCAGAGACGATGGGCCCAGAGGAGGGGGCATCTCCCAGGAAACAGGCCTCCGAGGCCAGAGCTGCATCTCTGGTTTCTCTCACCTGCCGCACCTTGCGTGGCGAGAACGGTGCCATGGGAAGGAAATGTTTGTAAATTCTGTGGTACATTGAGTGCACCAGGGGAACGGGCTACTTAACAGAGATAATTTTCTTATACAACAAATATATTTTGAGGATATGTAGCATGTCAGGTCTTGGGCTATGTGCTAGACATTCCCTGCTGAGTATAAAATAGAGGCCTTGGCCTGTGTGGAGTGAACCCATTTTTCTAAGTTGGACAACTTACTTCTGATATATCTGGTTTCAAATCAGAATTTTTAAATGTATTGGTTTTACTGAAAATAGGACACACTTGCTTTAGATCTGTGAAATATTGTAGAAATAGTGTTTTTTTTCTTTTAGTGCAGATGTCCCCAGTGTTCTATAAGTTTAAATATTTTTGTTTAATTCATTCTTAACACCATCATCTGTGAGATGGGGCAAGGAGGGGGAGCCACCTGACTTCAAGTGAGGACTGGGGGGACAGGTTTTGGCCCTAACTTTGCCCCTTCTGAAATGTTTCAGGCCACCCCTCGACTTCCGTTCAATGATACTGGCTTTCATGATTGACGGTTGACCACTGGCCACTTGGAGGCCCTTTGCTGAGGAGCCGCTATATGTTTTCTGCCATTGGAAGCCATTCATTCATTCATTGTAGAGCTTTTTTAAGGCTTGAAAATTCAGTGGCTATTGTGTTATTCTTTCATTACTCTGGGTGCCAGAATGAGCTCCCTAAAATCCTCGGAGGCTCCAGGTTTGGTTTAGCAAATGTAAATTATGACTTCTGTATGGATGCAGCTTTCCACTGTTCAGTGTGTCGGGACTTGGGTTCCCTCTCCCTGCTTTTGGAATGCGCCCAGGTGTTTTGCTTCTTTTAAAGATCTGACATGACCGTGGCCAGCTCTATAAATAGTTCCAAACAGCAGCTATAATGCTGGTGTGATGCTGATTTTTTTCTCTGCCACCCACTGAAAGTCTTGGGAGAAAACTCTCTCCGTCTTTCTCTGTCTCCCTACTCCGTCTCTCTCTGTCTCTGTTTCCCTCTACACACACACACACGCATATGTTTATAGTTCCATGTCTAAACAGAAGTAAAAATTTTGAATGTGTTCAAACACATCTGTGGTTTTGTTTCTTTCATTTTTTTAGCATTTAAATAAAAAAGGAGTTAAAAAGCTTTTCAACAGTGGAGAACAAAATGACTTGCCTAAGTACGTACTATGTCCAGGCATGGTGCTGAATTAAATTAGCTCCTGTCTTCAGAGGGCAGAGTTCAGCAAGAGGGCACCTTTTTCAGCAGCCAATCGTTCCAGCCTTCCTGGGGATGAAACATAAGAAGATACCTTTCATGTATTCCTGGGGACTTCACAGCCACACAGAGGATCGTTAACTATTG
This sequence comes from Homo sapiens, assembly GCF_000001405.40. Taxonomy (NCBI): domain Eukaryota; kingdom Metazoa; phylum Chordata; class Mammalia; order Primates; family Hominidae; genus Homo; species Homo sapiens. The sequence goes on along the minus strand of NC_000008.11, from coordinate 40,877,348 downwards.
TATTAGTTACTAGTGCAGTCGTAATGAAGTACCGCATACCAGGGTGTTTCAACAACAGAAATTTATTGTCTCCAGTTCTGAAGGCTGGAAGTTCAAGGTCAAGGTGCCTGCAGGGCTGGGTTCTTCTGAGGGCTGTGAGGGAAGGATCTGCCCCTGACCACTGTTCTTGGCTTGTAGACGGCCATCTCCTCCCTGTGGGTCTTCATCGCATCTTCCCTCTATGCGTGTCTGTCACTGTGTCCAGATTTCCATTTTTATAAGAACATGAGTCATTTTAGATTACAGCCCACCCTAATGGTCTCGTTTTAATTTGACACCTGGGTCAAGACCTTCTTTCTAAATAAAGTTGCATTCTGAAGGAGTGGAGGCTAGGATATTAACATGTGAATTCAGAGAGGATACAATTCACCCTGTAACAAGAGTCTTTTAGGTAATGCTTCTCCCTCTGGGAATAACTTTCCTTAAACCATCCCAGGCTGCCAGATTCGTAATACAGTCCATCTGTGAACAATGAAGGGGTTAAGGGTGCCAACCCCTTGCACAGTCGAAAATACATGAATAAATTTTGACTTCCCAGAAACTTAACTACTAATAGCCTACTACTGATCAGAAGCCTTACCAATAACATCAACAGTCAAATCACACATATTTTGTATGTTCTGTGTATTATATACTGTTTTCTTATTATAAAGTAAGCTAGAGAAAAGAAAATACTATGAAGAAGATCATAAGCAGGCCGGGTGCAGTGGCTCATGCCTATAACCCCAGCACTTTGGAGGCTGAGGTGGTAGGATTTCTTGAGCCCAGGAGCTCGAGACCAGTCTGAGCAACACAGCGAGACCTCATCTCTACAAAAATGTTTTAAAAAAGTATCCAGGCATGGTGGCGCCTGCCTATAGTTGCATCTACTGGGGAAGCTGAGGTAGGAGGATCACTTGAGCCCAGGAGGCTATGGAGCTATGATCATGCCACAAAGCATTCCAGCCTGGGCCACAGAGTGAAACCCTGTCTCAAAAACAAACAAAAGATCATAAGAAAAAGAAAATGTATATACTATTTATATTTACTATTCATTAAGTGAAGGGATTATCATAAAGGTCTTCATCTTCATTGTCTTCGTGTTGAGGAGGCATAGGAGGGGTTGGTCTTGCTGTCTCAGGAGGGGCAGGGACAGAAGAAAATAAGAAAATAAGCGGGTCATTGCAGTTCAAACCTGTTCAAAGGTCAACTGTATTTCTTTCCCCCTGCTTTCACTAAGGAGTGAGTTCCACAATTCACATTATTTTCAGATTTAATTCTACAAGCCCAATCCCTTTACTATAGCTAAGCCCATTTCCTCTTCTGTGGTGCTGGTGGAGAACAGCCTGTCGCCACCCTTGGTCTAGTGGGTTAATAGCCATTTTCAAGGCCATGACATATCCGTCGTCTTTCCCATTCCCACATCACTTGTTGGCCTCCCCTTGGTACAGAGCTCTTCTAATTCAACACAATCGTGGACACCTACAAGGAAAGTCTCAGGGGGGTTGGGTCCTGGGCCAGATGGATGCACAGAAGGGCGGACCAATGACCTCCTCCATCGTCTTACTGCCTGACCGGCCCGGGCACTGTGGGCAGAACTTGTACTTCCTGGGGGAGTAGCATGACCTCAGTTGCATTTCAGCTTCCATCCTGGGCTTGGCGGTGCCCTGGGGCTGAAGCGCTGACTCTGTCAGTTCACACACCCACCACCCCCATGGCCCATGAAGATACCACACCCCACACACACTCTAGCCTGCTTTCCCACTGTTCTTTCCAATTTGGAAATCCTGTAGGCAATAACTGGTATTTTTGTTGCCAAGATGGTAGGGGGGTGGCTGCAAGCACCAATATGCTGTATTGACTGTCAGTTCCTTTTGCACCCATGCTTATTAACTCTTTCTTTTCAACCAATTCCCCTGTAACAACAACAAGCTTATCAGCTCGTCTGTTGTCTCCCCCTCAACATGCGCTTGTCTTAAACCTGCAGTCACCACACCTGGGGGGTTGGTCCTGGGTAAAGGCAAGATGCAGTCCAGTGGTACATTTGATTTGAGCACACACATCTGGACAAGAGTTTGTATGTGTACTATGGGAGGGGACACGTGGGCAGGGACTCAAGGGGTCAATTATGTTTGCCCAGGAGGAAGCCAGAGATCCACCAGGGAGAGCTAGAACTCTGAAGGCCAGGAATAGACAGAGAGGCAAGCATCTAGCTTTGTCCCTGGATGTCTGAATGCCTTCTCCAGATGTTGCAGGGGTTATATTGGACAGTTCCTGGGTGAGGTACCAACAAATACAGCCCGTGGAGGACTGGCCAGCATATGTGCATTTTGGGGGGGCTTTCACCTGCCCTTCCCTGACATTCTGGAGTGCGCCATGTGCTACAGACTGGAAATCAGTAGGAAAATTGGAAGAGGGAGAGGCATTTTTCTTCCATTGAATTCTGAATCCAGCCATCACTGCCTTCTTTGATGTTGTTTACTAAAATAAGCCATGTCCGAAACCACGCCTGCTGCAGTCCAATCAGCTCAGACCAAGAGTTATAATTAGGAAAGGGCTTGGGCCACTGTTCAGATAAAACTACTAAAATAAATTCCAATAGCCAGAAACCATCCAGGTGCAAAAGTGTAACCATCAATAAATTGTGCTTAAATTGGGTATGCTTACCTGCCCTGAGAGGGCTACAGAGAAACACATTCTAAGTATAAAGCAGAATTTTCATAATTTTCACCTGTGGGTGAGAGAGAAGGGGAAGCAAGGGAAAGATGCATGTGTGTAGTTTAGGGACTGCTCTTCTCTGGGTGTGCCAGAGACCCAACTGTGAGATTCGAGGCAGGTGGATCATTCCATTGGGGAAGTAGGAAAGGGTTAAGGTGAATGCTGACATTTACTCCCAGTATACATTATATCCATTTGTTAACCAAAACAAACACTTTCTTCAGAACCCACTAAATAGCCACCACCCACCATCTTCAGGTGAGCCCCAAAGTTAACTCTTGCCAGGAGGTTCTTCTCTGCAAAAGAATGCCCAGTGCTGATCTCCACAGCTGGACGTGACGGGTGTGGCCAGTGTGGGTGCAATACTGGGTGGCACCAGTTCTGCCTCTGGAGGAGCACTGGGCACAGCAGGCATTCACTGGGGTGCTGAGTGCTCAGAACTTAAGCCATGAAAGAGGCTGACAACAGGTCTGAGTGTTTTATAGGGAGTAGTGTCTGGGGCGGAAGTTACAGAAAAGAAGCAGCAAGATGAGTGTGTGCTTGAGTGTGTGTTCCTGGCGGAAAGGACCTCTGATAGGAGAAAATGCAGCTCAAATCCCACAGAGTCACTCATCATCTTCCCTTTTCCCTAATCTCAAATGGGAGCAGTAGGATTGTGGTGAGAGTTGAACAGGATCACGCACGCTGGGCTTACTCTGTTAATGTTAATTAAGGTCCTCACCCCCTCTCACCAGCATCCCAGGGTGGAAAGCTCAGGTTGTCTGAATGGAATTTACATCATCAAAAACAATAGAAGTTAAAAATAGTGAGGAGGACGGACGTTCTCCAAAAGGTCACATGTCCTAACCGCTGATGAAGTGAAACCATTTTAAGATCCTCTGGGACTACTTTGTGGGGTGACCTTGTTTGACCAGATCCTGTGAATCTAGATCTTCCATGGGCAGAGCATGGCAGGCAGGTGTGGGGGCTCCTTTGTTGCTGGATGACCTAGCTTTGTCATCAGAGATGGGTAGACTGAGGAATCAACCTCTTGAAGGAGAAGCCATCTTGCCTAGTAAGGTCACAGAGACTCCTCTGTAAAACAAGGGACCCATGCACCATTTTGGGGTCTTTCACTCCCCAAAGCCAGGGTGAGGGATGAGCATTCCACGGCCAAGTCAAGGAATCCCTGCACTGAGTGGGGCCATCACAGAAGGCTGTCGTTGATTTGGAAACATCTGCCCTGCCACAGGAAAGGTCATGGCAACAGCTTTCGGTGACTCATTTGCATTTTGTATAATGTTTTAAAATAGCTTTATTTCTGAGAGCCATTAAATCCTGATAAGTGGGCATTTTTGTAGCCAGAAAAACAAATAGGAAGCAACATTAGCATTATCTTTTCTGTGCACATGTGGCAGTGCATCCAAGGAATGCTGATTTGGGACTTGGGTTGCCAATCAGGTGACACAGGGGGCTTCTCAGATGGGCTGAAGGCAACACATCCCTCAAAGCTGCAGTTGCCCCCTTTGTTCCTCCCAAGGATTCTTCATCTAAATCTCTCTGTCACCTTGCATGGATAATTTTTTTTTAACCTCTTGGGGCTTCAGAGACTGAGGCTTATTGGTACTGACAAGCCCTGATTATTTAGAATCCTGGAGGCCATGGTTTCTGCTGTGCTGGTCCACAGAGGGTTGAGCTGACTGAACCCTGCTGACGGCTCTAGTGGTCTGTGTTTTGTTAAGGGCTGTGTGGAATAGCACTTCTTTCCCTTTAAATTCCAAAACAGCTGACAAAAACTAAAAACAAAAACTAAAGACAAGCAAAATCTCCTTTGGGCCCCTCCACCCCCTACCCCAATTGGCATCAACCATCCCCCCGAGTTCAAATCCAGTGTTGTCTTTTTGATAATTGTCTTATAATTCTAAGCACCCAGAATGTTGCAGACAGCTTACTTCGGGCATTATCTGAGGGGGTGTGGAGTGAGGGACTGCTGGAAGGAGTACTCTGCTGTCACCAGCACCTTTGATCCACTGTGCCACCCTTGGCAATCCCCCTGGCCCCCTAAGGCCCACCCCTTACCCCCAACAGCTCACTAAGGCAGAGAGGACAGGTGCCTGCCTGCCCAGGACAGGAGCTTTGAGAGCACACTGGTGGCATTTCCCAGCTTGTTTACTCTCCTTCTCCAGGGTTGGGGGGGGTACTGGGGCCCCCGAGGCCTACAGGGAGGGGGAGTCACTGTTACTTAGCAACAGCCACATCCTGTGACATGACTTGTGTCTGAAGGAAGGATGTTTCCGCTGGCACCTGGAGGGCTGGGCAGCTTTTGGTGGTGCTCTGTGGGATGCCCCCTTCAGACTTCTTCCTTGTGGGATACTGTTTCTGCCTGGAGCAGAGGCTTGCCTGCTCAGTGTGTGCGTGTGTGCATGCACATGTGTGTGACTATGTACACTTGTGAATACGGTGGATGTGATGGGAGTGGAGAAGCTGCTTGAGCAGCTCCTCAGTCAGTGCAACCTCAGAGGTCCTGGAAGGTGCTCCCCACTTCCAAGCAGAAACTCCCTCCCCTGTGGCTGATGGCTGCAGCTGCCAGAACTTCTGAATTTGTCAGTTGGCCCTGATTTCAGATATCCTCTTCTACTTTGAAATCAAGTCCCCTGTTTTTCCCTGAAAGTCTAAAATTTGAGATGAATTTCTTTCACATTAAGCTTTAATCTGAGCTGAAAAACCAGTATATTTAGGAGTGGAAACTCATTTTAACTCATCAGGAGGTAGTTTGTCAAATCCTTTCCTGAGAGCGCATTTTTATAGAGGAGAAAAGAGCATGAGGGAATGAGCCACGTGGTGGAAGAGACAGACTTCCCTGCAGAGGAAGTGCTGAAAGGGAAATTGTGCATGCTGTCAATGAAGGATGAGTCCACACCTCAGTGCTGTCCTGGGCTAGCTAGCGGGTGGGTTGTCTTATTCCTCTTGGGAAGACCAAACTCACTATTGGCAATGGTACCCTTCATTGCTCCATGTCCTGGTTGGGAATCTCTTTTTTCCCTGCCTTTTCCCACTACTCCCTTGCCTCCCTTCTGCCCCAGCCTTCTCTGCAGCTCAGTGGAGATTTTGAGAATTCCTTGTATATTGCAACTTTATGCTTTTGGTATTTCTGGATATGAAGTTAGAGAAACATGGCTGTCTTTTTTTCTGGTGCCTGAAGTTCAGCCTTATTGTGTCTATTTTCTCCACATCCCTTTGGACTTGAGAGTGGGTAGGGATGGAGTAGGGAGGAAAGAGAAAAGAAAGATTTAGCTTTATAGGGAGAGGAGGGGAAGGTGAAATGAAAAGTGGAAAGGAGTCTTTGGACATTGTGCACTCATAGAATTGTACTAATCTTCTCTTCTTGGGCCTCTTTATTTGCTCTGTAGCATATTTAAGCAAATGTTGTAGCAACTCTTGTAAAAGAGAAACTAGTGCCTGATGTCTCTGTGGGGCAGGAAGGCACAAGCTCTGTCTTTACCTGAATGAGTGGGCAGTGGAGTCATGTATCTTCCCATAGAGTAGCCCTTTCCTTTGGGGATGGAGAATGTCTCAAGTGAATGGTCTCATTCGTCAAGCAACTTCCCTTGAAGGTCACTGAAGAGGTTATGGGGCTTGCTTTACAAATAAGGGAGCTGGTAAAGAGAGAGAAGAGTGATGTACATGCACTCATACCACTGTGCAAAATGGGCAAGTGACCCAGGACACAACAGCTGCTGACATTGTGGCTCCAGCATCCTCTTCTTTAGCCTGGTAAGGGAATCTCTGCTTTATTTGCAAAATCTCAATGCAGACCCATTTCTGCCTTGAATTGTTAAGGTCCACAGTTATAAAATGGCTTTATTGAGTCAATTGCCTCTTTTTATTCAGTTACTCAGCAATTATGTTTTTCAGCCTCTATCATGTGCCTGGTGTTTGAAGGACATGTTGGTGCCAGAAATATTCTTGGGCTCTATGAATCCATTCTCAGTCTTGTACGAGGACATAGGACACGTAAGGAAAGAAACATACTGAGGGCTTTAGCAACACAAGAAAGATGCAACTGGAATAAATAATTCACTTCTAGGGAAGGATAATCTTCTCTTCTAGAATTAATCAGACTTCTTAATTTTTAAGCTGTGTGTATAGGGGAGGGAAAAATGGCTTCTCTCTGCCCTCCCAGGTTCTTTAGTTGGGCTACAAATTAAACTGACGTAAGACAGATTAACAGGAGAAAAAACATTTTAATTACATGCATACACATGGGAGTCCCACCAAATATGAGACTTGAGGAAGGGTCAGATGATTGAAGCTGATACAGAGTCCTGGGCTACAGAAAGGAAGAGGGGCCAGAGCCTCCAGGGGAGGCCACAACCAGCCACTGGAGGGCGAGGGGAGGAAATGCATGATGAACAAAGGCTGTCTTGCTGTGCAGGTAAAAAGTCTCTTAGGGAATAAAAGTTGTCTGGAGCAGCCCTTTTCCTGGTACAGATACATTCACTCATCAGATTTCCTTTATAGGTGTACATTTATTTTACAAAAGGACATCTTTTCAGAGCTACTCCTGTGTCTGCAGTTTCCTAGAATAACCAGCCCAAAATATGCTATAGAAGTGTATTTTGGGGTGGCATATTCTGGTCTCCTGCTATCATATTTTGGGGTGGTGTGTCCTGAGCCCCAACATGTGGAAAATTGGAAACATGCCTAAGGATGGTAAAGAAAAGATCAGGGGACAAGCACAGTAAGAAAGAACCCAGAAGTCCATGCTGTCTCAGCCAGGAGGAGAGAAGGCGGATCGGTGCCCTGCTAATGGTGCTCAGGTGTGTGGAACTCTTCACTGAGTGGTCATGCATCGTTCTTCAGTTGCCTAAGAATAAGACGTCAGGAATAGCTGCTTTTTGAGGATATAACACTGGGTATTGTTCGAGGAATTGTATGCACATGATTCACTCACATTTTCTCGTGATTGTGAAGGACTAAGTGTCAGTTACTGTCCTGGGCACTCAGGTGGACGTGGTAAAATCCCTGCCCTAATAGAGCTTCAAGATTATCTCCTTTTCTCCTTTTGTTCTTCTAATAATCTTGTGATGTAGATATTCTTATTCTTCTTTTCTAGATAATGCAGTTGAGACTGAGAGAAATTACATGTGTTAGCCAAATCCAGCCATAGTGCCTGGCAGGCTGGAGGTTTTAGTCTAGATCTGTCCGACACCAAAGCCCAGCATTATGTTCCTTTCTTGTGGGCAAAAAACAAAAACAAAACAAAACAAAAATCCCCTTAGATATCAGTGTAAGGGAAATAGACACCAGCCAATTGGTAAATGTTCACTGGGGATCTCAACTAATATTCTATAAGACAGTGGTGTTATGCAGACTCGAGGTGGTGTAAAGTTTCATAAGATAAGTAGAGTTTCTTGATGAAGATGAAGGTTGTCTGGATCTTCTAGAAGCATGGCTCATATTTATATGTCTAAAGGGTGGGCTTTCCAGGTAAAGGGAGTAATACAAACATAAGTGAATAGAAGAGAAAACAAGCCCAGACATGGGAAATGTGAGGGAATGAAGAACAGCGTCTAAACCAGTGGGCTCAGGTTGGGGGATTCATAGCAAACAGGGTTGGACAGGTAGAGAAAATGCAGCCCATCCCTGCAGGACTGTGAGATCAGGAAGGGGCACTGCAGTTTGGTATAATGGGCAATACTGCCGATTTTAAAATAGGGACACCACATGCAGTGATGGTGTTTAAAGATTGTGAATCTTCTGGCGGGGGTGTGCAGTATGAACTAGACAAGTGGAGTTGAAGTCAGGGAGGCTGGCTGGTGTGCCTGCTTTTGGTGGCAGCCAGGCAGTGGAGAGGCACGGGCAGGCACTTCTCAAAAGCCTGTTAAGGCAAGAATGCAGCATTAGAGATCACCCAGTCAGCTTTAGGAACAGGGGGGATTTGTGATAATCTTTGCTTGAAGATGGGAGAAGAGAGTAGACAGGTCAGGTGACCTTGGACCCTCTTCTGCCTTAATAATTCCAACCCACTCATTTTCTTTCCTATTGTTTTCTTGTATTGGCTGCCACTGAGCCCTCCTTGGTGCCCAAGTGCAGTCTGTGGTGGGTGGACTTTCTTGACCCTGGTCCTAGGGTAGTGAGATGTTGTATCCTGAGAAACTGCTGGGATAAGCCCTCAGACAGTGCAGACATAGGTGGGGTGCCAGGTTTACTTCCTCCCCTGTGGTTCTGTAGCAGGGCTTAGCTGCTCCTGCAGGCAGAGTCCTGGAGCTGCAAGGAGCTGCAGGCACAGAGGAGAATGGCTTGTTTTCCTTATATAATGTAGGTTTCCAAGCTGCTGTGGCCCGCACAGCACTCTGTCTCCTGATATCCTGTGGTCCTCTTGATTTTGTCTAATTTTATTATTTTGAATACAGGAGATTTATAAATGGAAACCTAAATGGCTTTTTTTCCATGTAAATACACTTGCAAACCAGAGCAAAACATTTGTTCATTCTGCACTCAACAAATATATTATGGATATGTGTTATTTATATATCATATATATGTCCATAATGTATTTGTTAATATATTTGTGCTAATATATTCTTGCCTCTGGGGTACAGTTAAGGACAGAAATCCTTGCCATCATGGAACTTACAGTCTGCTAAGTGGAGACAACCAGAAAAATAATTAGGCAAATCCTTTAATTTTTTTTTTTTATATTTTATTTTAGGTTCTGGGATACATGTGCAGGCCATGCAGGTTTGTTACATAAGCAAATGTGTGCCATGGTGGTTTACTGCATTCTATAGTATTTTATAAGATAATAAATGCAGAGTGGGAAAATAACAGAGTAAGAAGAGGGATTGGGAAGTCTGGGGAAAGGTTTGCAGAAGAGGAATGGAATCCTACAGATGGTGGTTAGGTGGCAACTGAACAAAGACTCAAAGGAAGTGAAAGAGATTGAGCTGTGTGAACATCTGAGAAGGAGACTTCCAGGGACAGGAAATGCCAAATCCAGTGGCCTCAAGGCAGACTGTGCTGCTGTATGTGAGAGGCAGCAAGGAGGCTGGTATGGCTGGAGTGGAGGAATGAGGACAGAGAGTTAATGGTTTGGACGAAGAGGCAGAGGGTGGAGGGTGCAGATCATGCAGGACCCTGCAGCTACTCCAAGGATTTTGGCTTTTACTCTGAGAAAACTGAGAAGCCACTGGGGAGGCCTGAGCAAAGGAATCATAATCTGACTTATGTTCACCAGGATCACTTTGAAAACAGACGCTACGGCAAGCTTGTCCAACCTGCAACCCACCAGCTGCACGTGGCCCAGATGGCTTAGAATGTGGCCCAACACAAATGCTTAAACTTTCTTAGAATATTATGATATATATATATTTCTTTTAGCTCATCAGCTACCATTAGTGTTAGTGTATTTTTTGTGTGCCCCAAGACAATTCTTCCAATGTGGCCCAAGAAAGCCAAAAGATTGCACACCCCTGCCTAAGGGGTAAGATGCAGGTGCAGAAGGTCTAGGGGGAAATCCATTGCAATAACATCGGCTAGAGGCGATGTTGCCTTCCAATGGTGGAGGCTGTAGAGATGGTGAAAAGAGATGGATACATTTTGAAGTTAGAGAAGAAGAAAGAGAAGAGTTAAGGATGACTTAGTTAGAGCATCTATACCAGTCTAGCTCTTGCAGATCTTAGTCATTCTGTGGCTAGCCATTGAGCTCACTGTGCCCTCCGAGTGCTGTCTAAATGTAGATTAGGGGGATTTGTATGCCATATGTATGTGTATAAATATGTTCACATGTTGCATGCATGCATGCATATGCATGTGTGTGTATGCATGTTTATATGTGTATCCTGTTGGATATCCACATACACAGCACTGAATTTCTTACTCGAGGACTCCCCGGGTGCTTGCCAGCTATTTACACACCAGAGAGAAGCAAAAACTCCCTCTTGCATTTGGTTGCACATTTTGCAGGTGTTGCCCTCCTCTTAATTATTCATCAACTTCCTTTCCTAACCCTCTTCTTTTAGGAACTTAGGGGGAAAAAAAGATAAAACAGCCAGATGTGAGCCCAGTCTCATCAGTAATCTATAAAACACCAAGCACACCCCACTCATCTTTCATGCTTTATGAAAAGTTAAAATTAAATCAGGGCAGCGTTATTAAGCTAAGTGATTTTTGCTTGGTTTGGATGAATTCCTATGTGTGCCACATTGTTTGTTGGAAACGTGCCTGGGGTGCCAGTGGGCTCAGAACGCACATTCACCAGCTATTAGCGGAAATGTTTCTGCTCACAATGTGGCATTTGGGGCGTCCCAGTGCCAGCCCTGGGGCACCAGCATTGTGTGCAGAACCCTTGTGCCCATAGCCCTAAGTCCTCTTGTGCCCACCAATTCTTAAAACCAGAAAGACAAGATATAGAACTAAAGCAAAGGAGTGCAGCTGCAGCCATCATCCCTGGTTTAGTGATAGATACAAATTCAAGTGAAAGAACTTTAAGGAATCACTTTCTTTCTAGGGGCCCTTGAAGGTCAGGGTTGGTGATAGTGTATTTTCGGAATGCCTTGTTCTAGGAAGGCTGTTAAACAGAATTGTTGATCCCTGCTTTCAGCCAGGAGACATTCAGAAGCACTAAGCTTGTTTGGCACTTGGCACACAGAGGGCACTCCTGGGGCCGAGGCTTTGTCGAATCCAGTCGCTTGCATCGTAGCTCTCTTTTCTTTTGAGCAGCTGGAAAGTTAGTTGGTTTGGCCTTCTAAAATCTAAAAATTGGTTGGGACGATCAGATTGCTGTTTAGCAAATGGCGGGGGGAAGAAAGAATGTCCCTTAGGGCCCAAACTTCTCCACATTCTGCGTAGTACAGTGAAAACAGCAGAAGACGGAGTCTAAAAGTCCGGGTTCGAGTCCCAGCTTTAGAAACTGAGGCTGTGTGATTGCAGGTAACCAACATTCTAAATTCCAGTTTTCTTCTGAGTGCCAGTAGAATATAAAAGGCATAATCCCTCCCACCACGGTTGCTGGGGAGAGCAGACCGTGTATTTCAATCCCCCAGCTGGCTGTGCAGCATGGCACAGATGGCAGATGGATGTTGATGGTCATTGTCCATCCTCTGAGGGTTCTGGAGCAGAGAGGCCTGGGCTCACTCATAGGGTTTCCCAGAGGCTGAAGCCACATCCTGCCTGGAAGATCCCTCTGCCATTGGTCATTTCCAACTCCTCTCCATGGCCCAGATCTGCACGGCCTAGCACAGGCTGCAGTGGTGATGCAGGCCGAATTCGGGGAAGATTTCTTTTTTCTGGAAGGTGACATTTTCAGAGGGATATCAGTCGTGGCTTGTATTTGCACCTTGTATTTTGCTTTCATGTCTTCCTTTTTGTCTTGGACTTTGTAAGGCAAAACATTGTGTGATACTCCGAAGCGAGAGAATAAGTGGCATTTGTCACTCTTGCTACAAGCCGTTGAGAATGTGTGAATGCAGCAAAAGGTTGATTCTTTCAGCCCTCACTTTTGCTGAGATATGTCCGTGCAAAAAGCGTACGTTTAAAGGGAATCTTGCATCAAAATTTGCCAGTAAGATTTAATTTCACATTTTTGCTTGACCTTGCACAGAATTCATTGAGTAAAATTCTGGGCTGTGTGCAATGTCACCCTTTTATTTAAAAAGCTGACTTCCTAAATAGAGGAAGAATTTCAGTAAGCATTTCAATAAAAGCTTTCTGAATTTTATATTTTTAGGAACTTCGTACCTCATAAATATTGGAATTTTATATCCAAATCAGCTTCAGTACATTTTCAATTTTTGAAATGTTATGACATATAGTTCAGGTTTTGGGAAATATAATTTGCTAGACTTTTTACAGCCATCTCCTCACATGCTAGAGGCTCTCTCTATGTTTTTGCTGAACTTAAAGTTATACCATCACAGTGCATAAAAATACCAGTCACTGGGGTAGGTCACAACCCAACTGTCATCACTGAGACAAAGAATTTAAAATGGAGACACTGTGGCACCTTTATGACCTGGGGTCATGATGTCATCACCAGCTCATCACTGCCACAACTGGGGTGAGTACCCAGGCCACACAGGGTATGTGTGATGCCTCACTTTTTTGTCCCTGCTACCACATTGCATTAGCTGCCAGAATCATCTTTTCCCACCTACATAGGGAGGACCTGAGGTGTGCCATCCTGGTCACCTGTCATCCTCAGACCATCTTGCGTGACACCCCAGCATTAGAGACCCACTTTTCTCAACTTCTCTCCAACTGCTTTTAAAATAAAAATGCTTTCATTTATGCAAAGTTCTAGTGACATATTAATATCAGATCTGAGGGTGTACATCCAGCATAGTAAGAGGAGAACAGGAAACTCTCAAGGAAAGAGGAATCCCAGGCGAGGTCATTTCCTGCTGATTTTCGTGGCTCAGGCAGATTGGCAAATGCCTTTCTTTCTGCTCCAAGATGAAATGGGCCAGATTTCCTGAACCCGGGAACACCCACCTCTGGTTTACGTCCATCCAAGCACAGGTCAGGTGCATTCATTAATTGGGAAAAGAATTAAGAAAGTTATTTAATCCGGGAATCAGATTCCATGCAGTGCACATGGTGACTGAGTACCTTCCCTATGTTGGACACCATGTGAGGCACAGGAGATACAGAGATAAATATGGACAAAAGTACATTCCCATTTTCTAGGACTTTATGATCTAATTGAAATAATGTGTGATAATTATTTTGATATAGGTAAGTGTTGTAATAAACTTGTGTGTGTAAAATATGAATAGTAGAGCATGAGTAGTGGTGATAGATGGCTTTACTTTGGTTTCTGACATAATGATTTTCACAAGGTCTTCCATAATTGGTATCTCATGAAAGTTAACTATTCTAATTAATTTTGAGGGTAATTTTGTGTATTCCCCTCATCAATGACTGTCCTCATATGGATTTTTAAAACTCTCTACCCCTTGTCTAGATCTTGCTATGAGCTGCTTTGCTGTGGTCCAAGCAATTAGTACTGGACATTTCTACTGGAAGCTGCATAGGAACTTTCAACTTAGCTGGTTGTGAACTGAACCCATCATCTACAGCTCTTCTCACAGCCTCCACTTCCACCTCCTCTTGTGTTCTTCTCTGCCCCAGTGAAAGGCACCACCGTTCACACCACGTGCCAGAGGGTAGTTCTTGATTCTCCTTCTCCCTTTAGCTACCTCATCAAAGGATGCCTAAGACATGCAGATTCCACTTCATACTGATTTCCTTTGTACCTCCACTTCTCCAAATTCTCCTCCATTTCTGGAACAGCCCTCCATAATCCTTCACATGGTTTAATCTACATGCTTTTACCAGTTTTTTTTTTCTCCTTTCTGAGCATTTTCCACATTGTAGCAACAGTAATACAAATCAGATCACCTCACTCCCCTACTTAAAGCTCTTCTGAGGTCCGCGCCATCCTTGGGATCACACCCAGACCCTTTCAACAAGGCTTCCATGGTGCTGCGTGGCTTGCTCACTGCTTGCTATTCCAGCCTCCGGTCTTGCCACTCTCCTCACCCTCAGATGACCTCTGCTTCACCAGAATGGATTTTTCTTTGCACTGGCTGCATCACCTGCTTCCAACCATTAGTCCTTTGCACAGGCTGTTCTTTCTTTCTTTCTTTCTTTTTTTTTTAAATTATATTTTAAGTTCTAGGGTACATGTGCACAATGTGCAGGTTTGTTACATATGTATACATGTGCCATGACAGTGTGCTGCACCCATTAACTCATCATTTACATTAGGTATATCTCCTAATGCTAGCCCTCCCCCTCCCCCCACCGCATGACAGGCCCCAGTGTGTGATGTTCCCCTTCCTGTGTCCAAGTGTTCTCATTGTTCAATTCCCACCTATGAGTGAGAACATGCGGTGTTTGGTTTTTTGTCCTTGCAATAATTTGCTGAGAATGATGGTTTCCAGCTTCATCCATGTCCCTACAAAGGACATGAACTCATCCTTTTTTATGGCTGCATAGTATTCCATGGTGTATATGTGCCAAATTTTCTTTTTTTTTTTTTTTTAATTTTTTTTTTTTATTATACTCTAAGTTTTAGGGTACATGTGCACATTGTGCAGGTTAGTTACATATGTATACATGTGCCATGCTGGTGTGCTGCACCCACTAACGTGTCGTCTAGCATTAGGTATATCTCCCAATGCTATCCCTCCCCCCTCCCCCGACCCCACCACAGTCCCCAGAGTGTGATATTCCCCTTCCTGTGTCCAAGTGATCTCATTGTTCAGTTCCCACCTATGAGTGAGAATATGCGGTGTTTGGTTTTTTGTCCTTGCGATAATTTGCTGAGAATGATGGTTTCCAGCTTCATCCATGTCCCTACAAAGGACATGAACTCATCCTTTTTTATGGCTGCATAGTATTCCATGGTGTATATGTGCCAAATTTTCTTAATCCAGTCTATCATTGATGGACATTTGGGTTGGTTCCAAGTCTTTGCTATTGTGTATAGTGCCGCAATAAACATACGTGTGCGTGTGTCTTTATAGCAGCATGATTTATAATCCTTTGGGTATATACCCAGTAATGGGATGGCTGGGTCTTACGGTATTTCTAGTTCTAGATCCTGGAGGAATTGCCAGACTGTCTTCCACAATGGTTGAACTAGTTTACAGTCCCACCAACAGTATAAAAGTGTTCCTATTTCTCCACATCCTCTCCAGCACCTGTTGTTTCCTGACTTTTTAATGATTGCCATTCTAACTGGTGTGAGATGGTATCTCATTGTGGTTTTGATTTGCATTTCTCTGATGGCCAGTGATGATGAGCATTTTTTCATGTGCTTTTTGGCTGCATAAATGTCTTCTTCTGAGAAGTGTCTGTTCATATCCTTTGCCCACTTGTTGATGGGGTTGTTTGTTTTTTTCTTGTAAATTTGTTTGAGTCCTTTGTAGATTCTGGATATTAGCTCTTTGTCAGATGAGTAGATTGCAAAAACTTTCTCCCATTCTGTAGGCTGCCTGTTCACTCTGATGGTAGTTTCTTTTGCTGTGCAGAAGCTCTTTAATTGGATGCCATTTGTCAATTTTGGCTTTTGTTGCCATTGCTTTTGGTGTTTTAGACACGAAGTCCTTGCCCATGCCTATGTCCTGAATGGTACTGCCTAGGTTTTCTTCTAGGGTTTTTATGGTTTTAGGTCTAACATTTAAGTCTTTAATCCATCTTGAATTAATTTTTGTATAAGGTGTAAGGAAGGGATCCAGTTTCAGCTTTCTACATATGGCTAGCCAGTTTTCCCAGCACCATTTATTGAACAGGGAATCTTTCCCCATTGCTTGTTTTTGTCAGGTTTGTCAAAGATCAGATGGTTGTAGCTGTGCACAGGCTGTTCTTTCAGGAGAGTTTTCTCAGTCATGATTCATCTAATTCATACCTACCGAGCACTTAGCATGTGCCAGGTACTGGACCAAGTGCTGCTAAACAAAAGAGACAGGGTCCCCCCTGGCCCTAGCAGAGTTTCAGACTAATCGAGGAGGAAGCATGAACTATTAATATGTAAATACCAATAATGATCAGTAAGAGAAAGAACAGGGACTGTAAGAGAGTGTCAGAAGCTCTGAATTTAGATTAGGAGGGGTGGTCAGCACAGGCTTCCTTGAGGAAGTGACAATGACCTTGAGATCTGCTCCTTTTTTGGGTCTGTCTCCCACCACTTCTCCTGGGAAGCTTTTCTTGGCCTTCCCGATGGTGGGTGCAACAGCCTCCTAAGGGCTCACATAGGGCCAGGTGCTTCCCCTGGTCAGTCATTGGTCCGATTGCACTGCATGTAGCTCTCCACCTCCAGACTGCAGACTCCAGGACGACCAGGCAGAGCCATGCTTGCTGCTTCTCCCATTTCAAACAGACAAGGGGTCGCTCATGAACATCTGTGGACCATTTTGGGTAAAGCCAGAAGCTCTTCCCAGTCAAGTGAGAGACATGTAGTATGTGGTCTGTGTTCTCTGCCAAAATTCTCCATAGACTGAAAAGATTTGGGAGCTATTATCCTAAGGTCCAAGGTGGCAAACGCACAGATCTATGGCTGGGTGCTATTCTCACCCTGTGGCTCTTCACAGAGCTTCATGTGTGGGCCTGGAAGCTCATAGGAAGGAATATTGCTGTTGTCCAATGTAACAATATCATGGTGAAAAGGAATATTATATTCTCTGAAGGACCTAAGATGATATTGGATAAATGAAGTGAAAAATTGTCTGTTTTAATCAATATGTTAATTATGCCTGTAAATCCTGCGGACAGAGTGTGGCAATGACCTTGATAAATACTGGATCCTATCTGGGTCCAGCCTGACCTCTGCTCATCTCATGGTCCCAGCTTGGCCTCTGCTCATCTCGTGGTCCCAACCTCCCCTCAGGCTGTAAAAGCCATGAGAACCATCATCATTTTCTTTTTAATTGGGAGATATCTACAAAACAGCCTTTTGTGGCAGGTGTCATTACTGAACGCTGACTCTATATAAGCAAATATTATTCTCCATATTTTCAGATGTGGAAACTGAGGCTGAAAAGATCTATGTCTTGCTCCAGGCACAGCTCTCAGAGCTGGGATTAGTCCTTAATGGGTCTGGCCACACGGAATCCTTTTCTAGACCATATTACATACAAATTTGTTACTTTTCATTCAATAGAGTTAACAATCTCTTCCTTCAGCCTAACCTCGACATCTTTCTCTCTATTTTAAAGTTGCTTGGGTAGTAAGACTGGAAAGTAGATCCAGGAGGTGCTGCAGAAATTGCTCTTCTGATCTCATTACACCAAAACAGGAACTTCTGTGACCTCTCCTGCCTTTTTTTTTTCCACTCACCCCTCATGACCTAACTTGGCTGCTCATAGTCATCAAGGGCTCTTTTAGAAGCTTGGTTATACTGCAGGGTAATTTACATTCTCCACCGCCCATTGGCAATTAGTGCATCTCTCACGTGCACACACAGCATTTGCTTTGACATTTGATGGGACATGTATAGACTTGTAGAGGAGAAACTGCCTCTTACCTGGAGCTTCTGTCCTTAATTGGGGTTGTCTTGCTTATGTTAAAAGCCCACTGAAGGCAATAGCTGGGCCTGTAATTCCCCTTGTCCGATAATTAACTCAGAATCCTTAAGGGGTGTGTGTGTGTGTGCATGTGTGTGTGTGTGTGCGTTGCTAGACACTTCTACTGCCACCGGCAGGGATTTTGAGGGATTGAAGATTTGGGTTTCCATACATGCACTCCTGTCAGGGGAGGAGGATGGAAAAAGGGCAGAAGCAAAGGAAGGAGCATTGCCTTTCATTTTGTGAATTTGTGTCACCTGAGCAGCCTCGTCACCAGCTGACAAGGGTGGGGACAGCATTCCTGCAAGGGAGAGCTACCTGGGATGGCTCCTCTGCAGCTTCTGAGGCAGGGGGAATCACGGCACCTTGAAGGCACAGGACTTCACTGGGTATTTTGCATAAATCTAATTTCCCAGGAACACACAATCCTTCTGAAGTTGCTGAGGTCAGGACCGGAAAGGCAGGCGCCAGCAGCCCTGGTCCAGCTGGGGAAGAAACAGCATTTACATAGTGTTTATTTGCTCCTCAAGGGTGATGGCAGAGGCTTTCCTTGGGTTTCTGGAGTCTCCTCAGTTTAGTTAGGTGCAAACAAAGTGCATCCTAATGTTGAGAGGATGACAGGACATGCTTCACCATGGATCGTAAACATGGCTGTTCTGCAGGGTCCCCTTTTGTCTCCCAGGGAATGGCAAAGACCCGTGTACAAATGAGCATGGACAGATTTCCTGTATTTGATCATGTTGATATGGAGGACCAGGGGCAGGAAGATGAGCACGGTGGAGAAGAGGAGAGGAGTAGGGAGAAGAAATCTCTAATGAGAGGACCTTGCTAGTACCTTGAAGACTGAGGTGGGCTCTTCATTGGCGGAATGAGCCCTGTGAACCGAGGGGTATGGGAACCTTTTTTCACCCTAGCTCTGTGACTGATCTTCCGTGGAGCCTAAAATTTTTCCAGTTAGTCATTCCTCTGGGTCAAGGCATTGAATCTCTCTAAGACCCAAAGAAATGAAGCCATCTTCTCAGCCAGTGTAGCACTTTAGCCTGACATTATTCATTAATGCATCCATATACTTGCTTATTAAACCTGTCAATCTTAGGATCCAGAAGGAAGAGGAAAATTACCACCAGATCTCAATTCCAAGCCAGCTTCCAGTTACTGAGGATCTGTTTTGCACATGGCCTTGTACTAAGGGGACTTCAGGGAGCTTGTGGTCTAATAGGAGGCAAAAGACAAAAACAATGTTGCAAAATATAAAGAGTGTTTCATAAAAGGTGAAAATGAGCACCGCCTCACCCCCATTGATTTCCCTGTTTCATTAGTGGCAAATCTCTTCTTCCGGTCTGTCTGTTGGAGCTCTTGAGTCACTTTGACATTCCCGTTTTCATGTCTTCTCGTGTGAAAAAAGTATTGAGGTCTATTTTAAAGCATACGATAAAACGCATAGATCTTAAGTGTAGAGCTCAGTGAGCTTTGACAAATGTTTACCTTGTATTCCCTCCACCCAAATAAAATATACAACCTTTCCATCACCCCTTTCTGGTCAATAACTCCCATTCCCCAGAGGCAATCATTGTTCTTATTTCTCTCCTATAGGGTGGTCTCGTCTGCCCTTCAACTTCATATAAATGGATCATACAGTATGCACATTGTAATGTCTGGCTTCTTTTGCTTCAATAATAATGTTTTTTGAGATTGTCCCTTATATTTGTAGTTCATTCCTTGTGTTGCTGATTTTTTAATTGTTCCAGTGTATACATATACCAAAGTGTGGTTATTCATGTTCTGTTGATGTGCATATGGGATATTTCCAGTTTTTTTGCAAAGTTTCAATGTATATTCTTATATGAGCCTTTTTGGGGACATATGTTTTTATTTCTCTTGGATAAACTTCTAGAAGTGAAATCCTTGAGTGATAGGGTAGATATATATTTCATATTAGCAAAAAGTTTCTAAACAGTTTTCCAAAGTGGATGAAACATTTTTTCCTTTCACCTACAGTGCATGAGAGTTCAAGGGACTCTGCCTCCTCCCCAGCACTATGTATTGTCAGCCTTTTTAATTGCAATCATTCTAACAAATGTGTAGTGGAATTCCATTGTGGTCCTTCATGTAAAATTAACCATCAAGTCCCAGAGAATCATTTCTTGACATTGTCTCTTAGACCCATCTTTTCTGTTTGTTTTTGTTTTTTTTTTTAAGAGACAGGGTCTTGCTATGTTGCCTGGGCTGGAGTGCAGCGGCTATTCTCAGGCATGACCATAGCTCACTGCAGCCTTCACCTCCTGACTCAAACGATCCTTCTGCCTCAGCCTCCTGAGTAGCTGGGACTATAGATCCATGTTTTTCTTTCCTTTTTTTGGCCTACAGTTGTAACCCAGTCTTATATACTTTTTTGTAACCCAGTCTTTATCAACTTGTCTGAACTAGGCAGTGGTCTCTTCACTTGCCTCCCTCCCTCCAGGTAACCAGGCTCCTGGTATTGCCCAGGTAGCTTCCTGATCATCTCGATCTTTTGCTGCTGAAAATCTGTAATAACTAACACCAATAGCAGGATTTTCAAACCTTTAATTATTTATGACTTTAGTGGAGAACACTTTCTTCACAGCAGAGCTTGCCTGGTTAAAAAATGGATGAGGCCAGCTTCTCCCCCATCCCCATTTGCAATCCCTTTCCAGTGGCAGACTCTGGGGTTCATCCACGGGGCTCCTGTGCTCTTTGGAGTCTATGCTGGAAACCACCTACTGACCAGATCTCCCTGACCTGGTGCCAGCCATGTGTAGAGCATCCCACATCTCCTTCACCTTCCCTTCCAGCCCCTGAATGCAAAATGCTCTTCCCTGTCCCTGGAAAGGGGATGCCCACCCATCTCCCAATGTCACCTGGGGAAATATGACATCCTTTATGACAACATGCTCCAGGATTCATCCTTCAAGAGGTCTTCAGGGTTGATGTCTCCTGGCTTTATGCTACCACCTGCCTGTAGTCATAATCACCTTTGATTCTGCAGTGCCCAGATGTCTGACATTCAATTTCCTTTATATTATGGCCTCAAGCTACTTTTCTCACATTAGCTCCATTTACCTCCATGCTTTAACCTGTACTCCTGCCAAGTGGTACACAGACCATCCTGTGCAAATTTCTCTGTCCACATCTTTGCCCATGCTGTCCTCCCTTACCTGGAGTTCTCTCTTCCTTTTGCTTTCTTTTTCCAACCCTTTCCATCTTTGCGCTGACCCCTGAATTCCACTTCCTCCATGAAACCTTCTCAGGACACCAAATCTAGCAGTGCACTCTTTCTCCTCTACTTAGTATCTCTAAATTCCTTTGGCGCTCACATCTTTCCTAATGGTTCCCCATTAGAAAAGCTCGCCATCTGTTTAGAGAGTTAAGACAAACACAAATGCAGAGATCAGTAGCCGCATGATTTAAACTTCATTGTACATCCCCTCTGCCTGTCCTGTGGGCCTGTGTGAACCAAGATTTACTGGGGCCCATGTACTATTCCCTACCGGGGGGAGGGTCTTGTGGCAGGGATAACTAAATTGGATCCCACTTTAAAAAGTTGTGGTGGTGGCTGGGTGTAGTTGCTCATGCCGGTAATCCCAGCACTTTGGGAGGTCGAGGTGGGTGGATCGCTTGAGCTCAGGAGTTGGAGACCAGCCTGGGCAACATAGCGAGACCCCATCTCTACAAAAAAAATAAAAAAATAAAAAATAAAAAGTAGCTAGGGATGGTTGCATGCACCTGTAGTCCCAGCTACTCAGGAGGCTGAAGTGAGAAGATTGCTTGAGCCCAGGAAGTTGAGGCTGCAGTGAGCCATGATCACACTACTGTACTCCAGCCTGGGTAACAGAGCAACCCTGTCTCAAAAAAAAAAAAAAAAGTTTTGGTGAACAGAATGACAACACCAAATGCTGGTGGAACAGAGCTACCTGTAGGTCTTGTGTAGGACTGAAGGACAAATTTTACTGTCACCAAGATTTGTCACTGGTCAATTCTGCTTGGGAAAATGCCCCAGTTTCCATGAGACCTGGTTTGGATTCGATCCAGGGGCATTGGCTACCTAGTGGAACACTTTGGTTCTCTACTCCTACAGAACCTGTGGAGTTTTGTGGAGAGAGACAGTTTTTATCTCTGTTAAAGATGTCTTGGGCCCTCTGCTTGGAATCATCTGAGCCTAGCAACAGAGAGCCAGAGGGGTTTTGAGTCATTTGGCACTAGGGCCAAAAGCAGGCAGCAGAAAAGCCCATAACCACCTCTGATGGGCTCCAGTGGGCTCCGTTAGGATGCAGGATGTTCTAGCTCTGCAGGGTAAAACCACAGCTTGTCAGAAAAATAATACAGGCTCAAATGGCTCCTGGTCTGGACACACCGTTTACAAAGAGCCTAAGTTAAGTGGGCAGGTGGCCAATTTTTGAAGTCTAGTGTCATTTGAAATGAACACAAACAGCGGGGGATTGCAAAAACCCGTGAATGCCACTGTGTTCAAATTAGCTGTGGGAGTTTCAGATATTGTTGGTGTACAGTATGCATTTGGCATAAACTTCATCTCAAAAATGCCCTACCTGTCCTTGGATTTTGATCTTTCATTAAATCAATTTTTGTTGTTTTTCTGCGTGTGTGTGTGTGTGTGAAAACAATAATTAGCCCTTTAAAAAATTGAGTCCTTTAAAAAATAATTAGTCCTTTTGTAATTAGCCCTTTAGGGTATCTCGCAGTATTTCTCCTCCTTTCTTTTCCAAATGCAGAAATTGACCACTACCAGTACCCAGGCAGGGGCTTTTGCCTTTCCCTTCCGTACTGTTTTAACTGCCAGGAGCTGTGTGCACCTGTCCTCCCTGCCATCCTTTTGCCTTATCCATGCCAGCTCCACCTGCAGGCTGTGGGCTGAGACCTTGGTCTTTGGGATCCTCTTAGGTCAGGGGACCATTCTCAGGAGTGAGGTGGAAGAAGAAACCCACAAGCCTGAGCTAACTCTGCCGAAAGACTGGACTCCTGGAATCCCTTCTGCCTGATGCATTGGACTCCCTGAGGTCCACAGTCTGCATGCTTTCAGTACTTAGAATTCTTACCACAACCTCCATTTTGTCATCACTGAGGTTCTCTTATATTCCTCGGAGCTGTTTTACCAATCTGCTATTTGCATAACTATATTTTAAAGGGAAGTATTTTGGTCTTCATTTCCTTTGAGCTGTCCTAGCTTCACTCTCTATAGGAATTTCAAATTGTGTCTACATAAAGTCAGTGCTCAATACATGTTTTCATTTTGGAGTATCTCACTGGAAAGTCATCCAGAATGGTGGTTCAGAACATAAGGTCCGTAGACCACTCAGGTTTCCTAAGACTCTGATATAGTTTACTATGCGTCCCTTCCAAATCTGGTGTTGAAATATGATCTCTGGTATTGGAGGTGGCGCCTGGTGGGAAGTGTTTGGGTCATGGGGGCACTCTCTTCATGGTAATGAGTTAACATGAAATCTGTTTGTTAAAAAGAGACTGGCTCCTCCTCCTCTCTGTCTTGCTCCTTCTCTGGTCACGTGACTCACTGCTCCCCCTTCACCTTCTTCCATGAGTAAAAGTGTCCTGAAGCCTCACTAGAAGCAGATGCTGGCACCATGCTTCCTGTACAGCCTGCAGAAACATGAGCCAAATCAACCTCTTTTCTTTATAAATTACCCAGCCACAGGTATTCCTTTATAGCATCATACAGACAAATACAGACACTTTCACAGGTTCTCTCGGGTCAAAACTACTTGCTTAACGATGTTAAAACATTATTTGCCTTTTTCACTGTGTTGAAGCTTAGACTGATGAGGTAAAAGCAAAATGGGTGAAACTGGGTGCCTTCATCCAAATCAAGACAATGGCACCAAATCACTGAAAATCAGTGCAACTGCCTCACACCCACAGTAAAAAGAAACCAAAAACAAACAAAGACTGCCAGTTTTACTTAGGAATGTCCTTGCTGAAGTGGTAGAAATTATTTATTTTATTTATTTATTTTTTTGAGACGGAGTCTTGCACTGTCACTCGGGCTGGAGTGCAGTGGCAAAATATTGGCTCACTGCAACCTCTTCCTCCTGGGTTCAAGAGATTCTCCTGCCATAACCTCCTGAGCAGCTGGTATTACAGGTGCCTGCCACCACACCCAGCTAAGTTTTTTGTATTTTTAGTAGAGATGGGGTTTCACATGTTGGCCAGGCTGGTCTCGAACTCCTGACCTCATGGTTCACCTGGCTCGGCCTCCCAAAGTGCTGGGATTACAGGCGTGAGCCACTGCGCCCAGCCCACAAATTATTAATTGTATTAAATGTCAACCTTGAAAACACATCTTTTTAATATTCTGAGTTGCAAAATGAGAAGCATACATAAAGGACTTCTGCCTCCTACCAAAGTACAAAGATTGTCTTGGGGAAAACACTTAATGCAATTGTTTGAGTTGTGAAATGACCTAGAGCCATTTTCATGGGATGTCATTTTTACCTGAAAAAAAATGACTGGTAGACAAACCATGGCTATTCAGACTTAAATATTTGGGAGGCGTTTTCTTAAAATGGCATGAAATGAGCCTGCCATTTCAAGGAACATAACTGACCACATTTTTTTTTGCCCGTGATAAAATTCAATCACTCAAGCAAAAATTAGAATTGTGTTAAAGTTTGGAAAATTCCATCATGATGAACTTGACAGCTTCCCAAATCTTAAAGGCTTTTCTGATGAAATGGTTGATATTAATGAGTGTTCTTTTTGGGTATTATATAATGAAATGTATCAACATTTGGAAGATCTACATAACTCTGAACAGTTTTACCAATGCATGATGTTACAAAATCATGGGTGGGTAAAGGATCTCTCTGAAGTGCAAGATACACCAAAAGAAGTTTTACAATGGAGTACAAAAAGTTCATTGGTATGGTTTCATATTGCCTATTGCAAGTAACCTTTAAGGAGCTATCCCTTGTCAAGTTTTGGTGAAAAAACAAACAAAAAACATTCATAACTACCTGATAAGGCTATTAAAGCTTCCCTTTTCCAACTATATATCTGTGTGAAGCTGGATTCTCTTCACATACTTCAACTAAGACAGTATATCACAACAGATTGAATAGAGATGCAGATGAGAAAATCCAGCTATCGTTTAATAAGGCAGACATACAAGGGATTTGCAAAAATGTAAAAACCATGTCCCTCTTCTCATAATTTTTCTAAAAATACAGCTTTTTAAAATGAACCTTTTATTTTAAAATAATTTTATATTTAAAGTAAAGTTGCAGGAAGCTCAACAAAAGTTAATATCATAGAAATATAAAGTAGAACAGAGGGTACTAGAGGCTGGGAGGGGCAGTGGGGCTGGGGGATAGGGAGAGATTTGTTAAAGGACACAAAATTATAGCTAGGCCTGTAATCCCAGCATTTTGGGAGGCCAAGGCAAGTGGATCACTTGAGGTCAGGAGTTCAAGACTAGCCTGGCCAACATGATGAAACCCCGTCTCTACCAAAAAACACAAAAATTAGTCAGGCGCCTGTAGTCCCAGCTACTTGGGAGGCTGAGGCATGAAAATCACTTGAACCCTGGAGGCGGAGGCTGCAGTGAGCCGAGATTTTGCCACTCCACTCCAGCCTGGGCAACAGAGTGAGACCCCATCTCAAAAAATAAAATAAAATAAATAAAAAATTGCAGCTAGATAGGAGGAACAAATTCTGGTGTTCTATAGGGTGTTCTATAGGAAGTTCTGTTGATTTAACATCCTACAACTATAGGAAGACTATAGTTAGCAATAATATATTGTATAGCTTCAAACAGCTATAAGGGAGGACATTAAATGTTCCCAACACAAAGAAATGATAAATGTTTGAGATATGTATGTATGGTAATTACCCTGATCTGGTCACTGTACATTGTATGTATCACAGTGTCACTAGGTACTCCATACATATGTGCAATTATTATGTGTCAATTAAAAATTAAAAATAAAATGTTGCAAGCATAGTTCAAAGAGTATTTATAAACCCTTCACTCGGTTTTCCCCAGTGTTAACATCTTACCTGACTATGGTACACTTGTGAAAACTAGGAAATTAACATTAGTACACAACTATTAACTAGACAGTAGATTTTATTTGAATTAGTTTTTCTATTATATATCCTTTATGTGTTCCAGGATTCAACCTAGGATACTACATTGCATTTAAAATATAGTTAAGTTTTTTTTTGTTTGTTTGTTTCCTTTTATTGAGATGTAATTTCGCTCTTATCACTCAGGCTGGAGAGCAATGGTGCAATCTTGGCTCACTGCAATCTCCGCCTCCTGGGTTCAAGCGATTCTCCAGCCTTAGCCTCCCTAGTAGCTGGGATTACGGGCAATGTGCCACCACACCCAGCTAAGTTTTATATTTTTAGCAGAGACAGGGTTTCACCATGTTGGCCAGGCTGGTCTCGAAATCCTGACCTCACGTGATCTGCCTACCGCGGTCTCCCAAAGTGCTGGGATTACAGATGTAAGCCACCATGTCTGGCCAAAATATAGTTAACTTATAGACATATATTACATATATTAACATGTAATGGTTTATTTTTATTTTAAAATGAGTTAATAAAGATTTTAAACATTTCTCAGTTTTAACTTTGAACACAGTAAATAATGATAGATATGCCGCACATAGACAAAAGCCCTTTTGAAATCTCAATGATTTTTAAGTGCATAAAAGCGTTCTGAGAATAAAAAACTTGAGAAGTGCTGACCTAGAATATTCTGTATGAGGAGAATGTTTACATGTGTAACTGCCGGACTGTAAGGAGAGGCATAAGGTGAGGGTTTACGTAATGTCTCTGGGGAGTTTAATCCCACCCCACGTGATCTGTAAATGCACGAGTGTGAGAAACTAAATTTAGTGAGAAAGAACTCAGGGACTGGAGACAGCTCTAGATAAAGCACTTCATTTAGCCAGCCCACAAATGTTTTCCAAGTGCCTATTGTGTGCCTGTCAGTGGGGATACAGCTATCCATAAGATAGAAGAGATCTCTACCCCACAAAGCTTACATTTTGGGGGGCGGAAGTTAGACAAAAACACATAAACAGAGACTTTCCATGACTGTCTGCAGTGATCCGCCCTGTGAAGCAGAGAAAGGAGAGTAGAATGATGTTGGCAGGGGAGTCCTGGGCCGTGCAGATGGGGGCTCGCTGTAGGGACATTCCTCATCTGTGCTTGCTCCACAGTCGATGAGGGGAAGGCTAGTGTGGAAGGAGGGCAGTGAGTGGCGGGGGAGGCTAGCAGGGTGCAGATTGGGTGGGGCTCACAGGCCAGCGGAGGGCCTTGGAGTTTATTTTCATTGCCTAGGTAGCATTTCCAGGCTTGAAGCAAGGGAGGGCCGGGTTCTGATTGACCGCATGAAGAATGGATTGTGAGATGTCTGGATGAAGGCAGGAAGGGCAGGTGTCCTCCAGGTGAGAGACAGTGGCAGCTTAGGACTTGGGTGTGCTGCCTGAGGACGGTAACATACTGTCAGATTCAGCATGGACTGCAGAGGTCGAAGCGACATGTCCTGCTCATAGATCAGATGGGTGGGAAGAAAAGGGAGTGGATGAGGAGCGATCCCAGGTTTCCATTCTGAGCAGCGGGGTGAATGGTTGTGCCAGGTACTAGGTGGGGAAGCCTCCGGGGCAGCACACTTGCTGATGGCATTTGGTTGAACTCTTTGGGCTCAAGTGAGGTTTGAGCCCCTTTAGATATCCAGGCACATAAACTGCTATGTAATTGAGCAGATAGTGGTCACATATCTACTCTGTGCCAACCACTGATCTAGACACGGAAGGAGATCCTCATGAATGAGACACACACACGCACATAATAAAAGATCATGTTGATCCCTCTCTCCCGTCTTGGTGCTGTGGACATGGAGAGAACAGAGTGAGTGATGCCATCTGGGTAAGTTGTCTTCTCTCCCCACCCTTTTCTTGGGGATATGTTGTGGGTGACGGAGGAACAAGAGAACATCTGAGAATCCAGGCAGGTGTGTGTTCTTCAGGGGACAGGTGGCATCCCTGGGAAATCATTTTGCAAGTTTTTGGGACCCAAGAGATTTAAATAGAACATCTTTTATCTCTTTCTCTTGGGAGGCTTCTAGCATTTTAAGTTACTCTTTCTTCCTGGATCTGTGGGAGAGAGGTGGGTGGGGAAATGTCATTACTTATAAATATGTTACGAGTAAATAATGAAAGGACTCAGAAAGGCAGAAGGGAAGCCTGTTTTTCTGTGGAGTGCCTGGCTGTGTTTGTTTGGTTAGAAGATGATGAAAACAGGGCAATTGTGTGTTGAGAGTGGCCTGAGGCCAGTGCAGAGCCAGGGAAGAGGCTAACAGGCTTTGTCAATTCCTCCCACGCCCCTTGGCCCCCAGCTTTGTTCCTAGATTTGCAGGCTAGGTTCCTGGCTGTCTCTAGGCAGCTGTGCAGGCCTGACCCGGGAACTTCTGATGCCAGCATGGGATGGGATGGCATGGGATGGGACGGCACCTCCAGCCTGACAGCAGCTTGTCCTCCCGCATGGCTCGCCATCTGTCAGGACACAGAGCGGTGACCTGCAGGGGACCTTGGAGAGCTCCTTGCTGCTGAGTCTGGAGTCATTTCCAAAGCAGGTCATTTGGGGGTGGCTGGAATGATGTAGGTGCCGACTTTGTTTTTGTGGAACCAGGAACCACAATGGACGGATTTTTGAATTAAAGAAGGAAATGAATAAAGAATTATACAACCACCCCCAATTCCTGAGTAACAGTACTGGTATTACCAAGAGTAATAGTACTGGTAGTAATAAATATAATAGTAGCGACCATTTATTTAATTCCTACTATGCACCAAGAACCATTGGGTACTTTTTATATTTTTTTCTCCTTGTAACAGTGTGATGATGTGGTTATTATTATCCCTGTTTTACAGATGAGTCAACTGAGGCTTGGAGATTAAATGATTTCCCCAAAGTTATATGACTAGTGAATGGTGAAGTCAGCATTCACAGCTTGCTGCCTGTGTCCCCAGAGCCTGTGCTTTTTCCTCCTCAATCATGTACAGCTGCCTGACTCATGCCCAGGCCACCTCCCACTTTTCTCCAAGAGGTTCAGATTCTTCCAAACAACAGAAGAAAATCACTATGTTTTTTCAGTGATGGTGTTGGTAGAATCCTTAATTCAAACATTTTATTGTGTTCCTGAGAATCATCACACTAAAAATCAGATGTGATGGACAACGGGTGGAGTCCTACAGTGGAAAGTCTGACTTCCACATCGAGGGCAGATGTGTCACCCATAGGCTTGTGTTCTTTCTTATGGGCTGGTGTTGCTTTGGGACAATCATTTCTCTTCAACAGTTATTACTTTCCACCATTGGAAGCCCTCTCCTTTTGTTTCTCTAGGCTGTTGGGTTTCGTTTTCCTTTGTTTGGGTTATTAACATCTTTTTCCCAGGACAGTGGATGACACAAGGAGCAGGTAGACAGAAGGGGAGACAAAATCTAGTGTTCCAGCAGATAAACCGCTCCTCATTTACAACATTGCCCACTGCCAGAAGGCAGCCTGGTCCCTGTGGGTCTGAGAAACAGCCTGGAACTTAAAATTAGAGGACACATCATGTGTGCTTTCAAAATGATTTCACGTAATCTGTGGGTAGGTTAGCACTCTCTGGAGGCAAAGAAAGGCTGACCTCAGGGTTTTCTGTTGGAGCCCTGCAGACATCGGTTTGATTAAGCAGGGCTGGCTTGCACTGGTGGACGGACTTCAGCTGCCACAGAGAGGGGATGCCAGGGAAGACTCCTGGGACAGAAGTCACCTCTGCAGGTGCCTTCATTTCCCTCACAGCCCAATTATAGGGAACGTGAAATTTAGGGGGGAAGGAGTTCCTTGGGAAAGCAGTCTGTGATCTGCAAGCTCTGCTGGCTGCCTCAAGCCTAAGGGCCATGATAATGAGGTCTCAGAGCATACCTGACATGCTGCAGAGGAAGAAGCGGAAATTTCCCAGGAACGCCCATTGCCTTCCCACGTCCTCCCCTTCCCTGTTCTTCCTCAGCGCACCTGGCTGAAACTAGGGAGGCTTAAGTTGCTTTGGGAAACAGCCAAGCTCTCTGCTTCTCCACTCTTGAGTTGCAAGGAGGCAAGAACAATGCCAGCAACTTCCTGACATCATGTAGACATTGTGGTTTGAGGAGCGCTTTCCTGGGTAACACGTTGTTTAATTCTCATTAACATCTTAGTGTAATCAACGGCAAATATGACTCTACGCATTTTTTAGAGGGAGAGGCTGAAACTTACAGAGGCTATTTTCTCCAAGGTGACTGGATTTCCCCCAGTTTTTTTTTTTTGTTTGTTTGTTTTTTTAGATGGAATCTTTCTCTATTGCCCAGGCTGGAGTGCAGTGGCACAATCTTGACTCACTGCAACCTGTGCCTCCCTGGTTCAAGCGATTCTCCTGCCTAGCCTCCTGAGTAGCTGGGATTACAGGCACATGCCACCATACTGCTAGTTTTTCTATTTATAGTAGAGATGGGATTTCACCATGTTGGCTAGGCTGGTCTCGAACTCCTGACCTCAAATGATCTGCCCGCCTTGGCCTCCCAAAGTGCTAGGATTACAGGCATGAGCCACTGTGCCTGGCATTCCCCACTCCTTTTTTATAAGGGATTGGGAAGGGTGTGTGTGTTTAAAAGCCATACAGAACAGCCTGAATTATGCTTTTAGTGTTCCCTATAAAATGATGACCTACCTGAACTCCTCCTGCCGTTAAACATTGGAACGGACGGTAGCAGCTCTCTCTGAGAGGTGAGCCTCATACACGTTTGCAGCAGCTGTGCGGGTCTGCCCTGCCAAGTCCCCACTCTTTGGCAATGCCCAGCCCTGCTCCTGCAGTTCCTGAGTCAGTCTCAACCTGGAAAGATGCAGGATGCTCCTGGAAACGGGGACGCCAAGGGGGAGTGAGGTGGAACGACGCTGCCGTGGCTCGTTAGCAGTTTTCACCATTTATCAAAGGAAATGAAAAACAAACAGCGCAATGATTTTAATTACTCTGCATCGAGGAGGTGATCAAACACCCAGTGACTTTAATTATGGAATCCAGAGCCAGGCAGCTCCGCGGCAGCTTCAGCCTTGCCCAGGACACCCTCTCCCTCTGCGGACCAGAGCTCTGCTGTCCCAGCCCTGAGCTCTGCGCCTTTGCTCTCCCTGTGTGTCCCAGAAGAATTTATGGAAATGGGAGAATCTGGCTTCCTTGTGGGCTGGGGATTGGGTTGAGTGGGATGATAGGGGCCATGGTGGAATGGATCATGGATCAGGGAGAGAGAGAGATGTAAAAGGTTATATATAAGAAAAGAAACACCGCCAAGTATATTTATTTATTTATTTTGGTAGGGAGGGGGGTGGTGCGTTTGGAAGAAGGTGTACAAATAGTTGCTATCTCCCGGTCTCAGCTGGGGCTGGCTGGTTTGCAGACTGTTTAGTGAAAGTTTGACAGATCCAGCTGCTGTCTCTCCTAATACCTTGGGAAGGCTGTGGTAGAGATGCTCTCTCTGGAGTTTGAAAGAGGCTGAAGTCCAAACCTTCGAATTCCAGGATTCACAGATTAGGAGAAGTCCTGCTTCCTCTCTGCTGGAGGGCCATCTGTCAGTTGGCTGGTTCTCCTCTTGACATCTTGTTGTCTTTTGGGGCCGCTCCTAATTGATGCTTGGCTCTATCATTGTTAAGTACATTTTTCACCCTCCCTGCCCCCTCCACCCTTAGTCTCTCTCTCTTTTTTTTTTTTTTTTTTTTTAACTACTAAGTGTATTGAACTAGTGAGGTTGAAACATTTCATAGCAGGCTTCTAAAAATTTTTTTTTTTTTGCAATTCCTTGGGACAGCAAACACAGGTTTTCACTGTGTCTTCCCAGTGGTCTCTTGGGGTTCTCACTGTGTCAGGACTATCTTGCCTGAACATAAGCCCCTGTCTTGCCTGTAGTTAGATTACAGGACACTGTTATTTTTTTTTTCAGAAGGCTGCTATAATCTGCCTATTGATAGACCATTTTACCAACTTCAGCAAAAGCCGCATTATTTTTCAGAAGCAGAAAAATTGTCAACTGGCACACGGTGTCTGGGAGAGACCAGAATCTGAGGGCAGCGTGTTTTTAATTGCCTGGAGATACCCATTAATAACTTCTAACTTTTTGTCCTCTTCTGTGGGCAATCAACAGACTGTCAAATCTTGAAATAAGAGTGTTTTCTCTAGAGAAGCAAGGCTTTTGAAAATAATAATGAAGATGCCTAAATTTTTTTTCTTTTTGGAGCTGTTTGGCCATATTGATCTGGGAACAGACCCAGGGCATCCACACACTTCATTCAGGAGGAGATCCAAGTTGCATGAAAGTGGAGGAACTGAGCTCACTGAAAGGTGAAGTTGTAAGAGCTGTAGATGCGATATTTATTGGTGATTGATATTCTACCCAGAGACTCGCTCGGCACCTGCAGTCATGTTAACGGGAACTGAATCTTTGGTGGACCAGGGAATTCAGTATCTTGCTTTTGTCTTTCTGGTGCATGAGTATGTGCAGTTTATGGTCGTGAGGTCACCCAGTGGACCATCCTTGCTGGAAGAATCTTATTATTTGAGCTCACACCAATGCAATCAATAGGTGCCTGAGTTCTTACCCTGATTCTGTCACAGTCCATGTGACATTATGCAAGTCACTTAATTTCTTGAGGCCTCAGTTTCTTCATCTGCCAGATGTAAGAAAGACACTTTTACTACCCCAGGTGAGTTTAAAATATGATGAATGTGGGATCACTTTGGAATGCTGGAAAGTTTATTGCTAATGCAAGGTGTATTAGCCAGGGATCTCCAGAAAAACAGAACACACACACACACACACACACACACACACACACACACACAGAATGAGAGAGAGCATGCAGAGAGAGAGGAGAGAGAGAGGAGAGAGAAAGAGTATATATACATATATGAGATTTATTTCAGGAATCAGCTCACATGATAATGGAGGCCAAGGGAAGGCCTGCATTCTGACATTTGCAAGCTGGAGAACCAGGAAAGCTAGTCATGTAATTCAGCTTGAATCTGAAGGACTGACAATCTGGAGCACCCATATCCCAGGGGCCAGAGAAGATGGATGTCTCAGCTCAAGGAGAGAAAGAGCAAACTCACCCTTCTCTGCCTTTTTGTCCCATTCTAGCCCTCAACAATTGGGTGATGCCCATCCTCATTGGTGGAGGTGATCTCTGCTCAGTCTACGCAATTCAAACACTAATCTCTTCTGGGAACGCCATCATTGACATACCCAGAAATACTGTTTTACCAGCTCTCTGGGCATCCCTTAGCCCAGTCAAGTTGACACATAAAATTACCTATCACATGTGGTAAATTATTATTTTATTTACCTCCTTTCTTTAGAAAAAAACAATATTCTCTTCTCCTGTCACTCTTCAGCGGTTAGGTCGGCTGGTGGAATCATTGGGCACTTTCCAGAGTGCTCCAGGCTGGGCTAAAGAAGAAGCCCAGGGTCTATCAGTTGGACTTTTGCTGAATTGTTCCATTTCCAGTTATGTGAGTCTCCGTTTTCTAGGTGCACTGTGTACATAGCCTATAAAATTGAGGGGAAAGATAGAAGGGACTGATCTTAAAAATGTGTGCACTTTCTTGCTGGATTTATTTTCCAGTCATGCCCCAATTGCCCAATCAGCCAAAACTCAAGGCTGGCATCAAACCCACTCAACTGATTTTCATTTCTCTGATAGCTTCTGCCATCTCATGCCACCAGGATGTAGTGATGACTTGCATGCACACATTCTGCAGAGAGTGGACAAGGAGCAGTCTCAGGTGTGATTCTTGAGTCTCCTTGAGATCCTAGAGCTAGCAGCTGTTGAGTCAATATTGCACTTCTGTGGAGTAACCACTGTGAGTATTGAAGGCTGGAAAAGTGCTAAGAACCTGGAGATAAAAGCCCAAAATATTAGGGCTTGCTGCTGCTGCTTTAGAAAGACCAGAGAAGAGATTTTAGTCCAGTGGGAAGAGGAAGTGTCCACTCTCCTGGGAAGCATTCTGTCCCCTGTAAAAGCAGGATCTTATGGGTCTCTTCCTCAGCTCCATTCCAGTTCTGACCCATCTTGCAACATACAAACGCCACCTAGGAGTGAGCTGGACACAGGGCCCCATGAGCTCCTGCTGGGTCTCTGATCCAGCCAGCTCTTGGTCAGTTGTACATCTGGGGCCTTTGTCATGGGGCTGTGGGGTCGAGCAGTGACTGGAGAGGTTGCCCAAATGAAATGTGTTAGAATGAAGGACTTGATTCATATTTATAAACAAGGTCCTAGCAATGAGAGACTTTGATACAGTTTTGCTCCATTTAGAAGAGATGGGTAGAAGGAAACCAAAATTGCTTCTTGGCCTTGCCTCTCTGTCAGGGGCTTGCATTTCAGAGCTACAGATGCTTTGGAGAAGTCATTTAAAAAATGTGTTTTAGGCCGGGGACAGTGGCTTATGCCTGTAATCCCAGCACTTTGGGAGGCTGAGGTGGGTAGATCACCTGAGGTCTGGAGTTCGAGACCAGCCTAGCCAACATGGCGAAACCCCATCTCTACTAAAAATACAAAAAATTAGCCAGGCATGGTGGTGGGCACCTGTAATCCCAGCTACTCCGGAGGCTGAGGCAGGAGAATTGCTTGAACCTCGGGGGCGGAGATTGCAGTAAGCAGAGATCGCGCCATTGCACTCCAGCCTTGGCAACAAGAGTGAAACTCCATCTTAAAAACTAAATGTATTTTATAATATCCTGTAGGACTCTGGTTGACTAAAGACCAGACAAGGACCAGCCATGTCACAGCTCCATCATTATTACCTTCTTCTTGCAGAAATTCAAAGTGGAATTAAGTGATGAGAAGTGCCTAGTTGTTCATGGACTTTCTATGTCACTGGCAGGTGAGGATGACTTGTAAATCACTGCTTTCTCTTGACCCCCAAATCAAGTGGAAGAGTGCAGGCAGGCACTGTGCAAGGCTGGGTGGACTGCAGCCTGCAATCGGCTTTGACTTTTCTGACTGTGAAATCCGGAATTCTGTCAGAGCCACAAATTATTTCTCCTTTCAGCAATTGAAAAGAAAGAAAGATAACTGGAAGATAACTGGAGTGCTTTAATAAGGATTACAAGACCCTTGAAGGAAATGCTAAGCCAACAATTTGATTTAAAAGCTCTGGAAAGACCCCCGGATTTGGAGTCCGGAAACGTGGGCTTGAATCGCTGCCCTGTTTCTGCAAGTTCACTGTGGTCTGAATAGTGGATGAGGCCATGGGAGGGTATAGCTCAGAACAGAGGTGCACTTGGTGGGCAGAGGGACAGTTGATGCACTTGCTTAGTCCCTTGGGGGACCACCATTGCTGCCCCCAGGAGCCACACTTGCTTCTTTTTCTTAGCATCACCTACAGGTTCAGGTGCCTCACCTATAGGAGGGCCTTGTGGGGCTTGGGGGAGGGAAGACCTAATACTTTCTACCCAGACCTGTTTCTGATCACAGAGGCATCATTTTCTAATCAGAAAGTGGAGCTCCTCCCTTGGCTCTAGACACTGGAATGTCTACACCTGTGGGCACGTGCTGCCAGGCTCTTCCTGGAGACTGTTCTGCCCCAGGAGAGTGCAGAAGCGCATCCTGCAGGTGATCTCTTTAGGACCACCCTCTGGACTCTTCTTAACAATGTTCAGGGTAAGACCCAAAATAGAAACAGGGAGTTCTACTGGGAAGCAATAGATTACACTAGTGCATTTTACTTTTATTACTCCATTCCCAGTGCATTTTATCTTGTTATTTTATCAGTTTATTATTATCGGGCTAAAGTGCTTAGAATGGTGCTGGGTGCTGAGTACAGAGAAGAGAGATACTTTTTGCCTCTAAGGGCTCACAGTCTAGAGGAAGAGCAGGCAGCCAAGCACAGCATTGCAGGGGTGTACGACACCTGTCGGGCGTGCACACCTATGGGGGTGCACAGGGAGCCTGGGAGCCTGGGGAGGGGGCACTGACCCAGCTTGGGTAAGAGGAGTAGGGGGATGTCTCAGAGAGGCAATGCTTAGCACATGACAGATGCAGAGGAGAGAACACAGTCTAGCATTTAACAAGACGTGGAAGGGACAGGGAGCAGGCACATTTGTTGGTGGCAGGGGGGCGGCCTCTGGAGTGGCTGGGATTGGTTGGTCGTGCAGCTGAGCTGGAGGCCTTGCCTGGTCCCAGATGCATTTACATCCAGTAGGAGTTAGCAGTTACTCAGGTTTCAAACTGGCTCTTATCAGAAACTGAGGGGTAGGCTGAGGTCCTGGGGAGAGTGCAACCGCCACTGGGGCCAGCTCCTCATTTGGAGAGTTCACCGCAAAACACTTTAGACTCTACTACGTTTCACCCTGGAGTCATGCTGCAGATCGAATGACGTTGCCAAGGACCGTTGTTCCTATAGGACTAAGTAGCCTGTGATGTTGCTCTTCTTTTTGCCCCTGACGCCAGCATCCAACAGGGTTCTATTGTACACAGTTTCCATTATGTGGGGCTCCACAGAAAATTAGCCGAAGAACTCCCCCGGGTGCCAGGTGGCTTGTAATATCTCATTAGGAATGGCTGTGTGGGAAGAAACAATATTTTTAGCAGTGGGTAGGAAGTGTTATTGAAATATGACTTCTTTGACATTATGGAACTTAGAATCATCGGTTCAAGTCAGATGGTACTATAGTAACTGTAACTACATTGGGGACTGAGATCAAAAGAATGGGAACCAGAATTCGGCACTAGCTTATTTCTCTCTTTTGCATATGATTAAGCAGTATTGAACCTATCTCAGAATACAGCATCACCAGAAACAATGCCTTGCCTAGTACTGCATAAATGCTACTCAGACAATACGTTTCTGGACTCCTGGAGGAGTTCTGAATCTTTGGGAATGGATCTGCTCTCTGACTAACGGAGGTAGCAGGTTGCCAATGTCTAATGAGGTGAGGTCCACAGTAGGGCTGTGTGAGCTCTGCTTCATGGGGAGGTGAGTGAGAAGAAATGCCACAGTCAGGGTTTGCCAGGGAAGAGACTTTGCAGAGTTTAGTGCTCAGGGTGCCTACCGGGTGGCTCTTGGGAGGGATATCTGTGGAGGGAGGAGCAGAAGCAGGATTGGAAAGAGGGAGAAACTGGGCTTTGGTGCAGGTATAGTAGCCTCAGCCAACTGCATGGGGAGTCGTGGAGCTGAAAAGGCCCATCAGGGTTGGTCCATGTTGTGTTGCACTGACTGGGCTTTTTCACCTTTGCAGCTGTCAGTTAGTAGCCATGGGTGCCCCGGAGGAGTGTGATTTTGGGGGCATGGCTCTCTGAAGCAAGCCGTTCCTGAAGGGACAGGCTGCTGAAGGCTGAGTGCCAACTGTATTCTCAGCAAATAGAGGCAAGCATTTCTTCCTTGAAAGGGCACCTCAGCCATGCATCTCCCTTGTCCACCACAAGATTTCCAAGTACTTATTTTAATGTGAGTCCAGGCCACTCCATCAGTAGGCATCTCACAGCCCACTGACTTGGGAGGATCACCACTTAGTTTTGTTTGGTGGGAAATAGGAATTACTGCTTATAACAGGAATTGCCTTTTAAAATTCATACAAATGTATGGGGTACATGCACAGTTTTGTTACATGCATAGAATGCATAGTGGTAACATCAGAGCTTTTAGGTTAGCCATCATTCATTAACTAATTTCTCATCATCCACCCCCTCACTCTTCCAAGACTTCATTGTCTTTCACTCCACACTCTATGTCCATGTGTTATACATTTTTTAGCACCTACTTATGAGTGAGAACACGCCTGGCTTTTGACTTTCTGTGCCTGGCATGTTTCACTTAAGATATCGACCTCCAATCCATTCATGTTGCTGCAAAAGGTGTGATTTCATTCTTTTTATGACTGCATAGTATTCTATGGTAAACCACATTTTCTTTACCAATTCATTCATTGATGGACATTTAGGTCGATTCACTGTCATGACTAGTGCTGTAATAAACATACAAGTGCAGGTATCTTTTTGGTATATTGATTTCTTTTCCTTTGGGTAGATACCTGGTGGTGGGATTGTAGCTAGCACTCAGTTTGAGGTGGAATCTGTACTTAAATGTACTTTCCAATTTGACCTTAACATCTTCACGTCTCACAAACCTCTGGGCTTTGCCATTCTAGACAAAATGCTTACTTGTAAGTTTCTGGAGGGTGGCAGAAGAGGCAAGGCACACCTGAGCACAGCTGCCTGTCGCTGGCCCTTGCTTTCGTCTCGCCAGCCTCTGGGGATCTGACCTGGAAGGTGGTCTTTTTAGGCATCTCTGCACCATTGCTTCTGCTGGTCAGAGTCACAGAGGGCTTGTTTCTCCAAAGCTTAAAAAGGTGTTTTTGGTTTCTGCCTGCCCAAGGTGATTCTTCAAAGGAAGGTAGTAAATATTCTGGAAGAGGCAGTGAGCTGCAGGGAAAGAACATTATTTCAGGAGTTAGAGATCTCCATTTTGCCTTTTATGTACAGGGTACATTTGGATAAGTTTCATCACTTTCCAGGGTGTCTTTTCCATATTATTTGGGAATGTGAAAGGGTGAGATTAGATGGTCCTTATGGCCCTTTCTGGTGCTGTGATGTTTTCATTCTTATCTCCATCATTAATGTGACCTCATTCTCTCTAAGCCACTCAGTTCCAATTGCCTTCATGTCCCGCCCCTTTATTTTGGCCTCTTCACCTTCCAAATCCTTCCTTCACTGTCCACCTAACTGTTCATGTCTTTTGTTTCCTTCCAGCTCTTCCCTGATGCTGGTCTTCTTTCCCCCACCTGGCAAGCGTGAGAGGGTGTTAGGAGGGGCAGGGCTGGTGGCATTGACTGAGAGTCAGTCTGGCCATGGTAGGTGGGCAGGATGGTTGAAGACACCAATAGTTCACTGCCAGGCTTAAGCAGAGCTGACGAGGAGAGTGAGGAGTGCATTAGAAGGGTATCACCCCCAGCCTGGGCAATATAGTGAGACCCCATCTTAAAAAAATCAAAAAGTTAGCTGGGCATGGTGGCACACACTTGTAGTCCCAGCTACTCTGGAAGCTGAGGCAGGAGGTTTGCTTGAGCCCAGGAGGTTGAGGCTACAGTGAGCCATGATCATGCCACTGCACTCCAGGCTGGGTAAGAGAGCAAGACCCTGTCTCAGGAAATAAAAAAATAAACAAAAGAGGGGCATCACCAGCTCACAGTGATGCTTCCGTGCTTTCCCCAGAGCCAGGAACTTCCCAGCCAGGGAATGAATCTATATCAATGCAGTCTCATTTCCTGGAAACTGGCCAACTGCTGCTCACCTCAGCTAAAAGGCGTGAAGAACGGATTTGAGGGAAGAATTTGACAGTGTAACTACATTAAGCGGTGGAGTGATGAGATGTGTGCCTCCTCCCCAGCATCAGGGCTGTTGCCAGATGGCCCAGCTGTCTGTCATCTCTGGCGAGGTGACAAGACCCTGCGACTTCGATGTGTGGCACTTGATCATTACCTGGCATCCCAGTGGTCAGGGCCATCTGCTCCGTTTGCCCCTCACAAGATGGCAAAGCAGATTCTGCAAGGCACCAACACCAATGTGCCAGGGGTGAGGAGCATGGGTCTGTTCCAAACCAGAGAGAAACAGAGCAGACTTCTTGGCAGGTGCCACTGGTACCTGAGAACATCCTCCTGGTTGGCTCA
Source organism: Homo sapiens (assembly GCF_000001405.40). Lineage (NCBI taxonomy): Eukaryota > Metazoa > Chordata > Mammalia > Primates > Hominidae > Homo > Homo sapiens. The sequence goes on along the minus strand of NC_000008.11, from coordinate 40,837,837 downwards.
TCTGTAAAGATGCTCCCAGCCCGTGTACCAGGACACACGCCTTGTCCTGCGATGATACTCTGCTTTCCCACGAGTTGCTTGATTTTAGCCCCCAGAAGCCACACTCTGTTCAAATGAGAAATCGAGCGGTACTGACCTGAATGAGCATTCTCAGTGAGGTCTGCACTGTTTAGTGCCATGACCCAGAGAGCTGAGCTGGAGAGACAAGAGATTAGGTTTGGTCTCTGGACTCTCAGACCCTTGAATATCTCTGGCTTTTTCCAATGCTCCCCTACAAAGCACATAAGAGGTTTCACTGGGTAAAAAGTGCACTTTGTGTATTCTTTTTCCCCAGCCATGCCAAGTGACTCAGGTTCAAGTAGAGTTAGTTAAGGTCATGCTGGATAAATCCTGGAATCATAGTGGCTTAGTGCCTTAGAGGTTTAGTTCCCATTGACACAAAAGTCCAGTGGGCACCAGGGGTTGGGGAAAGGGAGTTCTGCTCCACACAGTCATCCAGGAACCAAGACTTTCAGAGACCCTGCCTTCTTTACCATGTGGCTTCCAAAGTTGAGCAGGACTGCAACGTCCAGCCTGCAGAAGGAGAGGAGGTTAGATCAAACAGCAGGTTTTTAAGGGCCAGGCCTGGAACTGTGTCCATCATTTTTGTGCACATTTCATCAGCCAGAACTCAATTATGTGGTGCAGTAACTGCAAAGGAGGCTGAGAAATTCAGTCTGATCTTTTGTGGCCAGGAGAAAGGAAAAAAACAATGTCTCTATTGCAGAGGGTGTGGAAGATTCATTTCTAGAAAATCGTCTCTCATCATTATTGTGTACATGGTATCTATCCAGCCATTATTTGTCTATGTATGTATCTATATTTCTGTCAATCAATCCATCATCTATCTAGTTTCTATCTACCTATGTTTCTATCTATTTATCTACCGATCATCATCATCTCACTATCACTAACATCAGTTACCGTCGTTAATAACAGAATGAGCACCCGTACAACATCTTCTAAAGCAAAGCTGAGATCTGGCAACCGCTTACATCTGTCCATGTGTTTCTCTCTCATCCCTTCTGTCTCCCCAACCTAAGGCAATCATCATCCTGAATCTTGTCCTCATTTCTCTGCCAAACATTTTTAGAGTTGTATCTTTTCTACATGTATGCCCAAGATGTCTATATTTTCATTTCAGTTGTTTTTGACTTTATAAAAAGGATCTTGTAGATGTGATCTTCTGATTCAAATTCTTCATGTAAATATTAGATTGCTATGATTCGTCTGTATTCTGGTTTGTTGCTGTGACTGTACCTCAGTTTATTCATCCACTCTCCTGTAGGTGTGCTTTTGGGCTGATTACAGGCTTTGCTATTTGAACAATGCTACTATCATCATCTCTTACATACCTTGTGTTGTACGTGAGCAAGATTTTTTCTTGCCTGAAATTAGGAGTGCAGTTGCTGGGTTGTTCAGCTTGATGAGATGATGCTTAACTTTCAGCTTATCCTCCTGTGAAAATGTATACAAATTCCTGTATACATTTTCACACCTTCTTCAACTCTTGATGTGGCCAGATATTTTAAGTTTCAACAATCTCCCCATTGTTTGTTGATGATCCTAATACACATACAATAACCTTTCTATGGTTAATTTCCCATGGTGGCTGAATTCCCAAACCAATCATTATTTTCCCGATTTCTTACTGCATCCCAAAGTAGGGGGTGTCACAAGATGTCAAACCAGCTCTGAAATCTGAAAGGAAGTTCTAACGGAAAGATTTCATGGACGGGGGAGGCTGCTGTGTAGAGATTTGTAGGGAGAAACTGGATAGTGAGTCCCTTCCTCTGCCTTTGCAACATTTAAATTCCTGTATCTTCCTGTCTTGGCCACTCTACATACTTTTACATGGACTCTACATTTTCACTGAGTTTAGGAAGGTCAGGAGACAAATCAGCACCGAGCAGTTAGAATTCCTTGGAGAAGCCCAGTCAAGTTAATATGCGGTAGAGGAGAAGGGAACTAGAATGTCTGCTGGCTGACTGACAGCACTTGCAGCAACCTCAGAGTATGGATTCAAATAAAAATAATAGTTTTCCCTGCAGCAGCTTGGTCTGTCTCGTCGGTGCCTTCCTCTGCAGTTGAATACAGGTGCAGAACTCTGCTTCCCTGGGCCCTGAATGCCATTGCTGCATTTAAATCTGCCCTCAATCTGTCTGGTTTCATAGGGGCAGTCTTGTGAAGATAAATCATGTAAACAAGTTACAGTAATGGAATACTTATTTAGAAACTGTATTTTTGAAGGCATGTATTCACATTGAAAGGAAGGGTCCTGTAGTCGTTCAGCTTGTTAAGAAAATCCACCTGTCTGGAGCAGGTACTTGCTTCACTCAGGTAGCCAATACATAGCAAAGTGGGGGGACCCACGTAGGCTTTTCTCCGTTGAGTGAGGGGAGGGTAGGAGCCTATTCTTTAAAATGTGAGTGGCTTTTCTGCCTGGGTGCACAGCCCTTTGGTGTGATGGAATGAGCGACAGGAAACATAAGGAGCATGTTTTATTCCCTCATATTTTCTCCTCCTCTCCCTGCTTCTCTTTGCAGGCTAGTGATCTTTTCTGTTTCTCTCTGCCTCTGGCTTTCCCCCATGATATGGGCTCTGTTTTTGGTCTGACTTGAAGTGGCAAACTAGTTGAAAATCCAAGCTCTCCACCTGTCACTCACTTTCATCCCTCTGAAAGTGCAGAAAGAGAAAGCAGATGCTTTGGGCCCGCTGTGACTGGAGAAGGTGCTGGAGTTTATCCATTAGTGTTCTACAAAAACATCCACGCTTTCCCTGACATCTGCGCTCCATCATGCTGCCCGGACCCATCAGCTGGGTGCATTTGGGCTTGCTGTGCATTACCGCCTGACACCTTGGGCTCTCCCCAAAGCTGCCACTGCAGGGTACCTTTGGAAAGCCAGATAGAATGGCTCTTGCCTTGCAGAGTCTCTGCTAGTCCCCACCTGCCTCTGGTACTCAGATCCCTGGTCTCCCTGTTAGGTGGAGGCAAAGGTACAGTACTGGAGCCTTAGCAAGGACCTACAGGGTAAGGAGATGTTCCAGAAGGATGACACGTGGGCCTGCCAGAGCCATTGTCTTCCAGCTGGCATGAATATTCTATTTATGTGTTGAAGCAGGTGGGAAGTCTGTCTGTGTTTATGGAGGGTGGTGTGTGCTGGATCCCAGAATGTGAACCTTTCCCGTGAGATCAGAACCTTGTTCCCTGCTGCAGACTGAGTGCTTAGAGCAGCACCAGCCGTATAGTAAATGCTCAGTAAAAATTCGTTTCATGAATAAAGAGAGAATCCAAGTGATGTTGTATGTCCAGGACTTAAGCAGAGGCCATTTGGTGAATCACATAGAAAATCTGTGGGATTTGCATAGAATTTACAGTGAAAATCTGAAGCCTTGGGCTGGGCTGGTCAGCACCTGCTCTGCTCATGCCCCCTGGAGTCTACAATTCAGACTTGTCCAAGCAGACAAAGGACAAGGGATCAGAGAGGGGAGAGGTGGCAAAGAATCAGTTGCATGTGCCTGCCCTTGGAGGTTGGACCAGAGAACCGCCCTGCAGGCTGGGGCTGCCTTTGCTGCTCTGCTTCCCAGATGTCATCAGGCCAGCCTGTGCCATGTGAGACTGACAGCTCTGGTTCCACGGCCCGCGGCTGGGGTGAGGTGCATGTGCCCAGCAGTGGCCGATGCCTCTGAGTCAGGAATCAAAGAACCTGGTTTTATAAGTGAAGAAAATGGTGCCATTAAAAGGCAATTATTCAAGTGGTGTGAGTCAGCGATGCAGCTCCTGGCAACGCCAGGCAGGAGAAGGCAGTGGTGTGGGGAGTTTTCTCTCCCTCTGCCTCTCTCTCTTTTTAAACAAAGCTCAGGCTGGAAAGCAGAGCTTGCACCTGCATCTGGGTGATGTACGGTAAGCTACCTAGACTGCCAGATTCCTTTATCTGAGCAACATCAGGAATGGGAAAGACAGCCTCAAACCAGAAGAAAGATCCTTATCCTGAGGAACAGGGAATTGAAAAGGTCCTTCAAGCTGGCTGTGTACTTGACCTTCACCCTGCTCTCAGATGCTGCATGGGGGATTCTCCTGCCTGTCGACCCAGGTGGTGTGTGAATGAAAGAAAAGTGTGTGCTGGAGCCGGTGGTCCCGGGAGTGGGGGTCAGACGTCTTCCCCTGCGCTGCACCCTAGCTGCCTGCTGTTCCCTTTCTCTGGCATGATTTTATGGAAGACCATGATGATTTCATGTCTTTTTTTTTTTTTTTTTTGCTGGAGTGTAGTGGTATGATCTCGGTTCACTGCAACCTCTGCCTGCCGGGTTCAAGTGATTCTCCTGCCTCAGCCTCCAGAGTAGCTGGGATTACAGGCACGCACCACCACACCTGGCTAATTTTTGTATTTTTAATAGAGATGGGGTTTCACCATGTTGATCAGGCTGGTCTCGAACTCCTGACCTCATAATCTGCCCACCTCGGCCTCTCATAGTGCTGGGATTACAGGTGTGAGCCACCACGGCCAGCCAGATGATTTCATTTCTAGAGTACTTTTCTTGTTTCTGTTTTTTTTTCCCCTCTAAATCTGCTTTGCTGCCACGGCAACCAGCACTGCATTACCACCTTCACATGGAGAGAGGTGTGATGGGGACAGGACAGACCCTGCTTCCAGCCCATCCTCTGAGGCTCCTGCACTGGCAGGCATGGCAGAGATGATCACGAAAACCACCCGCTTGCCTCCTGAATCTTTTTCCCATTGTTGGTAGACAGCCTAGAGAGCAAAGAGTTTTTTCTTTCCACAGAAGGACAGTGGCAGGGGAAAGGGAGCAAATGTCAGGCAACAGCCACCAAAGTACCAAATATGGGTTTAAGGTTCAGGGAATAAAAACTCAAAATTATAACAAAAGGGCAAACCAAGTATGGAAACCAGTCAGCCCTCACTCCCATACTTCCCTCCCTTCTGAGCAGAGTCTTAGCCCCTCTCCTTTGTTTTAATAAATCAAAGTAGAAACAAGTTCAATTGCTTTTTTGAGAGGAATAATTTTAAAATTGGCTGAGTTTAAACAACAGCGGAAGGCCTCCTGTCTGTTTCACATTCATAACCAGGTCATAGTTCATCTTAATTGGTAGCATTTTTAGTCGGCTGTGGAGTTTGTCAAAATTGAAGGAGAGAAAAGTTCAGCCTCTCTGCCTTGGGTTCTGGGAGCTGGTGAGCTGGTCAGCACTGCCAAGGGCAGCTGGGCTCGGGGCCAGGCTGTTTGGTGGTGGCATGGGTGAGCAGGGGGCATCATCTGGTGGAAGGTCCCAGACTGGCTGGAGAAGGGCCAGCAGGACTCGGCAGAGGGCACAGCGGCTTTTCGAGGTGTCAGGCCACGTTGGAGGGCAGCAGTAGGTCATGGATCTACTGAGGGTGAGTAAGGTTGCAGAGGTGCAGAATTGTGGTTGTGCAGGCAGAAGCAGAACTAGAATGTCCAGGCAGATGTTAGCCCATCCCAGCTCAGTTCAGGCAAACACAGAAAAGAGAGTCTGAGCACTGAGGTCAGAAACAGCTTCCAAGGCTCTACCTGGACAGTCGAGGCTCTTCAGGCCCCAGCATATTAATTCTGCACTGAATGTCTGTCCTTGGCTTTCCTTTTATGAATTTTTATGGTGGTCGCGAGCTGGAGGTGGCAGGGGACAAACTGAAGGGCATGCCCAGTGCTGAGGACAGAGGCCCAGAGTAGGGGTGAAGGCCGTGGGCACAGGGGTCAGCCCTGGCTTGGAAAACTGAGCGCCCCTTAGGAGCTGAGTGACCTCTGGGTGAGTTACTTAATTGCTAACCCTGAGTCTTCTCATTTAGACAATGAAGCTGACAAGTCTACACAGCTCTTTGAGGGAATTAAATCGGATGATTTATATAAAGCCCTCAGCACAAGGCCTGGCTCAGGGGAAGTACTTCAGTGAAATCTTTATTCCTTCTGGGTCAGGAGCTCTCACAAGGGGCCAGGTCCTGTTGGGATCATTGTTAGAGTAGTCACAATGCCCGATACTGGAGAGCTTGCACAGTCACACGGAGTGGCAGTTTGGAAATTCAGAAATCCTACCTTAAAGGCAAGAGCTGCTCTTCAGTTGAAGTGTCCATGAGTCTTAAATTCTATCTTTAAAGGGCCAGTGAGGGATAGTATGGGTGGAAAGTAGGTTATTAGATCTTCTAGAGAAGCTTTGTAGGGAAATAGCCCAAATCTGTAACAGAAGGATGCTCACCTGGTGGGGAACACCAAGCCAAGAGCTTCTCTCCTCAAGGGACTGGGCTGGAGGAGATGCCACCCTGGGGCCCTGATGGCTGCGGCCGCCTGGGGACTGCCACGGTGAGTGCTGTGGGTTCTGTTTGCTGGAGTCCCTGGCCCTCTGCCATATTTTGAATGACATGCTTCTCCCTTTGCATCCCCCTGGGAAGCAGGTCATGGGAGGTGAGCACTTGTGGGAGGACGAGAGGGTAAGACAAAGTTCTCATCAAACTTCTCCGTCCGTCAGGGTCAGCACCTTGTGACAACAAAAATAGATTTTTAAATGTTTATGCAGTACGGGGTCTTCACAGGCCTGAGTTTCAGCTGGCAGGAGGAGTGGGCAGCTGCATTTCAGTGGAAACGAGCCATCTTTGTGGATGGTATTGTTGATACAAAAGAGAAAGACTATAATAGCAATAAAAGCTATGATTTCAATGCACCGACTATGTTATCTTCATGTGGTTCTATTTATTTCTCTTCTTAAATATTTACAGCATTCCTTTGAAAATAAGAATAACGATAATACAAAATTAATAATATTAATGGTAATGATGGTAATATCCCCTTTTTGCGTGTCTCTGCTATGCCACAGTCTGTGCTAGATGGTTTATCTACATTATTTCTAATCCTCACAATAACCCTGTGAGAATTTTCCTCCTATTTTACAACTAAGGAAACCAGGGCTCAGTGAGGCTGTGTAAGTTGCTGAACAACCTAGTTGGCAAGCAACCACACCTGGATTTGAACCAATGTCTTTCCCTCTGAAGAGCCCTGCATGGGTTTTGGGCTCTCTGAGTCAGAAGTTATTTCAGCACCATCAGAAATGGAATGGAATGAAGAATATTAATCTTTTTAACATAATGCTTTTGTTTCCTCCACACAGATACCCCAAAAGACACCTGCACTTACATGTTCATTGCAGCACTATTTACAATAGCAAAGTCATGCAGCTAACTTAAGTGTCCACCAATGGTTGATTGGATAAAGAAAATCTGGTACATATATACCATGGAATACCACACAACCACAAAAAGAATGAAATAGTGTCCTTTGCAGCAATAAGGGTAGAGGTAGAGGACACCATTTTAAGTGAACTAACTCAGAAGCAGAAAATCAAATATTGCATGCTCTCACTTATAAGTGGGAGCTAAACAATGGGTACACGTAGACATAAAGGTGGAGAGAAGGACACTGGGGGCTCCAAAAGCGGGAAAGAGTGGAAGAGGGGGTGAGGGTTATACCATTACCTAGTGGGTATAATGTTTAATATTTGAAGGATAGCTGTACTGTCCCCACCATTATGCAGTATACATATGTAACAAACAAGCACCTGTACCCCCTGAACCTAAAATAAAAATTTAAAAAGAATATGACTCTTTTCCATGAAGCCCCAGGTCTCTCTGGAATTTTAGCCTGCATTCATTCCTTCAATCTGTTCTTGAGAAGCAGAAAGAAGCAGAAAGGAAGGTTTCATATCTGCCTCTGAGGATCCTGAAAAAGGCCATTTCTTGCGCCTTAAGAAACATTTCGGGACCTGGCTCTTCTCCCCCAGCCTCTTTTTCTTCCATCTAGGTTTTGAGATTCTCTTCCTTGCATTTTTCTGCCTTCCCCCTTATGTTAAATTATTCCAAATTAACCCCACCTATGCCCCTCCTATTATCTTCTCATGCTTAGTGGTAGTAAGATTTTTCTCTGTGCCAGGGAAAAGAATTAGCTTCTGAGTTGGAACTCATTTCTCTCCACTCTAATCCTATCCATCCTCAAATTTTCAACCCTAGTAGAACTTTCTTGAAGAGATTCTTGATAATCCTTTCTGTCTTCTCAAATCCTATATCACTTTCCATCCCCCAAGTTCTGTTGGAATTAGTTGCCTGTGCCTTAGGTGTTGGTGTGTGTATGTCTCTTCTTACTCAGTAGCTCAGCAAGATTTGGAAGACAGGGGTTGTGCCTCTGTTATCCCTGAGCCTCACTCATGCTAGATTTCCCCAAACCATTATAGAATCAATAAAAGCACTCCTCCTTGATGCTTCCTTTATTCCTGATACCTAGATGCACCTCTGAGCCTCACACCATCACTGCTATACACATGGATCTGTAGGAACTCAGACCCCCGGACAGCACGTGAAAATGTGACCAGACTCCCTGCTCTAGTACTGCGTCCACATCGGGTGGAGGCCTCTTACCTCCATTGCAGATAGTGCCAACCTCTGTGAGTACTGGAGAGTGATGAGAGGTCATTTAGATCCTCCAGTGGTTGCTTGGCAATGTGCCTGCCTTTGCAATGTGCCTTTGCAATGTGCTGGGCCTGGGAGTACAGATGGTGCTTTCTTTCAGATCTGTTTCAGACCCAGGAAATCAAATTCCTGTCTTCCCCTACTCTTGTATCCCTCCTCAGAATGTCCCAAGGCCTCATGGCACAGCACAATACGAATGTTTCCAGGGGGAGGTCACTAGACACTGGATCTGATGGGACAGATTGGACTGACCAGTAAGTGATCAGTGGCTCTGTCTCTACTCCAGTTGCTGGAGTAGCGCGTGGGCTCCTCAGGACCATGGACAAGGCTAAAAAACTGGAAATTTTTTTTTTTTTTCCTTTTTCTTACCAGCTGTCTTGGTGAAGACAGTGAAGGCCAGTGAAGCTAAAATCCTCTTCTAAACAAACCAGGGGAGGGGAGCAAGTGACATCCTCCCTTCTTGGGAATTCCAGTCTCTGCATGATAAATCGGACCCTCTGGTTGTCTAAAGTGACCTACATGGACTGCGCTCTCTTTTTCTGGAGGGAAAGCCCTCATGTACAAAACAGGCTGACACTTGTCCACTAATTGCCTCCCACTGGAATGTGACTTGTTCAGATATTCCACTCAGGTGTCATCGATTTCAGAGGGGTCCTTATTGCCTTTTAAAAAATTGCATATGGACTTGTTCAAATCAATATTCTTATATAAAACAGTGGAAAAAGCCAAGATATTTTCTCTTCCCTTGAATTTTTTTTAGTATACACATTTTATATTCTGCCTTTAAAGCTATTTCTGTTGCACAGCTGCTTTACCGAGACTCAGACTCCTACGGGCCTGCTTGGTCCGACACGTACCTTGAATATCCTTTCACAGTGTTTGATTTTTGCAGTTGGTTGTATAATGAGGAAGGAGTGTGCAGTGAGTTTGGAGATTCCTATTAACCAGGTCATCCGTGAATCTATTTTTGTGTGCTTCTTCATTAGAAATAGCAGGGAACATGATAATATTTAAACACAACCACTTATAGGAGCTTGGCTTAAAAAATATACCTTAGTAAGTTTTCTTTTCCCATTAGACATTTCAAAATGTTGTACTCCAGTTCTTCATCATCAAAACATCTTTTCTTCATTTACATTCTGGGACATGAATGGAGACCATTACAAATGACTATGATATTGTGGGTTGGCACTGGAATTGGCAATCCTTTGCCTCATGTAGACCATCTCCGGAGTGCCCGCATTCTGTTCTTGGTCTTGCTTTTGAAGATGGACTATAATGAAATAGACTCAGGGCAAGATGATGAGGCTGGGTAGGACTTGGAAGTAGATAGAAGAGTGTTATCTTCAGACACTCAAGGGAGGATATCTCATGAAAAAATGGAGACTGGTGTGGTGCCATGTTGTACCTAATGACAGAATCACTGAATGAAAACTACGGTGGGACAGATTTTAATTCAACCTAAGAAAAACTTAACAACTAGAGCTTCTGCCCTCTCTGGAACAGGTTGCCTTGTGGGGGAGGAGGTGAACCTGCAGGCACAGCAGGTGCTAGACTCCAGGCCAATTGGGCCACCTGCCAGGTGTGGTCCTTTTTGAAATAACAGGCCCATATCAACCATGAGACACAGTGGTACCTGGCATAACTATTGCTTGCTGGGGGCATTGAAAAACCACAGGCATTATTGTCTCTTAGGAGCAGAAACTGTGAATCCTTTTGAATTGCTGAAGACAAATGCCCTGAATGAGCCACTAGAGCCAGGGCCAAGGACAGAACGTGAGATTGGAGTACTTGAGGCAGACATCCTTTTATTTCAGGCAGATACTTTATGAATGTGGTCTGGTTATTTAGATCATTTCAAAAATCACCTAAAGTGAACCACAGTTCACTTTACTTTACACAGTTCACTGTTGCATTGTTCAGGACTTGGCCAACATCTTGCCAACATCAGGATGTTATTAAAAATATACTACTGATCCCTTTCAAATGCAGAGAGTTTTACGGTTGATATAGCACTTTCTCATATATTTCTCCCTGTGATCTTCACTATCACTTTCTTAGAAGGCATGGTAAATATTATTATCTCAATTTTTATATGGGGGAAACTGAGGTATGGAGCATTGAGTGACTCATCCAATGCCATGTGGTAGCATCAGACCTAGGATGGATCTAGCTTGTGGAAATTGGAATCATGCAAGCGAGGCCATATTTTTGGCTATGCAAATGACTAGCAATGTAACTTTGGACTGTCTTATAGGTAAGATGATGGTGGTGAAATAAGATAAAGTCCAAAGTGCCTACCATATTGCTGTTGTCTGAGATTCTTTTGCCTCTTCATACAGCATGCTGTCTGCCATGGTCTTTACTTCTTGCTTGACGGGTAGGAGGTGAAACAAGTGGAGTTTGTGGGCTGGGTGAAGGAATCGGATGCACTGGGGTGTGTTTCCAGGGTGGTAACATGAGATCCTTCAGCTGCCATAAGATCCGTTTCCGACAGATCGCTTTCAGAAGCTTGAGATCCTTGGCTGCATTTTGATTCCGGGTTTGGAATTTGAGAATATGTTTATTTACTTTGTGGGATCATTTGTGGTGTGCGGTGGTGGAGGTGGCCTTTATGAATTCAACCACCCTAAATGGAGAAGAGTCAGCTTGAATAGTGAGGTCTCCCCGTGTTGCAAAGTATGGGGTTACAAGGAAAGTTATAGTTTAGTCTGATTGTATTTTTTAATTTTCTAAGTGCAACTATTTAACTCTAAACTAGATTTTATACCGCTTAAAGGCTCTAGACAAAGCTAACTTCTTCCTTGACTACAAAAGTAATATGTGATTGTTGAAGAAAAATTTAAAAATGAAGAAAATTGCAAAAGCAATTTTCTGTCATTTCCCAAAGATAAGTGCTATTAAAATTATGTTATAATTTCCTGGAATGTTTTTTAATGCATCTATACATATTTTAAAACAAATTTTGTATAATGCTATATGTACTTAAAAATCTCTTTTGTTAATGGTAAACCTTTTCCTAATGTTCCCTGAAAGAATAATTTATCTGAATTTGGATTTGGAAGCCACATAGTTTTCTAGTGTGATGATATATCAAAGTTCATTTAACCCACTTTCTATTGTTGGATATATTAGGTGCTTACAACATTTAATTAACATATAAATATATATAACATGCAAAAATATCTCACATAAATCCTTTTTAAGAATTTTTAGTTTTGTAGAGACAGAATCTCTCTATGTTGCCCATGCTGGTCTCAAACTCTTGGCCTCAAGTGATGCTCCCACCTCGGCCTCCCAAAACACTGGGACTACAGGCGTGAGCCACGGTGCCCTGCCCTCACATAAACTCTTGACAAGGCATTAGATATAAGTCTGGCTTGTTCAACAGAAAAACTATAGCTGGATTTCTATTTTTTAGGGTAAAGCAACTCTGTTGGGCATTTGTGAGAAAACTATAACCTATGCACATATTATGGTTAATCGATATGATAACGTCAAGAGTGTAGGGAGATCCACCCCTCTGTCACCATTGTCAGACCTGTTACTGTGATCCTGGCTTTTCATACGGTTAATATCTTGCATAAACATCAAAGCAGTGGACTCATTTTTCTTTTCTGTTGATTCTCTTGTAGCCTGATGAAGTCCTCCGATATTGATCAGGATTTATTCACAGACAGTTACTGCAAGGTGTGCAGTGCACAGCTGATCTCCGAATCGCAGCGTGTGGCCCACTACGAGGTAAGGACAGCGTTTCCCACTCTGTTTGCAAATGTAGGAGGGAGCAGCCCGGGTCATTGTTGTAGGACTCCAGGATCCTCCTTCTGGACTTGGGGCACATTTGAAGAACCACAGGACTTGAGCCTGTACAGTCTGAGGTCAAGGCCAGGACAAGTGTATATGTGTGGGGTTGGGAGTGAGGGTTGGGGATGTCATTGTCAGACTCTGGCTGCTTCCCAGATCCTTTTTTTAAAATTTGTATCTCAGCCCCTGGAGACTCTGCTTGGGCTTTCTCTACTTGTTAAATCTGTCACTGTGCATCCACAAAGTTCCTTTCAGGGATCCAGGGTGCAATGCATTGTGCCAGCTCCTGTCTCCACCTATGACCCCAAAGATAAGCTCAGAAGACCTTTGTTAAACACTGTAGGGAAAGACAGCAGCAAGTAATGAAGCAGCCGTGGGCCACTTCCTCCCTGAAAATTTCTTCCACCTGATGGCCAATACCCAACATGTGCTTATCACAATCAAGATGCCTTCTGCAGAGTTATAACCAAGTCTTAAAGTGCAAATACTCTTCAAAGTCATAAATTAGTGGCACTGGCTGTTTAGAATCGGGGAGCAACAGACCACTTTTTGATCCTCTATTGGGAGCAGAGGATGAGAGGAGAGAGGTTGGCCTGTGTCCGAGGATGAGGAAGAAATGAGGTGCTGTGGATTGAGTAAAGAGAACTGGGAGATCCCAGGATGCTGAGAGCTACTAGGGCATGTTCTGTTTTCAAAAGAACATATACTAGTAGGAACATGAATTTCTTTATTTTCTTTCTTTCTTTTCTTTCTTTCTTTTTTTCTTTTCTTTCTTTCTTCTTTCTTTCTTTCTTTCATTCTTTCTTTTCTTTCTTTCTTTATTTTTCTTTGCTTTCTTTCTTTCCTTTCCTTCCCTTCCTTCCTTCCCTTCTTCCTTTCTTTTTTTCTTCCTTTCTTTCTTTCTGAGATAGCGTCTCACTCAGTCATCCAGGCTGGAGTGCTGCGGCATCCCAAGATGCTGAGAGCTACTAGGGCATGTTCTGCTTTCAAAAGAACATATACTAGTAGGAACATGAATTTCTTTCTTTTCTTTTCTTTCTTACTTTCTTTCTTTCTTCTTTCTTTTTGAGACAGGGTCTCACTCAGTCATCCAGGCTGGAGTGCTGTGGCACGAGCATAGCTCACTGCAGCCTCCACCTCCTGGGCTCAAGCGATCCTCCCACCTCAGCCTCCTGAGCAGCTGGGACTACAGGCACATGCCACTGCACTCAGCTAATTTTTTACTTTTATTTTTAGTAGAGACTGGGTCTTGCTAAGAACATGAGTTTCCAAGTGTAAGAACTTGTAAGTAATTTTATATTGGAAGGCTTATCCAGCAATTTTCTTTTTGTCTGACAAGTCTGACAAATGCCAGTTGTCACTATCATTCCTCAAACTCCTCTGGGCCTCAGATTCCTCTGTGCACAATAAAAATAACTATAATAACACACACACATACGCACCCAGAAAGACAGTCAATGGGCCCTGCATACTCCTCAGGATTTTGTGGTGACCAAATGAGATCTATCGAAATTGTACCTGTGAAAATGCTTTGGAAGCTGTGAAGTCTATCAAATATGCAAAGTTATATGCTTATTCATCATTAATTCCTTTGCAGCAATGTTTTGATGAAAGCAAATGTTTGATGAAAACTTTTAAAATCAGCACCTGTGAAAAAATTCGTATAGTCATTGTTAAAAGGCAACCAAGTGTTAGAAATCAATTTGAGCTTTAAAGAATTATCTAAAAAAGTCCATCGTTTGAAATTAAGGACTTCCAAATTTCTGTGGCTATGGCTTCATAAACACACACGCACACACACACACGTGTGTGTGTGTGTATATGTATATGTGTATATATATGTATATTTGTGTGTGATGGAGTCTCACTCTGTCACCCAGGCTGGAGTGTGGTGGCACGATCTCAGCTCACTGCAACCTCCTCCTCTAGGGTTCAAGTGATTCTCCTGCCTCAGCCTCCCCAGTAGCTGGGACTACAGGCGCGTGACACCACACCTGGCTAATTTTTTTGTATTTTTAGTAGAGACAGGGTTTTACCGTGTTAGCCAGGATGGTCTCGATCTCCTGACCTCATTATCTGCTCACCTTGGCCTCCCAAAGTGCTGAGGTTATAGGTGCGAGCCACCGTGTCCGGCCAGATTTTTTTATTAGTATGTTTTCCCCAGTTAAGGAAATGGGGGAATTTGTCCCTGCTCTGAAATTCCATAGCCTCCCATTAGTACTTTATGTTCTTCCTTTATTAGACTTTTTGTGTTCATTTGTAATCATCTTACTAGATTCATGAGGACAGAAACAGAGTTTTATTCATTTGATCTTTCGTAATTGCTGGAATAGTGCCTGCCCATGACAGGTGTTCAGTGAGGGTTCGTGGAGGGGGTGGGTGTGTGAAAAAACTGCACTGGTGACCCTGCCCCACACTGCCTGACTAGAAAAGTAACGTCAGAACATTGAAAACAATGAAAAATTGTTTAAAGGAAGAAAAAAATTCAGCTGCTCAATGAAGTGTTTAGTTATTTGATTGCATATTTTGCACGTTTTCCTGTTAACATACTGTACCCTCGCTGTTGCACAATCTAATTGTTTAGAGAATGTGTTAGTGTTTGTTGGATGTAGCTAGATGACATAGAGAAAATAAAGCAATTACAACAGATCTGCAATTAACAGTGTTACACATCATCGAGATAACATTAAATGCATTCCCATTAATTGTGGATGGGAACTCTGAATGATATTTCCCTCCCTTCTTCCAGGCAGAGGTAAGGCCCTTCCTACAGTGAGAAAGAGCTGTGCATTCTTGCCGCAAAGCTGCTGAGCATGTGAAAAGGGCACAGTCAGGACTGAGGATACCTTATATCAATTTCCGGCCTCCCCAGCTTTGGTTGAGGTTTCTCCAGCACTTTCTTTTTCTCTAAGAAGATGGCTTGCATCAGATGATCTCTAAGGCCATTTGAAAACTGATATTCTGTTTCTATCAATCTGCCTCTTCTCTCCAGAGACACCTTCCCTGCTGCAGTGACTTATGGAGTGGGTCTCTAGGAGATCGAAATTCCATTCAATTCATTGAAATTGCTGTCACACTTAGTCTCCATGCCCTATTACTGATTTATTGTTTTAGTATGATTTCATTTTTCAGTTCAACCTGATAGTTTTCTCAGCTTCCTTATGGGGCAAATCAGTGAGAATCCACTGCGTATTTTCTGTATATCCAGCAATATTAGAGTTAGTTATTGCAGGGGATTCTGAACCTATATGAGAAATGATCCTTGTCCCTGAGAAGCTCATAAACTTCATCGAGAGAAAAAGTCACCGATAGTTCAGTGTGGCAAAAATACCTGTATGATTCCAAGCACATGATCTGTAGAATTCTGCTGTCTGCTTTTAAGGAGCTACTGACGGAATTTGATACAAAGAAAGTGTTAGTTCTTTTGCCCACTTGGCGTCCTGTTGTACATTACATCGTGCTGTTAACTTCGTAGATATTTGCATATTACACTTTAAAAGAGGGAAGCATCATTTAGAGCTATTATGGCCAAGAAAGACTTGTTGGAGAATGTCATGATTTATCCATGCCTCCACAAATGGGTTAAGTTTAGGGGCGAGTGGAATGAGAAAAATCTTGGTATCTATCTTTAAGGAGTATTGAGAGGGCTACCCTGGCATCATTGTGTTAGGAAAGGATGGGGTCAGGATATCAAGGAAAGAAGAGTTTGGAATCTGTGAGGCTCTTAAGCATTTGGCAGCATAACTCTATAACTGAATATTTCTAAATGATAGATAGTTGGTGGTGGTCAGGGCATATTGTTGGGGAAGAGAATGGCTTTTGGTATGACTTTTGCTGTGAGACGAGTGTGTTAATCTTCCAAAGTAGGAGAGCAAAACAAAACAGATGGGTTAATGCCTAATAGCTGCACACCCCATTTAAAAGGCTGAACCTTTGCACGAGAGGACAGAAAAACCTAATATATGTCTAACCAACCAAACCTTTACATGCTATGCTTTAAAAATCTATTTTTGCATATGAAGTCCTCAGGTGAAAAAAAATAGGGAACATAGAGGCATTTTTATTTTTCTTGCTAAGCGTTAAGAACACATTAACATTTCAGTAGGAAATATAATTAGATGTTGTCTCTATTCACTGGACGAATAGTCTGAGTCAACAGAACAAGTAGACACAGACACAGAAGGAAGAGAAAGCTTTCAAAGGAAAGGGCCTAAGCGTTACGGGGGTAAAAAAACAGTTTCCCAGGGAGGCCATTTGTGTGGTTTGCTGCAGTTTCAAGTGGCTAAAGAATAATTTCCTGCAAAGGGAAAGAGTTGCTTGTATGAATGAAGGAGTGGTTTTCTGCAACGTAGGAAAAAGAAAAAAGTACAGGGCAGAAAGATGATATATGTGTGTGTACACACATACACACTCCCCCCATACACATACACACACACCCATCCCCAAACCACCAACACACACACACCCACACATACATACACATACACACGCACCCATAAACACATATACACATACACACACATAAACACACATACACATACACACATACACACAGACACACACATATATGCCCCCCACTTCCTACACACACCCACACACATACACACAAACACACACATAAACACATACACATGCACACATAAACACACAAACACACATAAACATACACACATACACACATAAACATACACATACACACACCCACACATATATACACACACAGACACACCCATAAACACATATACACATGCATATGCACAAATGCACACATAAACATACACAGACATACACACGTACCCATACACACATAAACATATACATAGACACACACACATAGACACACATACACGTAAACACACACATGCCCGAGACACTCCCACACACATACACACACATACACACACATGCACTCCCACATACAGATACACACATAAACACCAAAACACACTCACACACATACACACACAAATGCACACATAAACACATGCATATACACACCAATACACACATACACACATATACACACATACACATAAACACACATACACCCCCAGACACCCCACACACAAATACACACATAAGCACACACTATACACACACTTTCACACACATACACACAAACACCTCTACACACCCACACACGTAGACACACACAAACACACACATAAACACACACATACACATATACACACATAAAGACCCACACCCGCACACACATACACACATAAATACACATCTACAGACACACACCAATACTCACATATATGCGCACACGTACACACACATACACAAATGCACACATAAACACACACATACACACCCGCCCACACACACACACACACACACACACACATATTCGCATATACACACACATGGAAAGTCCATAATGTTATGCATGGGTTTTTGTAAACTATGATTTTAAGTGAAATGGTGTATAATGGAACCAATTTTTTTCCTCATCAATGTTATACTGAAATTACATTGAATGAAATGATGTTACTTGAGGACCTTCTAGACCTGGTTTCACTTAAAGGTTCAGTTTCCAAGAACCTATGGATGATGTTAAGTAAGGACTTTCTCTCTCCATATATATATATGAACATATAAAAACATATATATTTGCTATATGTTCTCTATGTATTAAAATATATATTTAGAATATACACATATATATTAATAAAGGAATTCATAAACACACACACAGCCAAAGGAAGAAGGTACTGAGTAGACCTAAGAGAGCGGGAAGAACTCTTGCTGGGCAGATCCCATCAAGCCAGCCATACATGCACCAGCCCAGTTGCTTGTCCCTTCCTGTGAACCCTAATAACCCTTGTGTTGCTGTGCCACATGTCTCATGAAATCAGTGGTTAGGCATCCTCGTCCCTCCCAAGAGGACTGCAAGCTTCCTGAGGGCAGGTGGGAGCCATGTGCTGAGTGTTTTTGTGCATTCTTGCCATACCTCCCGTGCTCCCCCCTGTAGAGCTTTGCTCCTGGCTGTCATTTACTGACACTGACAGGGGATGCACAGGCTAGGGGCTGAAGGTGGGGGAGACTGGAGGAGGGGAGGGGTGGGACAATTTTGATGAAGGCCTAGGTGTCTGCACCAGAAGAAGGGATGATGTATTAATACATTGAGCATTGGTCTGTACTTGAGACCCCAATGTCAAGATATGGGTTATGGGTGATAGTTTTATAGTTATGGCAAAGGCATTTCTTCAAGCCAGTGGGAAAGTTTTCAAACATCTCTGAATCTTGGTGAATATCAGTACTGGTGAAAGAGCCCTTTTAGCCCACCTGGGAATGGCAGAATCTAGTATTGTTCTCTCATCATGGTAGCAGCAGGCATATTGGACCTACAGAGACATGCCAAAACATGTATATTTTTTCTGTTTCTGCTGTTCTGATTGACTTCCGACAGAACTTTGGCCTTGGCTAGCTTCTATTTAATCCAGGGGAATAGCTGGAAGGGCATTTTCTAGCTTCTGTAAGTCAGGTTGGAGATCAGGTGTAAGTGTCCTGTGGGTAGTGATAAAAAGGTGAAAATTAAGATTCTTAAAATGTGCTGATTAAAGTTTCATGACTTTCCAGAGCTGCTAATGCCTTTGTTGCCTTTTCTCCCATAGACTCTCATACCTTCTTCTTGTTACCTTTGCTTTTTCTTTTTTCTAATAGCCCGAAGTAAGCATGCGGGCTAAATGACTTCCTTCTGATGCGTGAGAGTTGTGGGTTTTAGATCAGGCGGTGTGACTGTAGCCTGTCAGCACCACCCAGCACTGCCCCAACCGGACTTGAGTACTGTCGGGGCCTGCTAGGCCCACACCTACCCTGGGTAATGCAGGTGAAGTGTTCAAGGAGATGCAAGTGCTAACTGGGTAAAGACTAGGAAAAGTCTTTATGGCAGGATGCCTGGGAGGATGCCTTCTTTGCACTACACATTGAGAATCACTGTTTCAGTATTTTTGAACGTCTTGGCATCATGAGTGCTTAATTTCTCCCAGATGATGTTAGTACAGTTATTGGTACATTTGTCCAGGGTAATATCTTCGTAATATCCTAGGACTTACTACACAGATAATACTTCTGATATGATAAATACAATTATTCCATATGGAAGATCTTTTTGGATGATTGGTGGTGTGGTGGCTTATCCCTGATTGCCTGTTAATGTTCAACTTCTGTTTCCTTGTCCATTTTATTGAAGATTCTTAATCTTCTGTAAGATTTCTAACTACTTTTATATTTTCCTTTTGTTTTATTCCAGCAGGGCCAGCATGGGCATCTTACCTTTTATCAGTCATTGTTAGTCAAAATAGTTCACTGGAACACAAAGTGAATTGCTGGTAAGAGGCTATAACGAAGTAGACAATAGGCTGAAGAGCACACCCAACTCAGGCAATATGCACACGGCTAAGAGCAGTTGTTAGATGATGTGCTTCATGCTCATTGATTAAGAGGACACGGGTAGGGTATGCTCTGTAGCCTGAGTTCTCATTTGCAGACAGCCGTTGATGTCACTTAGTGGATTTTAGGAGTCAGACCATATCCCATTGGCTAGCACTCAGTCACATAGCCCACCTACCTGCAGGAGAAGTTGGAAAATGCAATTTAAATGTGTGGGTAAAAGGAAATGGATTTAACAAACACATAGCATCATCTCTATCATGGTCTGCCCTTCTGGCCACCAACTATCCATCTCATTCTTTCCCTGACATAGAACACACACATCCCCTCTTAACAGGAGTGACCTCAAGTTCTTCCCAATCACTGTATTCAGCTCACATTTCAGGATCTCCAGGAGTGGGCCTCCCTGTTGAGTGGGAATGTGGCTCCCCTTGGTCCAGTGACCTATGAGCAAAAGAGAAATACTACTGCTTTCCCCTACACTTTTCAATGGTGACGATAACAGTGACATTTCTCAACCAGAAAAAAGAAGAATGAAGACAAAGAGAAATCGCTGGTCCACAGCAAAGCTAGTATCCTGCAGGGCGACACTGTGACTTTTCCCTTTCCATAAAGTGGGGCAAGTTCCCAGAATAGAATCTGATCTTCCTCTGCAGGAGGGACTTTTCTTTTTCATTTTTCCCAATGACCCCTGGCACTGACCCCTGGAGTTCTTTCCTGTCCATTATTCTCCTGGCCACATCAGAAATGGATCTTGGGTCTTCTCTCCTCCTAGGGACTGCCAGCATTCATAGTCTACTTCCTTCCTGAGACTGATTTAAGGCTTGCAGAATATTAGAAGTGTTTCTAATTTAGTGTCATAATGTCTTTAGTAATATTATTCTTTTAATAATGTAAAAAGGCTTCCGATTTATTTTTTAGAAAGTTCCATGTATCAGTAACAAAACAATTCTCTCCTAGATACAATTTCAAGACTGCTTGTTTATTTTAATGCTTCCTTACCCATGTGAGGAAGCATTGTCTTTCTTTTTTCCAATTTAATGGTGGGTATCTTAAGATTATCTTAAAAAAGCAAGTGGAAAGGCTATGCCCTTCATTTGATTTTTGCCAAAGGCCTGAGTCACATGCTCAACTGAGAAGTTTCCCTGGGTCTCCAACACTCAATGTGTTTAAAAATGCCGTCTCTCATGGTTGGATGTCTAGAAGCAATTGGCAAATGGTCTTTCCAATTCTCTATGTCCCAAATTTATGGATTGTCTCTTTCATATGACTTCTATCTGCTAATGGGTCAGTTGCATTCTGACTTCTTTTTCTTGAAAAACTTGACCAAACACTAAAATAGACAATTAGTAATGAATATAGTAACAAAATAACATATATCAAAGTATTCTTCATCCTCTTCCAATTCTTCTAGAACTCTATCCATGTCCTAGAAGTCCTAGAATAGAACCTTCTGGTTTTCCTACAACTGTAAGCTCCGTAGGCAGGTAGTGTGCCTTCCAGAGTATTGTTGGCAAGTTTTGCCAGTATTTTGCTACCATATAACCTAGATCTACAATATCCTAACCATCCCCATTTACTACCCACCTGCCAAGCCAATGTCATATTTTTAGGGTTTTTTTGTTTGTTTGTTTAAGGATAACCCCAATATCTACGTTAGACAAGGCAGGCTAATTCTGGCAACAAACACTTTCAGCATCTTAGAAATAAAAAAAAAATTCTTTCTTCCTTACATTATAGTCATTATATGTTAGTGGAGGGGGATTTTGGGCCACAAAATTATTTAGAACTCGGGCTGGCAGAGGCTTCTGACGTTGCCCTGAGTATCAAAATCCAACTGGTATCTGGGGAACTGATGGGGATTGTGGGTGACTGCACAGGACATTTTAGGGGACAGCCCTGGAAGTGGCAATATCATATCTCCCAGGTTCCATGGACCAGAACTCAATCGCATGTTTTCTTCTTACTGTAGAGAGGCTGGGGCATGTCACTTTGCCGGATGCCCAGGAGGAAAATGAAACTGGTTTGGTGAACACGTAGTATTGTCTCTGTGCACTGTGTATCTGTGATGCTGGAGGAAATGTGGTGATTAGGACCTGCACTGGGGATGCTGGGGTGAAAAAGAAAGAGAAGGAGAGGAAAGACTGTGATTCCCAAAGGGAGTGGTTTTGGCAAATGAATGAAACAACTGTTGAAACCGAGTGTTTGGGAGCTGCCGTGAAGCTGATGCCCATTTTATTACAGTGCCGGGGAGGTAATGGAAGCAAACAATGTGCTGTTTGTCTAAAAGGCAAAAGAATAACAAGCTATTGACTTAGACTTTTCTCTTCATTTCCCCTGACTTAGTTGATCAAACACAAGAGGTTTTCCAGTTGGAACTTGGAGCCTGTGTGCCAAGTGGCATGTCTGACCTATAGCATTTCTCTTGTGCCTACCTTTTGGGGCCAGCTGTCTCCTAGGTCCTGAGCTCTGTGCCTCACTGCTAAATAGCCCGAACCATCCCACCTTCTGCGTGGAGATGGAAGGACAGGATTCTCCTGGGGGTCTCCTCAGCTGTGCCCTGTGGTTGAGGGCACTGCCTGTGGTATCCCAGAGTCTTATTTAGATGGATGTTTGAGAGAAATTTTCCTTTGCTCTCCTCTACAAGAAAAGCCATTCCTCTTTTGAGTGGCAGCTCAGTGTAGACCCTTGACTCTGTTTTTTGATTTGCTTTTGACACCAAATTCATGGTCACATCCAGCAACCAAACAGGGTGCTGTGTACACATTTCTTGTGCTTGACTTACCTCTGATTGTTATTTTATTTCCCCTGTTTTATTTTATTTTATTTTTATTTTTGGATGGAGTCTTGCTCTGTTGCCCACACTGGAGTGCATTTGCATGATCTCAGCTCACTGCAACCTCCACCTCCTGGATTCAAGAGATTCTCCTGCATCAGCCACTCGAGTAGCTGGGATTACAGGCACGCAGCACCACACCCGGCTAATTTTTGTATTTTTAATAGCGACAGGGTTTCACCATGTTGGCCAGGCTGGTTTTGAACTCCTGACCTCAAGTGATCTGCCTGCCTTGGCCTCCCAAAGTGCTGGGATTACAGGCATGAGCTGCCAAGCCTGGCCTCTCCTGTTTTATTTTAAATATGTATCACTCATTTATTTTATCTGATTGTATTAGATGTAGATATATTTTGGTATTTGTTCTTGAAGTCTTTGAGCAAAATGGTTGAGTATAAATATGTGAATATTTGTTATTTTAACATTTTATTCATTCATTTTTTTGCAGAGGCAGCAAATTCACAATTCAAAAACTATGAAAAGTATAGTATGTGAAAAGTCTCCCACCTATTCCTATTTCTTAGCTACCTAATTCTCAGATGAAACCACTTTCCAATTTTCTTTGAAATATTCTATGCATATAGATGCAGCTTAATTTTTCCTTTTATATCTTTTTCAGAAATGGTAACATGCTATAATCTTAGTTTCATTTGTCTTAATTGTGGCATAGATTTTCATTTTATGATTGTATCATAACTTGTAAAGCACTATTGAATTGCCTGATAACCCTTGGTAGCCTTGATAAAACTCTGGTAGAAAAAGACTTTCTCCTTGTGAATACTTGTGTAGTGATGCACATATCAGTTGCTTTTCAGATCTCGACCTGTAATGATTGGTTATTGACTGTGACAATTTTTCTTTCAGCTTTTCTATTCCCAGTGTTCACTTGAAAACATATGCATTCCTGACCCCCAAGTAATTCCGCCAACTGGGCTTGTTTATTGTTTCAAAAAGATATTAACAGGATGGGGAATCCCCAAAGTAGGTGGGCTTGAGTGTGGAGCAAAACCATGTGTCTTTGCCTAAATCTCTTCTGATACTTGGAGGTGCTGAGAACAGTGTGCTCTTCTTGTTTGCTGTGATTTGAGAATTTAATTAGTTTCCTCAGTCTTCTATACTAAGATGATTTAATTTTGAGTGGAACTTTTCTAACTTCAAATGCTATCACTTTCTCAGAGGATCCTACGAATGCGTAACTGCACCTGTTCAGGAGGTGCCCAGGCCATCTTGGCATCTCTGCTCCCATGACTCCTCTCCACCCCGTCCCCAGCCCCCTGCTCCCCGACCTCTGGGATCACCTTTGCTGTCACTATTCCAATTGCAGGAAAGGCTTTTAGAGTCCTTTTAAAGTTTTTAAGTTTTATTAAGAAAATAGGAAAAAGAGAACAAAACTGTTTTCTATCTCTGCCAAATATTCCTCTTCTGAGCCTCTCTACAGGCCTGGCTATGCCATTCCCCAACTTTGTTCTGATTTGGGAAATTTCCCTGCCTTCTGGTCCGAGAAATCCTTCCCATTGATGTTTTTCATTAATTCCATGAAGCTATCAACTTGTCAATACGTCTTCTGGAAATTTAGCTTCTTCAGGTTTGGCCCTAGGTAATACCTTTTGTCTGACTCACCGGGTCTCTGGCCCTAAAGCCAGCTCCCGTGTATAACCTTATGGCGAGCCCTTTGGCAAGCCGTCACTTGCTTTAAAGACCCAAAGCCACATCTTCCTTTCCCACTTCATGGAAAGGTTCATGCTTCCTTTGGATTCATCTACTGAATTTTCCTTCTTCTACCCCTGGAGTGAATTCACTCTTAGTTTATCCTCAGAGCAGGCAGAGCAGGTCTTAGCTATGAAAACAGCTTTTGCTGTACTCAGGGTCAGAAAGCCTATGTTGTATGAACAGCCTTAGCTAAATCACTTTACCCTTCCTGATTTTAATTTCTTCTTCTGTAACATGAGGTTGGGGATCTTCTTTGTTTTTACCCCTTTTCTCATACCCATCCCCTCCCTATGCCCTCATGGGCAACTAATTCATGAGGTTTGATATGACTTTTATTTATATATGTTCTTTAAAGTGTGCATGGCTTTGTGGGCATGGATTTTTTTTACATAATTTTTAAATTTTAGAATAGTTTTAGATTTACAAGAAGGTTATAAAGTATGGAATATTTTTGTGTACCCAGACATACTTTGTTTCCCCTATTGTTAACATCTTACATTGCTATGGTACATTTGTCACAGCTAATGAACCAGTATTAATACATTATTACTATTATATAGCATATATATATTTTTATTTTTTAATTTAATTTAATTTAATTTAATTTAATTTAATTTAATTTAATTTAATTTTTGAGATGGAGTTTTGCTCTTGTCGCCCAGGCTGGAGTGCAGTGGCACAATCTCGGCTCACTGCAACCTTCACCTCCCAGGTTCCAAGTGATTCTCCTGCCTCAGCCTCCTGAGTAGCCAGGATTACAGGCACCTGCCACCACGCCCAGCTAATTTTTTGTATTTTTAATAGAGACAGGGTTTCACTATGTTGGCCAGGCTGGTCTCAAACTCCTGACCTCAGGTGATCCGCCCGCCTCGGCCTCCCAAAGTGCTGGGATTACAGGCATGAGCCACCGCACCTGACCTATATCCTATATTTTAAAGTGTCAAGTCCAATCTTTGTTCATATTTCCTTAGTTTCTCTGTCGTGTCATTTTCTGTCCCAGGGTCCCACCCAGGATTCCATGTTATATTTTGCATCATGTCTCTGTAGGCTGCTCTAGACTATAACAGTTTCTCAGGTTTTCCTCGTTTTGGATGACCTTGACAATATTGAAGATTACTGGTCAAGTATTTGGTAGGATGGCCCTCAGCCGAGATACGTTTGATGTTTCTCTTATAATGAGATTGGAGTTATGTGTCCTTGGAGAGTAAGACCACAGAGGTTAAAGTGTCCTTCTCATTATGTCACATCAAGAGTACGTGCTATCGACATGACTTATCAATGTTGGTGTTGACCTTGATCACCTGGCTGAGGGAGTGACTGTCAGGTTTCTCCACTTCAAAGTCACTCCAGTCCTTCTCTTTCCATTGTGTACTCTTTGGGAGGATATCATCAGGCACAGTGTATGTAGGCATGTATTTTTATTTTATTTTGTTTTTAGAGATGGAGTCTCACTCTGTCACCCAGGCTGGAATGCAGTGGTGCAATCTCAGTTCACTGCAACCTCTGCCGCCCAAATTCAAGCAATTCTCCTGCCTCAGCCTCCTGAGTAGCTGGGATTACAGGTGCGCACCACCACGCCTGGCTAATTTTTGTATTTTTAGTAGAGACGGGATTTCATCATGTTGACCAGGCTGGTCTCGAACTCCTGACCTCAGGTGATCTGCCCAGCTCAGCCTCCCGAAGTGCTGGGATTACAGGCATGAGCCACTGTGCCTGGTCCGGCATGTATTTTTAACATGTTATTATATGACATTGGGGTGTGAATCTCATTCTTATCTTGCTATTCATTTGGCAGTATGTTTCCAAAAGCCATCCATGTTCCTGCATTTACATGTAATCTATGGCTTCTAACTGCTGTCTAATACTCCATAATGAGCATCTATTACCTTTTAACTTTCCCATTCCTTCAGGGATGGGTAGTTAGTTTGCCTCCAATGCCTTACTAGCACAAGCAATGCTGTGACAAACATCTTAACAGATTCCCTAAGGAAACTTGGGGGTTTTCTCTGAGACCGTGTGGAGACAAAAGTGACTCCAGCTTAGATGCTAATCCACTACGTTGGCTTCCGATTACCCCAGTCTTGTGAATGCCTCCTGATTGCTATTTTATCTCCTGTGTGTAGTGCTGTCAACCTTGATGTTATGGCACACATTACAGGCTGTGACATTTGCCTGTTCCGGAGGATGCCTTTAATTGTCTTGCACAGATCATGTATCCCCTTTCCCTATGGAAATATACCCAGCCCTGGGTCTGGGGGTCACAGTTGTGAAGATCCACTCGTCTTACAACCACCCAAGACCAGGCTTCTGTCTGTAAGTTCCTCCAGTAAAACACACTTTACCTCCAAACTGAATTTGTCTCCCCTGTTCTTTTTTGGCTCCTTCAGCATTTGGGGGCCACTTAGTACATTCAACCCTTTCATGGAACAGATGAATATACAGCCACCGTAAGGTATATTATTACTGAATTGGACTCAGCCTTGCTCTACTCTCCAACCAATTGTACATGAGGGTTCCCAGATCTCTACATATCTGCCAATCATTGGCTTTATTCAGCTTTCACGTTTTTTCCTAATCTAGTCAATATTTGATATATATTATTGTTATTTTAAATTGTATTTTCTTAATTATTATAAAGCTTGAACAACTTTTAAACATACTTTTTAAATGATTTCATTTTTAAATGATTTCTATTCGTATCGTTTGCCCATTTTTTTATTGGTGTACTTGTATTCTTTTTATTTCCTCCTATATTCCTTGTTGAATTTATACATTGTAACTATCTTCTCCCATTCTGTCATCTTCCTGTTATATCTGCTCATGGTGCCCTTTGTTACTTTTAAGCTTTTCCATTTTATGTGATCAATTTAGTAAACATTTTGCTCTACAGTTTGTTTAAGAAGCCCTTTCCACTATTAGATCAAAAAATATTAAGTATACTATAATTAATCTGACACTTCCATTTTTCATATTCATATTTTTAACTCTGTTTGGAGCTTACCTTTAAATATTGCATAAGGTAGAAATCCATTTTGATTTTCTTCCATGTGGTGAGCCAGTTTTCCTACCACCATTTACAATTCGTTCTTTCCTTGTAATTTGGGGTATCACTTTGCTGTGTGTTAATTCCCACATGTGCATGAGTCTGAATCAGATCCTTTTCTTCTGCTTTATGAATTTAATTTTCTTGATCTTGGTCAGTCTTTACTGTATTTAGTTACTGTGCTTTAATATCTGAGAGGGACAAATCACGTATCTATCTTCTTTTATTGTAGAGTTGACTTAGCTATTTGTTTAGTGTATGCTTTTGAATCCATGTGAATACTTGAAGAAGTCCGCAAATCCATTGGAAATCTTGATTGGAATTTCTTCAAGTTTAAGAATTAATTTAAAGACAATGAATATATACATACACACACATGCATATATATTATATACATACATATACACATATATATGTATGTGTGTGCATGTTTGTGCATGTGTGTGTATATATATATTTTGTTTGTTTGTTTGTTTGTTTTAAGACGGAGTTTAGCTCTTGTCACACAGGCTGGAGTGCAGTGGTGTGATCTTGGCTCACTGCAACCTCTGCCTCCTGGTTCAAGTAATTCTTGTGCCTTAGCCTCCCAAGTAGCTGGAATTACAGGTGCCCGCCACCATGCTCAGCTAATTTTTGTATTTTTAGTAGAGATGGGGTTTCACCATGTTGGCCAGGCTGGTCTTGAACTCCTGACCTCAAATGATCTGCCCACCTCAGCCTCTCAAGGTGCTAGGATTACAGGTGTGGTCCACTGCACCCAGCAACAATATTTTTATAGTATCAAGTCATCTTATCTTAAAGCAGGGGTATCTATCTATCTATTCAATTTTAAACCAATTTCTATATTAAAATTTCAGAGAAAGGTAACTTAATAAACATATAAACCATGAGAACACACATAATTGTTGTGTGATTTGATTCTTAAAACTATGTTTTTTCTTTCCATTATTTTGTCAAGGTTTAATCATTAGTCTTTTAACTAAATTGTAATCATGTTGAGAACAAAAGCCATGCCTTTAATTTCTTTTCTTTTTTTATAAATAATATCAAGATGTATTTGAGATTCTGAGGATACATGTACAGGTTTGTTACATGAGTATATTGCATGATACTGTGGTCCAGGGTATGGATCCCATCACCCAGGTAGTGAGCATAGAACCCAACAGGTAGGTTTTCAACCCATGACCCTCTCCCTCCTTCTCCAGTAGTCAGCAGTGTCTGTTGATCCCATCTTTATGTCCATTGTTCCCATCTTTATGTCCATGTGTACTCAGTGTTTAGCTCCCACTTATAAGTGAAAACATGAAGTATTTGGTTTTCTGTTCCTGCATTAATTTATTTAAGATTATGGCCTTCAGCAACATTCATGTTTCTGCAAAGGACACAATTTTTTCTTTTTTATGGCTTTCCATGCTGTGTATGTACCACACTTCCTTTATCCAATGCACCATTGATGGGTACTTAGGTTGATTCCATGTCTTTGCTTTTGTAAATAGTGCTGCAGTGAACATACTAGTGTATGTGTCTTTTTGACAGAATAATCGACCCAGCAGTCCTAGTACTGGGTATATACCCAAAGGAAAGTAAATCATTCTACCAAATGCCTTTAATTACTTTTTATCCTTTCTGTGTCTCAACATAGAAAGAGTTCGGGAATAGTTTTTTTTTTTTTTTAAATAGTTGGCATCCAGGATAAGCATCTTACCAGAGGCGAGTTTTTAACATTAGTTGGCATCCAGGATAGTTGGCATCTTATTGGAGATTTTCTCTGACATCCTCTTTTTCCTTCTTCACATTTCTTTTTTTTTTCTTCCTCTTCACTGATTTGCCTGCTCTTTCCCTCTCTTTCTTGTTACCTCCCCTGAGTGAAGATGTCTAATGTGACCATGTAACGGGAGCTCACACCTACCTCCATTTATTGAGTGAAGCTCAGCACTTTTTTTTTTTTTGCAGTGTGGTGCAGTTCCTCTGGGAATGAGCAATGTAACTTAAAACTAGCTGTGTCAATAAGTCAAGGTGAGTTTTCAGCTTTATACTACTGCATTGTCAACCGTTAGAAAGATGTTAACATTTATTGCCAAGCTGTCTCTTAAATATCCTGTAATAAAAAGCCAAAATATGCTGTCTTTTTTTTTTCCAAATTCACCCTTAAGCTGCATTTTCATTACCACATTTTCTTTGCAAAGTGCTGTAACATTCTTTATTGAAACCTTTATTGTTTCAGGTGTTCTCATAGTAGTTTCCTTTGATCTAAAGAAAAAAAATTATTTTCTTAAATGAAGGGAAAGGAAAGTATTATAGTGTATCCTTTTTATTTTGCTAGTGACCTGTTTAACCTCTGCCCTGTGGGCTGTTATTGCCTCGTGTCTGCTTTTCAATCTATATAATTATGATGATCCAGAGACATAATTTGACCTGTACCCTATCAAAATCCATATAATAATAAGCTATATGATAATGCATTTTTCCTAGTTTAAAAAGTGTTTCAATCTGATTGTGTCACTGTGCACAGAATTAATCAAGTCAGTTTTCTTTGACACTATGTGCACTGGGAAGGCAAGACCATGTTTGAAGAAATAATTATAAAAATCAAATGCTGAATTTGCTGAAGGCACTGAAAAAGCACAGTATGCCTTGCCTCTAGTATTTTAAGAACCTAAATGTCTTTGGAATTCCTTGGCATTGCTGAGATAATTGATATTGGTGATGCTAATTATGGACTAATCAATTTTCTAATCCTGTTGAGGAGGAAACAAAGTTTTGAAATTAATGAAGTCACTGTGCCTCTATGGCATTTAGAATTTTTCATGAAATGTTTTCTCAGTGAAGGAATATGAGATAATATTTACTGTATTAGCACCTGAAAGACCAAAATGTGTTTGCTCAGAAAAGCAATCCTGTAGCTAAAATGTGAATGTGGCAGAGAGGTACATAGTCTGTTTCATAAAAATAAAGAGCCATGCCGGCTTGTAAGATCCAGGGTTATTTCTTTCATCTTTGAGGACTTGGAACACTTAGATCATCCATAGCCACTTAGATTTGACTCCAGAATTCAAGAGGGACTTTTGTTTTGTTTTGTTTGAGACAGAGTCTCGCTCTGTCACCCAGGCTGGAGTACAGTGGCACAATCTCAGCTCACTGCAACCTTCTCCTCCTGGTGTTCTTAGAGATTCTCCTGCCTCAGCCTCCTGAGTATCTGGGACTACAGGCTTCCACCACCATGCCCGGCTAATTTTTGTATTTTTAGCAGAGACGAGGTTTTGCCATGTTGACCAAGCTGGTTTTGAACTCCTGACCTCAGGTGATCCACCTGCCTTAGCCTCCCAAAGTGCTGAGATAACAGGCATAAGCCACTGTGCCCGGCTGACTTTTTTTTTTTTTTTTTTGTCCTCACCCCACTACCTCCCCCTGCCCAAGAGAGTTTTATCTTGCTCTCTGGGCATATTCACTCTGGGAAACTGCAAGTTCCTTCTGCTTGTTTTTCTGACAGTGGTACACAGAAAGATACACTGGTTAATGTTCTTATATTTAGGTCAGCCAAATAGCATAAGATCCTAAAGGTGGGTGACTTGCAGCTATTTCTGAGCGTTTTCTTCTAAGTTTGGAGCCTGGTGATAAACAACTGTGATGTGTGCCTGCATTTATTATCCCAACATATTTTTGAACATCTACACTGTGTAAATGTACCATAATAGCTTCTATTTTCTCCTCTATGGGGATTCTAGATTTTAAAAAAACACATCAAAAATCTTGCACTCATTTTCGGTAGGGAATTAAGACAGAAGCAGAAATGACATCCACACAAATGAGAAGGATGTATGTAGCAATACAGATGCATAAATATGTGCCGTCCATCACAGAGATTTAGGATGACTTGGTGAGAAAGAAAATACAACTTGACTTATTCTCTATTCAATGAAATGTGAAAATAATATAAAGAACTGCCTGTGTTTTTTGGTAGAGTAGCTCTGTATACATAATATATTTAATAATTAAAAACGAAATGTGGTTGTTTCGTATACAGAGCAAAGCTCTGTTTATGGCAGCACATGTCTGAGAATGAAGGCTGCCCAAAGCCAAACTTTAGGAAGCATTGCTTTTCTGTATTTGGACATTTTTCATATGTGTGATCATGAGGAGCTGCACATCCATGTCATTAAGAAATAAAGTCATTGCTAATGGCCTTAATTAAAAAGAAAGAAAAAGAGAAAGAAACAAAGGAAAACTATGATGTGATGCTAGGTGTTTGCTTCCATAGAGGTTTAGACGTTTGAAACTCCAAGTGCCCCAGTGAGTATTCACACTGTGGATCGAACTGCCCACATGCAAAAAGTTGCAAATGCTGTTTCTCAAACTGGGTATAACTTTGACATTCTACAAATTCTTTTAGACCTTTACCGTTTTGGTTTTTAAATAATTCTTAATGCACGTATTTTACCAGGTATAAAGATGAAATGTTCCCCTTTTTCGTGATAACAATTAAGATATATTTTTTCTAGAATAAGATGAGATTATTGTTATTTTTTCTCAGACAAGGTTCATCAGATCTTTGAGAATTTTGTTCTTGTGAAAACTTTTTTTTTTAATTATACTTTAAGTTTTAGGGTACATGTGCGCAATGTGCAGGTTAGTTACATGTGTATACATGTGCCATGCTGGTGCACTGCACCCACTAACTCGTCATCTCGCATTAGGTATATCTCCCAATGCCATCCCTCCCCCCTCCCCCCACCCCACAACAGTCCCCAGAGTGTGATGTTCCCCTTCCTGTGTCCATGTGTTCTCATTGTTCAATTCCCACCTATGAGTGAGAATATGCGGTGTTTGGTTTTTTGTTCTTGCGATAGTTTACTGAGAATGATGATTTCCGATTTCATCCATGTCCCTACAAAGGACATGAACTCATCATTTTTTATGGCTGCATAGTATTCCATGGTGTATATGTGCCAAATTTTCTTAATCCAGTCTATCTTTGTTGGACATTTGGGTTGGTTCCAAGTCTTTGCTATTGTGAATAATGCCTCAATAAACATACGTGTGCATGTGTCTTTATAGCAGCATGATTTACAGTCCTTTGGGTATATACCCAGTAATGGGATGGCTGGGTCAAATGGTATTTCTAGTTCTAGATCCCTGAGGAATTGCCACACTGACTTCCACAATGGTTGAACTAGTTTACAGTCCCACCAACAGTGTAAAAGTGTTCCTATTTCTCCACATCCTCTCCAGCACCTGTTGTTTCCTGACTTTTTAATGATTGCCATTCTAACTGGTGTGAGATGGTATCTCATTGTGGTTTTGATTTGCATTTCTCTGATGGCCAGTGATGGTGAGCATTTTTTCATGTGTTTTTTGGCTGCATAAATGTCTTCTTTTGAGTCATGTCCTTCGCCCACTTTTTGATGGGGTTGTTTGTTTTTTTCTTGTAAATTTGTTTGAGTTCATTGTAGATTCTGGATATTAGCCCTTTGTCAGATGAGTAGGTTGCGAAAATTTTCTCCCATTTTGTAGGTTGCCTGTTCACTCTGATGGTAGTTTGTTTTGCTGTGCAGAAGCTCTAGAATTTTTTTTTTTTGCTTACACTTGAGAAATATTGGTTTAAACGATATTATAGTATATCTGAGCCTACTACTCAGTTACTCCTTTTTGGTCGTAATATTTTATTTTATTATTATTATTTTTTTAAGACAGAGTCTCACTCTGTCACCCAGGCTGGAGTGCAATGGCCCGATCTCGGCTCACTGCAACCTCCACCTCCCGGGTTCAAGCAATTTTCCTGCCTCAGCCTCCCAAGTAGCTGGGATTATAGGTATGCGCCACCACACCCAGCTAATTTTGTATTTTTAGCAGAGAGACCTGGTTTCTCCATGTTGTTCAGGCTGGTCTCAAACTCCCGACTCAGGTGATCTGCCCACTTTGGCCTCCCAAAGTGCTGGGATTACAGGAGTAAGCCACCGCTCCTGGCCTGGTCTTAATATTTTAAAATTGCTTTTGTGCCAATAATCTCCAAAGTCAGTCAACCAACAATTAAGATTATGAAGATGATCATTAGATAGATAGATTGACTGATTTATCCATTTCCCAGATATGTTGTGGTTCTGTTTTCAAAATGGACTTCCTTTTTTTTAGGACAGTTTTAGTTCACAGCAACATTGACTGAAAGGTATAAAGATTTCTCATGTATCCCCTGCCCCACACATGCACAGCCTCCCCTATTATCAACATCACCCACCATAGAGGTGCATTGTTAAAAGTAATGAACCTACATTGACTTACATCATTATCACTCAGAGTCCATAGTTTACCTCAGGGTTCACTTTTGGTGTTATATATTCTATGGGTTTGGACAAATGTATAATGATTTGTGTCTAGGATTATAGTATCATACAGAGTAACTGTATTTCCCTAAGAATCCATTGTGTTCTGTCTGTTCATCCCTTGCTCCCCACTAATTCCTGGCAACCACTGATCTTTTTACTGTGTCCTTAGTTTTGCCTTTTCTAGAATGTCATATAGTTGGAATCATACATTATGCAGCCTTTTCAGATTAGCTTCTTAAATGTAGTAAATGCAAGCTGCATTTAAGTTTCCTTCATGTCTTTTCATGGGTTGATAGTTCATTTCTTTTTAGTGATGAATAATAGTCCATTGTTTGGATGTCCCACAGCTTATACCTTCATCTACTGAAGGGCCTCTTGGTTGCTTCCAAGTTTTGGCAATTATGAATAAAGTTGCTATAAATATTCGTGTGCAGGCTTTTTTTGTGGGCACAAGTTTTTCACTCCTTTGGCTATATACCAACGAGTGTGATTTCTGGATTATATGGAAGGAGTATGGTTAGTTTTGTAAGAAACTGCCAAATTGTCTTCCAAAGTGGCTGTACCATTTTACATCTCCACCAGCAATGATGAGAGCTCCTGATGCTCCACATCCAATACTATTGTCAGTGTTCTGGATTTTGGCCATTGTAATATGTAGTGGTATCTCATTGTTATTTTAATTTGCAGTTCCCTGATGACTTCTGATATGGAGCATCTTTTCATATGCTTATTTGCCACCTGTGTACCTTCTTTGGTGAGGTGTCTCTTAAGGTCTTTGGCCCATTTTTTAGTGGGGTTGTGTTCTTGTTGAGTTTTAAGAGTTCTTTGCATATTTTGGATAACAGTCCTTTATCTTTTGGGTAGGGAATTAAGACAGAAGCAGAAATATTTTGCAAATATTTTATCTCAATCTTTGGCTGCCTTTTCATTTTCTCAACAATGTTTTTCACACAATAGAAATTTTTAATTTTATTAAAGCCCAGCTTGTCAATTTTTTCTTTTATAGATCATGCCTACAGTGTTGCAACTAAAAAATTATCACTGGTCCCAAGGTCATCTAGATATTTTCCTGTATTATCTTCTAGAAATTTCATAGTTGTATATTTTAAATTTAGGTCTGTGGCTCATTTTGTGTTCCTTTTTGTGGAGAATGTAAGGTCTATGTCTAGATTCATTTTTGTTGTGTATGTGGATGTCCAGTTGTTCTAGCACCATTTGTTGAACATACTCTTTTCTTCATTGTGTTGCCTTTGCTCATTTGTCAAAGATCAATTGACTCTATTTATGTGGGTCTATTTCTGGGCTTTTGATTTTGTTCCATTGGTCAATTTGTCTATTCTTTCACCAATACCAAACTGTCTTTATTACTGTAGATTTGTAGCAAATCTTGAAGTCACGTAGTGTCAGTCCTCTGACTGTTCTTCTTTTTCAATATTAAGTTGGCTATTTTGGTTTTTTGCCTCTCTGTCTAAACTGTAGAATCAATTTCTAAATTGATTCAAAGTTATCCACAAAATAACTTTTTCAGATTTTGATTGGGATTGAATTGAATCTATAGAATAAATTGGGAAGAACTGATGCCTTGACAATCTTGAGTCTTTCTATCCATGAACATGGAATATCTCTCTATTTATTTAGTTCATCTTTGATTTTCTTCATCAAAATTGTACAGTTTTTCTTATATAGATCTTATACATATTTTATTATATTTATAAATAAGTTTTTGTGTGCTAACATTCATAGTATTGCATTTTGATTTCAAATTTCACTTGCTGTTGGTTATAGAAAAATAATAGACTTTTATATACTAGCCTTGTATTCTGTGACTTTGCTATAATCACCTATGAATTCTAGGGGCCATTTTGTTGATTCTTTGAGATCTTTTATAAAAACAATCATGTCATTTGTGAAGAAGGATAGTTTTATTTCTTTCTTCCCAAAAGGTATACCTTTTATTTCCTTTTCTTTCCTTATTGCATTAGCTAGGACTTTCAGTACGATGCTGAAAAGCAGTGGTGAGAGGAGACATTCTTGTCTTTTTCTGATCTTAGCAAGAAAGATTTGAATTCCTCACTGTTATGTATGATGTTAGCTGAAGGTTTCTTGTAGATGTTCTTTATAATATTGAGAAAATGTTTCTCTATTCCTATTTTACTGAAAGTTCATAACATGAATGGGTGTTGGATTTTGTCAAATGTTTTTTCTGCATCTTTTAATAGATCATGCGATTTTTTTTTCTCTTTAGCCCGTTGATGCAACGGATTACATTAATTGATTTTTAAATGTTGAACCAGTCTAGCATACTTCAAATCTCACTTGGTTGTGGTGTATCCTTTATTTTGTACATTGTTGGATTTAATTTGCTAATATTTTGTTGGAAAATTTTGCATCTATGTTCATAGGAGATATTGGTCTGTAGTTTTCTTTTTCTTATAATACTGTTTTCTGATTTTGGTACTAGAGTAATGCTGGCCTCATAGAAGGAGTTAAAAAGCAGCTTATGGAATTATTGAAATTGTTATTATTATTTTTTTAAGACAGAGTTTCGCTCTTGTTGCCCAGGCTGGAGTTCAATGGTGCGATCTCAGCCCACTGCCACCTCTGCCTCCTGGATTCAAGTGATTCTCCTTCCTCAGCCTCCTGAGTAGCTGGGATTACAGGTGTGCACCACCTCACCCAGTTAATTTTTTGTATTTTTTAGTAGAGACAGGGTTTCAGCATGTTGGCCACGCTTGACTCGAACTCCTGACCTCAGATGATCTGCCTGCCTCAGCCTCCCAGAGTGCTGGGATTACAGGCGTGAGCCACCGCACCCCACCGAATATATATATGTATATATATATATATATATATTTTTTTTTTTAAAGAAAGTATCATCTGAAAGACACCATAGAGAATTGGTATAATTTTTCCTAAAATATTTGGTAGAAGTCATTAGTGAACCCATTTACGTCTGGTGCTTTCTGTTTTGGAAGGCCATTATTAATTCAATTTCTCTAATATATATAGGCCTATTAACATTATCTATTTCTTCTTGTGTGACTTTTGTCAGATCGTGTCTTTTAAGAAATTGGTCCCATTTCATCTAGGTTATTAAATTTTTGGACATAGAATTTTTCATGGCATTTTTAAATTATTGCCTTAATGTTCATGAGACCTGTAGTAATGTTCCCTTTTTAATTTCTGATATTAGTAATTTGTGTCATCTCTTTTTTGTTCTTAGCTTTGCTTGAGGCTTATTGATTTTATTCATGTTTTCGAAGAATGAGCATTTGGTTGTGATAATTTTCTCTATAATTTTCTGTTTCTAATTTTATTTATTTTCATCTGCTTGCTTTGAATTTAATTTTTTTCTTCTCTTTCTAGTTTTCTGAGTTAAAACCTTATGTGATTGATTTTAATTTTTTCCTCTTTTCTGATGTATGCATTCAATGCCATGAATTTTGCTTTAAACACTGCTTTACTGCATCTCACAAATTTTAAGTTGTGTTTTTATTCTCATTTGGTTCAAAATATCTTAAAGTGTTTCTTGAGTTTTTTTTGACCCATGTGTTATTCAGAAGTGTATTGTTTAATCTCCAAGTATTTTGGGATTTTTAAACTATCTTTCTGTTATTGATTTCCAGGTTAATTCCACTGTGGTTTGAGAACTGATAGTGATTTCTATTATTTCTATTATGATTTTTATTATTTTAAATTTGTTAAGGGGTGTTTTAAAGCCAGAATGTGGCTTATTTTGATGCATGTCCTAAATAAGTTTGAGAATGTGTATTCTGCTGTTGTTGGATGAGATAGTCTATAGATATCCATTATATTCCATTGATTAATGGTGTTGTGTTTATGTTCTTTCTTATTAGTTTCTGCTTTTTGGCTTTGTCCATTTTGGATAGAGATGTGGTGAAGTGCCCAAGCATAGTAAGAGCTTCGTTTATTTCTCCTTGAAGTTCTATCAGTTTTTACCTCATGTGTTTTGACGCCTTGTTATTAGGTCTATACACTTTAAGGATTGTTATGTCTTCTTGGAGAATTAGCCCTTTATCATTACATAATACCTCTTTTTATCCTTGATAACTTTTCTTGGGCGTGTGGTCCATCGTTGACTCAAATGCTGCCATGCAGCAAATGACTGTAGTTAGATTAATATCTAATATATTTGTTACTGTTCTCTATCTGTTGCCCTTGCTTTTTGTTTCTGTTTTTATTTTGCACTGGTTTCTATTGAGCATTTTATATGATTCCATTTTCTCTCCTTTATTAACACATTAGTTATTCTTATTTTTTACTCTTTTTATTGCCTGGACTACAGTTCATAATATTCACTTACAACTAATCCAAGTCTACTTTCAAATAGCACTATACCCCTTCATGGTTGGTGTATCTCATAATATCAAAATGGTCCTAATCCCTTTCTCCTTTACCTTGTTTTATTGCTTTCATTCATTTCACTTATACATACTTATACAATTGAATACATTGTTGCTATTATTATTTTGAACAAATTGTTATCTGTTAGATCAATTAGAAAAAAAATTCTTTTATTTTACCCTCAACCATGCTCTTCCTGACTTTATGCAGATCTGAGTTTCTGACCTTTTTTATTTTCCTTTACATTTTAAAAATTGTTTTAAATTTTTAAAATATCTGCCTTTATTTTGTGCATTCAAATGGAAAACCCTTCAGAGAGCCCTCAGAGCCCTCAGGATAAAACTCCAATGTAAAGAGGCACAAATCTTTAAATTTGGAATAAAGAAAAAACCTTAGTCTTTCTTTTTCTGTCTTTGCTTTTGTCTGTCTCTGTCTACACATATCAGAACGGAAAGGGAAAGAGTGAGAGAGACGGACAGACAGGAACAGAAACAGTTTTAAACTATCTAAACATCATTGATATCTAAATATAGTTTTGGATATCTATCTGTCTCTCTTTCTCTCTATCTGTCTCCCTCTCTCTCTATCTGTCTCCATCCATCCATCTATCTATCCATCCATCCATCCATCCACCCATCTATCCTTCTCTCTGTCTCTCTCTCTCTCTATTCATCCATCCATCCAGCCAGCCAGCCAGCCATCTATCCTTCTCTCTGTCTCTCTCTCTCTCTATTAATCCATCCATCCATCCATCCATCCAGCCAGCCAGCCAGCCAACCAGCCAGCCAGCCAGCCATCTATCCTTCTATCTATTTATCAAGATGGAAATGGACACACAGACAGACACAGCAAGAGAGAAGCTAGGCAGGATGCTAAAGGTAAGGCCAGCTGGGAATATGTCCCAATTGAGGGGACTGGCCTGAAAAAAGCCCCTTCCAATGGCTAGAAACACAGTTCAAAAACTTGGAGTAGAGAAGAGAGGTGGAGGAAAGTCTGTATGCTGCTAAAACTGCCTTCAGGTTTAACCATCGTTTTATTTACTGATAGAACCCTGTGTCGATCTAGGTCGAAGCCTTAGGAAGTAATGTTGAGAAATAGTAGCAATAGCAATAAAGGCAGAGGGAAATTAATCTCAGCCGAGTGCTGCTCTGGGAAAGCAGGTAAGAATTATCCACTTTGTCAATGAAGTTTTCTTCTGTCAGAGCCAACAGAAGTTGAAAGTGATCAGGACTACCAGGAGCATCAGCAGGGACCTCTGTGGCTCTAAAGTGGGGTGGATTTATGCAGCATATGGAAAGTCAAGGCAGCTCTTCACAGTGGAATCAGTCAGGGAGTAAGAGGTATTTATTGGTTTCTAGTGTTCTTTTCTGCTTTTCAGCAACGTCTTTTCTCATAAAACCTACAAGCGGGGCTTGAAAAATAAGATGTCCTGCCTGCTGTGGGTTGTCATACATTAAAGAGCCTGGCATTGGGACCTTGGAACAGAGCGATGCCAGTCAGCAAGAACACATTCTACTGTGGAGCTTGATAAATGTTTGCCAGGGGAGGAGGAAGAGAACATCAGAAAGTTCTTTCCGAGATGTGTGCAGATCATTAACTTGCAGATCAGGACCCTGAGCATATCTGCTCTGGTTTGTGTGTGGATTTCCAGTTCTTTGAAGACTTTCCTAGATCACAAGGAGATGCAGGAAAAAGCCAGTGAGGAGCCTGACCGCTTAGCCTGAAGTAGAGGTTCCCCCTGCACCCAGTTCTTTGGCGACATACTGTGCCCTCTTGCTTCCCCTGCTAGGAAGCTGGGCTGTGCCTGGTGGAGCAG
The DNA here is from genome assembly GCF_000001405.40 of Homo sapiens. Taxonomy (NCBI): domain Eukaryota; kingdom Metazoa; phylum Chordata; class Mammalia; order Primates; family Hominidae; genus Homo; species Homo sapiens. The sequence continues at coordinate 40,798,023 of NC_000008.11, read as the reverse complement.
TGAAGACCCTGGAGAAGAGTGAAGGGCATGGACACCTGATACTGCCTCCCTAGGACCTTGCCTTACCTGCCAGCCCCTCAGTGCCCTGGCTTAATTGCCTGGCTCACTCCTTAGAGGGTTCTGACTTGGAATTCAAGGTCTTGCCCCATATCCAAAGGCTGCCTGTCCTAGTGCATGTTCTAATGTTCAACACAGCTACCTCAAAATGGGGGATGCTGCAGGTGAGGAGACTGTGACCTGTCGACAGATCCCCTGCCTGATAAGCTTACTGGTGGCAACATTTCCATTTACTGAGGACCGAGTGCTGTACCAATCTTTCTGTGCATCCTGTCATTTCTTTCTTCCGATGACCTGTCAAGTGGTAGATATCTCAATTTTGCATGCTGTTCCTTAGAGGAAATTGTAGCTCATGGAAGTCCTGTAATGTGCACAGCTACAATATCTGGGCCCTGTTATTTTGCAAATTCTCCAAATACCACCGTCCTTAGTCTTGTCACTCACTCCCCCTCCCCTTCACTGTCTGAGGTTAAAGGACAGGTGACAATGCAGTTGAGTTCAATTGTGATCTCTTTAATTCAGTAAGGATGTATTGGGCTCTTAGAATGTGCCAAGCACTGAGCCTGGGGCCCAGCACGCAGGATGGGCAGTAATGTCGGCACTGTCTGGGTAATGGCATGGAGCTCCTTGAGGCCAGAGATTAATGTGTGAGGCACAAGTGTCATATCACTCAAGTGGCCCTAAGTGCACCGGCAGAGGCACACTGCTCAGACAGGTGCTGGTGCTTTTTTTGGTGTTAGTGGCTAGTGGAGTAGGATGTGGTGTGGTGGACAGGCCCGGATTCACAGAGGCACTGGGAGGTGGGATCTGCAGAGTGAATGAGGGTTCAGTGGTTAGACAAGGGGAAAAGGACACTCCAGGTGGATGGCACAAAAGCTCAGAGCTCTGAGTGCATGGAAATGGTGTGCAGTGTAGCTTTGCTGGAGCACAGAGTGAGGGGAGTGAGTCTGGAAAGCTAACCAGGGGCGATTCCCTGCCTGTGGCCCCTGGAGGTGAAGATCAGGCGAACTGGCTAAGGAGGGGCCAGTTAGCCAGTTATGGGGCTGGAAGGCCTTGTGCTGCATGGATCCTGCCCTGGGAAGGAGATGAGATCTCCGAGCACAGCAGGTGGCTTTCTGTTCTGGGACTTCTTGCAGTTTCCCTGACACTCAGAAGAAAGAGAGAAAACAAGGTGACCTCTGACTGAAAGGGGAAAGAATTCCAGACTAGATCTGATGAAGAAGCAAAAGGGAATACTGTGAAAAATGTTTCAGACTTGCAATTCCAGGCACCTTCACCTCTCCAGTCTCTGCAGCAGCTGTGCGGGGCGGAGCCGGGGAGGGAAAGAGATATCATTCTAAGTAGTGCATTTAAGGGAGAACTGTAGGTCTGCAGTTTTGAAAGTTTTTCTTTCTTTCTTTCTTTTCTTTAAATACCACAGAGACAGTGATAAAGAGCTGGGTGAGATTCAAGGGTTCTGGTTAGCAGACAGCCACTTGGCGAGTTGCTGACTTCAGCACTTGCTCTGTTCCTTCCTCAAGTGCTTTTCTCCTCCTCTGCTAAATACACAAAAAGAAGCACCCTGACATGAAATATCAATGTTTTTTTGTTTTCATTTTTCAGTACTGATCTGAGTAAATCATGCCAGGGTCATTTATTGGGAAGGAAAATGTGGCATGGCAGGCGATATGCCTTGAGGTGAGTGTCATGTTTAAGCAGAGCAGACAACGGTGGGGCCGGTTTCCTCTCCCTGGGGAGCCTCTTGGAGCCTGCTGTTAGGTGCATGGGCGCTGTGGATGCACACTGGGTATCTGTTGATATACAGGCTTTCAAGGCCGGTTAAATATGGAGCGGAAACGTCCCCTTTCTTTGTAGCTGCGTCAGCCCCTGAGAGTCAGCCAGAGGGGGAGAGCTGGGTTGTTCTGAGGAGGGGCTTCACAGACCAGAGTTGCTATTCTCTATCTCTTCACACACCAGAGTTGCTATTGAAGACTCTGAGTGAGAAGAAAGTGGGAAAGAAGAACAAAGAAGAAAGTGTGGAAAATTAAGAAGCTGTGATGGTATATTTTAAGCACTTCTTTTGCTTTTCAGGTTCATTTTGTAACAGGAAGGGACCAAAACTGGTCTAGGCAGTGTCTTGGCTAAATGCTATGATGCTTGTGGTGGTAGTGAATGGAATATAAAACATCCCTTTGGATGCTCAAGAATGTCATCGGTTTGCAATTTGCAGAACGGAAAATGTTGATTATAAAGTATGGAGAAATTTTTATATGCAACATTAATGCAACGGATAGTATAAAATAAATCTGGGGATTGAAAGTTTATATCCTGAGTTCCTGAGTCTCAGACCTTTAAATCAATACTCCACTCCACTGATGAGAGCAGTTTCCCAACTGATGCATCAGTACAGCCAGTCAAAACATAAAAGGAGCCCCCAGGGAGGAAGCAGGTGTCATACTAAATTCTCCTCTCAGCCTAGGGACAGCCTAGGCTCTGAATTGAATTTCTGTAACTGTAAATTCTGGACTTAACTATGTTGGCCAGAAATTGCACTAAAAAACAGTCTCATGGTCTGGTGATCATGGTATTCATAAGGATCCAGTACAGCTTTTAATTCGTGTCCTTGGCTGCCTGATGGACAGACCTCGTGAGGTTTGTATTTGTGTCTTTAGGAGTCAGGTGTGCCAGGGCCTCTTTGCATGGGTGTTTCACGTGAGTGTGCAAACCATTGGCCACAACTGTTCTTGGAGGTTTGCCCCCAAATCAGCTGCAATGATCGGATGCTTGGCTATAAACATGGACTCAAGGTTAGGGCTTTCAAGGTAAGGGCTAAGTCCAGAGTAGATGTGTGATTAGACTAGGGTCTGGGGAGTTATACCATAATGCCAGGATCATAGAATAGCATTGCTGATGAGACATTGGTAAGTGGAGAAATAAAGGTGCAGAGAGGACTTCTGAGGCTTTGTCTTAGGTTCCTAAGCTAAGACAGAGTGTTTCTGCATCTGTCACCCTCCCTCTTCTGAGCTTCCAGGGCCATCTAGTCCTCCTCTGCTGTCAGGAAAATGAGATTCCATTTGCCACTTTTGCCCAATGCCCACCCTCCCCCGCCACCTGTAAGCCCTTGTCTTCACATGAACGCAATCATTGCCACACAAAAGCACAACCCCTTGACGATGACAGCTGGCCGTTTGTGTCCCCAGCTGAGACAAAGACCCAGAGAGGAGAAAACTGATCCACAGGGGAGGGACATGCCTGACCTGGGAATACCTGTGTCCACTGGGGAAAGGAGAGTTAGAAAGGCAGCGGGACTGTGTGTGTCTCACAGCATCAATGAGCTAAAACCCAGACCACGCTGCCCTGCGGTTTCCTGCACCAGGCCACGTGCTCTGCTGTTGGGCTTCATTTCTTCTGTAGTTGTCTTTCCCCCATCCCTAAGACAGGGAGGCAACACCAAGCCCAAGTAAACTCCCCCGGAAGAAGGCTGATAGAGAAGCAGGACTGTGGGCTATTCTGTAGAGAGTGCCTGGAGTCATCTGGCTGGAGAAAGACTTTGTGAAATGCAATGTAGTGTGTTTCCTTTCTGGGTGCCCTAGGTTTCAATGAGTAGTCAGAACCAAGACACATAGTGCTATATGGTGTGTTGGGTAACTCCATGTCTGAGTCAGGGGAGATTCTGATGCCTCCAAATGCCCATGGAGTCTCTGTAGCTTATGGTGCCAACAAGCTATTTCTCATCCATGTGCATGAAGTCAGTTCTTCCTAAAAGCATCTTACCCTGTAAGAAAGTGAGGCTTGTTATCCGAGTTCTGCACCACATTATGCATCAACACTAATGCATCAGTGCATTTGATTAAATGATATTTATGTTTGAGTTCAAAAATTTCCAAAAAAAACATTAAAAAAATTGCCTTTTGATGTCTCCTAAGGCAGCTGGCAAAGAACTAATTGCAAGGGAAATTCTCTTTGGTGAAAGTGGACATTCTGCTTAACTGAATGAGAATACCAGCGGGTGGGGAGAAATAAACATGCTTTGTTTTCCACAGAAGGGAGCTTGCATATGTCCTTGAGGAGTGTACAGATCTGGGGCAGAAAATACACAAATATGTGCTTCTACTAAGAGATCCCAAGGAGGGGCGAGTCCGTCACACTTTTCCTGAAGAAGGTGACAAGAGGAATTCAGATGGATTGTAATTACAGATGTCACACCTCAGGGGACCCCTCAACCTTGAGAAACTTCAGGGCTTAGACAAACGACATAGATACAAATCAGTGGCTCTGGTCCTCACAGACCAGCAGGTTTGAAAACATTGGGGACATTACTTGTCATGAGCAATTCATTTTACTTGGAAATGTTCGCAAGCGTTGGACTTTTCGGCATGACTTGGAGATGAGATTAAACATCACGAGAGCTTTAGAAACACCCCCAAATGGAAAATTTGTAACGCTTGAAAGGAAGCAGCAAATTCGCAAAAGGATTTCAAGGCTGTTGTTAAATCATGCTATTAGGAAAGAAAGGTCAGCCCTTGCCCGATTGGAAAATCGATGGAGCGTGGCTCTGGAACTTGTCTTCCTCCTTGTGTGGACAGCGAAAGATGGCATTCCCCCTCCAGGGGCACACGGCCTATTCTGTGCCTTCTCTCAACTGTCCTTCAGTCTTCTTACCTGGCAATGAAAGGCAAAGTAGGGTTTTGTTTGTTTGTTTGTTTTTTGTTTCTGTATTTTTAAATTCACAGACTTATTTTTGTGCTCAGTTTTAGGTTTACAAAAAATTGAGCGAAAGTACCCATGTACCCCCCTCTCACCACGGTTTCTCTCTGTTATTAATATCTTGCATTAGTATGGCACATTTGCTGCAATTAATGAGCCCACATGGACACATCATTATCACCCAAAGCCCACTGTTGCGCTCAGGGCTCACTCTTTGTGTTATATCTTTGATGAGTGTTGACAAGTACATAATATGTATCCACCATCACAGTATCATACAGAGCAGTTTCCCCAGCTGAAAAATCCTGTGTGCTCTGCCTATTCACCATCCCCACACCCCTCAGGCAACCACTGATCTTTTTGCCATGTCCATAGTTTTCCATTATTTAGAACATTATATAGCTAGTATCATATAGGATGCAGCCTCTTCAGATTGACTTCTAGTACTTAGTAATATGCATTTAAGTTTTCTTTATGTCTTTTCATGGCCTGATTGCTTAGTTATTTTCTTTTCCTCCCCTCTCTTCCCCTCCAGTCCCCTACCCTTCCCCTCCTCCCCTCCCCACCTCCTCCCCTCCCCTCCCCTCTCCTCCTCTCCCCTCCCCTCCCCTCTCCTCATCTCCCCTCCCCTCCCCTCCCCTTTCCTTCCTTCCTTCCTTCACTTCCTCCCTCCCTTCCTTTCATTCCTTTCCTTCCTTTCCTCCCTCCCCTCCCCTCTCCTCCCCTTCCCTCCCTCCCTCCCTCTGTCCCTTCCTTCCTTCCTTCCTTCCTTCCTTCCTTCCTTCCTTCCTTCCTTCCTTCCTTCCTGAATACTATTCCATTGTATGGATGTGCCATGGTTTACCTACTAATCTATTGAAGGATATCTTGGTTGCTAATGGCAAGATTTTTAATCTTATCATTATATTAGTATTAGTGAACTTGAGAGGGGAAAGTGGCCAGTTCAGGGAATATATAACTATTTATAGTCTCCTTTTTAAAAATAAAACAAGACTTTTGTCAGTTTATAAAAGAAATAAGGTTGAACCATATGAAATTGCCAATATTTAATCCTTTTTTCACATACAAAAATAGTAGTTTCATATGGTTCAACACAGCATATGCTCACAGTATATAGCTCACATACAGAAATGTAGAATATTGAAAGTGAAACATAGGATTTTTTTGTAGGTAAGGAAATACAAAATTAATGTAAAAGTATTTTCTGCCTCAAAGTCCAGTCAGACTAGTTTCAACCCCATAGCTAGTTTTAGTCTTTTTAATCCCAGAAAGAGGTGAACTCATTGCATGCTGTGGGTGGATAGCAACACTGGTGGATTTTGAAGCAACCCACCCGGACATGGAGTTATGGCCCCTCTGCTGTGCAGCGGCCCTCCTGATGAAGTTAGCTGGTGCTCATAGCTATCCAATTTATTGACAAGCCAGTGGACACCAGGGCACAGGGCTGGCCTCCTATAGCTTCCTTGTCTGTGGGCTATAAGGGAGAGCTTCGATTTCTCAGGCTAAGACAAAACATGGCAGAATATGCTGCTCAGTGTAGTGAAAAGTGTGCTGGTCTTAGAGTCCGTAGTTGGTCAATAGCTATTATTTAAAAAAATCTATGTTCTGAGTTCTGGAGATCTAGCAGTGAGCAATTCGGACTATTCCCTGCCCTCAACAAGCTTATATTGCAGAATGCTGGATGTGGGTGTGGGGAACTACATGAGCAGAAGATGGCCCAACTCAGCCATGAGCCAGGGCGAAGGACCTGTGTGACCTTGGCTGGTTGCTCAGCCTCTCTGAGCCTTAGGGTTTTTGGAGGATCAGAGGAGATGGGCTATTGATAGTATACATGAAATCACTTTGTAAATTGTACATTACTCTCTCAGTGTAGTTTCTGTGGTTATCTGTTTTCAAACTATAACCCTCTGCTTTGGAAGCGGGATTTCCCAGGCTTAAGTACTTTGGAGCTCCTAGGAGCGCTTCCATGTTACCTCTTATTCCATCATGATTTTGGAACCTGGTCACATCTGTGCTCCCCTGCACTCTCTGGATGCCATCCCATGCTCCTCCAGTCCCTTCTGAACATCTGTTCCCTGAGTGGGTTCTGGATATTTTTTCTAGAAGTTTTATTATTTTAGGTTACACAGTTAGATTTATAATCCATCTTGAGTTAATTTTTAATATGGTGCTGATATAGATCAAAGTTAATTCTTTTGCTTATGGATATCCAGTTGCTTCAGCATCTTTTATTGGAAAGAGCCGCCTTTCTCCATTGAATTACCTTTGCTTCTTTTTCAAAATCAATTGACCATATAAATGTGAATCTCTTTCTGGCCACTGTGTTCTGTTTTCATTAATCTGTTGGTGTATATTGATAGTAATACCACACTGTCTTGATTACCATAGCTTTTTGATAATCTTGAAGCAGGTAGTGTAAGTTCTCTATCTCTGTTCTTTGCTTTCACAGTTGTTTTGGCAATTCTAAGTGCTTTGCATGTTCAAATGCATTGTAGAATCTGTTTGTCAAATTCTACAAAAAATGGCTACAGAGGTTTTCATTGGAATTGCATGGAATCTGTAAGTAACTTGTCAGATAATTGACATCTTAACAATATCAAGTCTTTAATCCATAGTATTAATATATCTCTCAATTTTTTTGTTTTCAATTTTTCTCAACAATGTTTTGTATTTTTTAGTGTATAGGTCTTGCACATATTTTGTCAGATTTATCCCCAAATATTTCATATTTCTGATAGTATTATAAATGGTATTTAAACAATTAAATTATAAATGTTATTCTTTAAAATTTAAATTCTCTATGATCACACCACTGCATTCATTCTGGGTGACAGAATGAGATCCATCTTTTTAAAAATATCAATTTCTAATTTTGTGTTGCTAGTATGTAGCAATGCAATTGGTTTTAGATATCAATCTTGTATCCTGAAACATTGCTAACCTATTGATTAGATCTAGAAGCTTTTAAAACCATTGTTAGCCTACCAATTAGATCTAGAAGCTTTTAAAATAGATTCTGTATTTTCTACTGCTACAATCATGTTGTTTAAGAATAAAAACAGTTTTTTTTCTTTATTTTGTGGAAATAAATGAAGACCATCCAAATGAAAACAAACAAAGCGTATTTATTCAGAGCTTGCTATAGCAAGAGAGTCAGCCACAATCATTTGTGTTTAACAGAGACTCAAAGGCAGGCAGGGGAGTGGGGAAGCTTCATGGTGGAAAAGAGAGGGAATCATGTATGCCTTGACTGGAGGTATTGGCATGGGGAAGCTTTAGGTGGGTTAACTAGAAGTGGGGCAGTGTACATGACTGGTTTGGGGTGGATATTTGGCTTTTTTTCCAGTTGGTTCTAAGTTGGAAGTGGGAGCAATATGAGAAAAGCTGTCAATTACTCATTATATTCTGGCTGTTCTGTGCTGATTGCTACAGGAGTTATTGTTTGGCTTTATGGGCTGTCTGCTACACAGTAGTTTGCCTTCCTGGACTCATTACTGCAGATAGTAGGTTGGCTTCCCAGGCTGATTGCTACAGTTTGTGGGTCAGAGTACTATTTGTTTTTAATTTTTAATTTTTGTGGGTACACAGTAGGTATGTATATTTATGGGGTACATGAGATATTTTGATACAGGTATACAATGCATAGTAATTACATCAGGGTAAATGGGGTCTTCATCCCCTCATGAATTTGTCTTTTCTTTGTGTTACAAACAGTCCAATTATACTCTCCTAGTTATTTTAAAATGTATAATAAATTATTATTGACTCTAGTCACCCTGTTGTGTTATCTAATTTTTGTTTTTATATATGGTCTGACCATTGTCCATTTGCATATTCAGTCTTTCATTTTGCAATTTTGATGCACTGAATTTCTTTTTCTTGCCTTATCATGCTGGCTAGAACTTCCCAGTACAATATTGCATATAGAAAGGGTGACAGTAGACACGTTTGCCTAATTCATCTTGGAAAAAACATTCAGTCTTTCACCATTAAGTACAACGCTAGCCGTAAGTTTTCATAGGTGCCTTTTACAGGGGTGAGGAAGTTTCCTGCTATTCCTAGTTTGCTGAAAGTTTTCCTTTTTAAATCAATTTATGTTTGAGTTTCTCACACCCTTTTTTTTTGGCATCTATTCCACAGTTGCAATGTTGATGTGAATTTTCTTCTCCCTTCTTCGCCTTCCCTCTCTCCTCCCTCCCTCACTCCCTTCCCTCCCTTCCCTTCCCTTCCCTTCTCCTTCCTTCCTTCCCTCCCTCCCTCCCTTCCTCTTTTCCTTCCTCCCTCCCTCCCTTCCTCCCTCCCTCCCTCCCTTCCTCTCTCTCTTTCTGTAGGTATGATAAATTCTATTAATTGATTTTTAAATGTTAAATCTACCTTGGATTCCTGGGACAAATATCCTTTGGTCATGATGTATTATTCATTGTATATGTCCTTATATTTGATTTGCTAAAAATTTGTTAAGAATTCTTATATCTATGTTCATGAATGATATCAGTTTGTGTTTTTTTTTTTCCTTGTAATGTCCTTGTTTTTGATATCAGAATAATACTGGCATCAGAATGAGTTGGAAAGTATTCCCTCTTTTTCAATTTTGGGAAGAGTTGGTGTACAATTGGTGTTTTTTTTGTTAATGTTTGGTAGAATTTCTTAGTGAAACCATCCAAATGTGATGTTTCCTTTGTGAAAAGATTTTAACCACAAATTTAATTTCTGTCACCCAGCTGAGATTGTGCAGTGGTGCAATCTCAGCTCACTGCAAGCTCTGCCTACTGGGTTCACGCCATTCTTCTGCCTCAGCCTCCCGAGTAGCTGGGACTACAGGCACCCGCCACCACGCCCGGCTAATTTTTGGTATTTTTTAGTAGAGACAGGGTTTCGCCATGTTAGCCAGGATGATCTCGATCTCCTGACCTCGTGATCCGCCTGCCCCGGCCTCCCAAAATGCTGGGATTACAGGCGTGAGCCACCGTGCCCAGCCTATTTATTCTTAAGCTTTGGTAGTTTGTTTTTTCAGGTAATTTGCTCATTTCATCTAAGTTGTAGAATTAATTGGCAGAGTCATTTATAATATTACCTGATTATTATTTTAATATATGTAGAAGGAGTCATGTTTTTTTATCTCTCATTCCTGATATTCATGATTAGTGTCTTTTCTCTATTTGTTTCCCCATTGGTCTGAGTAGAGATTTATCAGTTTTACTGATCTCAGACAACCAGCTTTTGCTTTCATTGATTTTCTCTTTTGTATTTCTATTTTTGTTTTCTTGATTTCCACTATAATACTTATATTTTTTCCTTTCTTCTGCTTTCATGAGGATTAATTTATAGTAGTCCTCCTTATCCATAGTTTTGCTTTCCACAGTTTCAATTACCCTCAGCCAACCATGGTCTGAAAACATTACAAGGAAAATTCTAGAAATGAACAATTCATAAGGTTTAAGTTGCATTCTTTCCTGAGCAGCACATGAAACCTCACACCATCCAGGTTCATCCCGCCCTGGCTGTGAATCCTCCCTTTGCCCAGTGTCTCTGCACTGTGGGTGCTCTCTGCCTGTGAGTCACACTTGTAGACCACACGGGTTGTCAGATCCACTAATGAGGCCTCACCATGCTTGTGTCCAAGTCACCCTTACTTGACTTAATAATGGCTCCAAAGCACAAAAGTAGTGTTGCTGGCAACTCAGATATGCCAAAGAGAAGCTGTAAAGTGTTTCCTTTAAGTGAAAACATGAAAGTTCTCAACTTAATAAGGACAAAAATTGTATGCTGAGGTTGCTAAGATTTACACAAGAATAAATCTTCCATCCATGAAATTGTGAAGAAAAAGAAATTTGTGTTACTTTTGCTGTCTCATTTCAAACTACAAAAGTTATGACCACAGTGTGTGATAAGTGCTTAGTTAAGATGGAAAGGCATTAAATTTATTGATGGATGACATGGACAGAACATGTTCTGATTGACAGCGATGGGGATTGGCACTATCTGTAGTTTCAGGCACCCACTGCGGGTCTGGGAACCTATTCTATAAAAGAAGACTGCCGTACTGTTCTTTTTCTAGTTTTATAAGGTGCAAGCTGAGGTCATTGATTTCAGATCTTTCTTCTTTTCTATTATAAGCATTTAGTGCTGTAAATTTGGGATGGCATTTCAAAGTCTCCATATAATGAATACGGAGTGTTAAAATTGATTGGGACACTTGAAATTCTCATATTCTATCTTTACATTTTACAGTTAAGGAAACATATATTAGTCAGCATTTTACAATTAATTTATGTACCACTCTTGGTGTTTATTGAAAAAATTTCTCGGGTGAAACCAGTTTTGGAATGTTACCTATCTTTATATTCAGAGACAGACTCTGTCTGTTCTGTTTTAATCTTGTTAACTGAATCCAAAATTACATTCTAGTTACTCTTTGTGGGCCTAGAACAGCCTTCAGTGAAATGCAATCCCAATTTTCTTCTGTAAGCACAGTCTGTTTGTTCCCATCTATCCTAGGGTCCAGAATTCTTGAGGAAGGGGAATTTCATTAGACATACTAAGCCAAAAGAAGATGTCACACTGAAGAAGGTGGCTGTGTGAATTCTGACCCGTAAGTTGGGAGGCACAAGGACTGAATGAGGATGGTTAATGAATGGATGTTCACAGAAGGAGATGCTGAGATTTCACAAGAGAATAACCAGAACGTGCATGCTGGCTGTTCTTTGTTTTGGTAGCAATAACTCAACCAAAATACTTCACATTCCAGATTACTTAAGGAGGTATATTTTGACCCTTGTTTGTGTACGGTATGCATCAGAGGTTTGAAGAATGAATGAATGAATGAATGAATGTCATGTACTTCTGTGTACTATTTACCTTCTATAATTCATAACCATTCAACTTTTCTCATAGCTGAAATATAGCATAACTTGTTTTTCTTTTTTTGGTAGAATTGGTTTAATCTAGTAAAAAAAGCCTACGAATATTAATAGGACTCAAACCTTTGTCAATTTCCTTTCTCACTTTGGCCCAATTTTGTAAATTCACTCTCAGCAGAGAGGAGTAAGATTAGAAATACCAGAAATTGGATTGAAATGTGACTTAGAATCAACACATCACCCCCTTGTTGAAGTCCAGAAGAAAGGGCTGTGCAGAAGAGAACAGATGGTTGTGTTTAAGGCACAAATTTCTTCTGGCTTCCTAATTCAGCAAGGAAGAAAGGAATCCACAGCCACAGCCTCCCCTTGGCTGCTGTGTTTTGTCATGGAAGTCAGAAACAACTGCAGTGGGCTGTCAAGGAGCTGAAGGCAGCTAAACCCTCTCTCCTTTAAAAAAAAATAATGGTCATCGTTTTCCACCCTTATTAACCAGTTTTCAGAATCTTAGTACATTTCTATGAAACAGCAAATTATTTAGCAGGTAAAAAAAAAGTGGGCCAGGCTTATTTGAAATCTAGCTAAGAGCAGATGGTGGGAGGGAAAGGGTTATGCATGGTACTGCATAATGTGGTGCCCAATAACGTTAGGATGAAGACTTTATTATTTTCCCTGGATGAGAAAATGTCCAGCCTGAATGCATGATTACATTGGTTAAACACTTGTCAGTAGTTTTGGACTAACTTTATATGTGCATATTTATCTGTAGGCTGACTTTTGTGAAGAGACTGAATCAAAATTAGATTGTCAAAAATGATGAGGGTCAGGAAGAAATTATAGAATCCTGACCATGTGTTTGAGAAAGACAAGCAGAACTGAGTTTGACAGACACTTCTGTTTCCTTTGCTTTAACTTCAGTCTGAGACAGTGAGACTAATTAATATACCAGAGGTAATCATTTCAAACCAAGGAGCGTTTTTTGGACACCTACAGTACATTGTACCTTGTTAGAATATAGAAGATCTAACATGCATTGTTCTTTGCCAAAGGGTTGTGGTTTGGAACCACATGAGACAAGCTGGGCAGTTATTAATCTGTCTTTTATGAATTGCCGAAATGAAAATCAGAAAGGGCTAAACTATGTGGCCAAGACAATGAGAGCTGTGAGAGGTCAGTATAGGATGAAATTAGTGTTCTGGAGATACAGGAGAAGATTTCAGAGACGGGTCAGTCTTGCAATAGACATTGAAGGGTCTGTTTACATATACATAGTCTAGTATATCAAAGGGAGGCATATGTGTATCCCAGGAACTGGGGTGAGAATCAGCAAACGCTTAGAAGCATCAATATGCAATGCGTGATCTTGGGTGCGAGGAAAACATATCCTGCAGTCCAGCACTGGAGTTAAGACTTTAGTCTCTGAAGTCAGAAAGCCTGGGTTCAAATCCTGGCTCTATACAGTGTGTACTTGTACAAGTTAAATATTATTTAACCTGAGAATGCAGAATGTTAAAAGTTCATAATATGTTTTTCAACTCAGTCTATGCAAGCCACCTCTCTTATTATTTACTGACTTATGTACTTTTATCGTCACATCCTGGGATGGATTTGACCTTAGGCAAGGCAGCTCTCTGCAGCTCAGGGGATCCCTGAAAAGGCTGGGGTTTGTCAAACCCCGGGAGCAGGGGTAATGATTCTCCGTTGAATGGGGATCGGGGCAGTGTGTCTTCACGTCCATCAAACTGATGGAACTCTGAGTTTTAAGGGTCTATGTATGGATTCTGGATAAATGTTTGTTATTATTTGCAAACAATACGTTTTAGCTCTTCCCTTCCTATTCTTAGATCTCTTTCTTTCTTGGCAGGGAACTCCAGTGCTATATTCGGCAGCAGTAGTGATAGTGGCCATATTTTTCTTGTTTCTAGTCTTTAAAAGAATGCTATCAATATTTCCGTATTAAGTATAATGGTTGTTATCGATTTTTCATATAACCTGTATGGAGAGAAGAACAGCCCTATCTTTCCCTAGCTACTTGAATTTTTAAAATATTATAAATAGGTGCCGGATTTTGTCAAATGATTTTTCCGCATTGATTTAGATATGCAGTTTTTCTTCTGTTAGTCTATTAATGTGGTGAATAATATTGATTTTTTCATGTTGTGCTATGTTTGCATTACTAATTAATCCATGATTGATCATGATATATTATTTTAAAAAACACAATGTTGTATTCAGTTTTACTTAAGGGTTTTGGCATCAACATTTAAAAGCAATGGACCTATCAACCTCATAAAATGATCTGGGCATTTGAACCTCTAAAAAATATTGTTGGTGGTGTTAGTGGTGGTGGTGGTGGTGGTGGTAGAGAAGAGAGGAAGTGGTTGGTGATCATTTCAGTTATTATTATTTTTTGAGATGGAGTTTCGCTCTTGTTGCCAGGGCTGGAGTGCAGTGGTGCCTTCTCTGCTCACTGCAACCTCCGCCTTACGGGTTCAAGCAATTCTCCTGCCTCAACCTCCCAAGTAGCTGGGATTACAGGCACCTGCCACCACGCCCAGCTAATTTTTTTATTTTTAGTAGAGACAGGGTTTCACCATGTTGGCCGGGCTGGTCTCAAACTCCTGACCTCAGGTGATCCGCCCACCTCGGCCTTCCAAAGTGCTGGGATTACAAGCGTGAGCCACTGTGCCTGGCCTCAATTTCTTTAATACTTGAGATTTTTTTCAAGTTCTTTTTTATTCTTGGGATTTTTTATCATGTTTCCTAGATATGCATCTCTTATGTTTATGTAGTTATTTATAGTAGTTTTTATAACTTTAATTTTTAAATAACAGCTTTATTTTGATATAAATACTATGAAGTTTACCATTTTAAGTGTATAGTTTGGTGATGGTTATTTGGTGGAGTTTTGCATGGATCACCACCACTGCTTCCAGAACATTTACACCACATCCTCCAAAACCCCTAAACTCACTAGCAGCATAGGTTAGTAGTATTAAACAAAGTCTGTGCCTATTCTCCCCTTTGTAAAGCCCCTAGCAACCATTAATCTATTTTCAGTCTCTGTAGATTTGCTTATTCTGGATATTTTTATGTGTAGAATCATATCATGTGTGCCCCTTGTTTCTGACTTCTGTCACGTAGTGTAATATTTCAAGGCATATCCATGTTGTAGCATGTGTGAGAGTTTCATTCCTTTCTATAGCTGAATGATATTTATCATAGGATATACTGCAGTTTTAAAATCCATTCATCAGTTGATGGATATATGAATTATTTCCACATACTGATTATTATGAATAATGCTACTACAGTCATGGACAAGTTTTTGTGTGAATATGTTTTTCAATTCTCATGAGCGTACACCTATGAGTGAAATTTCAGAGTCATATGGTAACTCTCACTTCTTCATGAACTGCCAAACTGTTTGCCAAACTGGCCACACCATTTTATGTTCCCACCAGGAGTGTGTAAGGTCTCAATTTCTCCACTTCCTTGGGGAACACTTGTTATTGTCTGTCTTTCTGATGGCCACCTTAGCATGTGTGAAGTGATATTCCAAGGACCTATTTTTCCAGTGACCAATGATGGTGAATATTTTACCAATGACCAGTGATGGTGAGTATCTTTTCATCAACTTATTGACCATTTGTATATCTCTTCTGGAGAACCAATACCTCCCCTCAAGCCTCACAACTCGCACCTTGACTATAAATCCCTTGTTCTGATTGTATTTGGAATCAAGTCCAGTTCCATGCTGGAGCATTTCTTCCCTTCTTGCAATAGTTTTTGAATGAAATCTATCTTTACCACTTTAACATCTGCCCAGCTCTGGTTTTCTTTAACTAAGTCCTTTGCCCATGATTTTAATTGAGATATTTGTCTTTTTATAATTAAGTCGAAAAAATTGTTTACACATTTGGGATAAAAGTCCCTTAACAGATACATGATTTGAAAATATTTCTCCCATTCTGTGTGTTGTCTTTTCACTTTCTTTTTGTTTTTGTTTGTTTGTTTGTTTGTTTGTTTGCTTGTTTTCGAGACGGAGTCTTGCTCTATCACCAGGCTGGAATGCAGTGGCATGATCTCGGCTCACTGCAACCTCTGCCTCCTGGGTTCAAGTGATTCTCCTGCCTCAGCCTTCCAAGCAGCTGGGACTACAGGCACCCACCACCATGCCCAGCTAATTTTTATCTTTTTAGTAGAGGCGGGGTTTCACCATATTGGCCAGGCTGGTCTTGAACTCCTGACCTCGAGATCCACCCACCTCAGCCTCCCAAAATGCTGGGATTACAGGTGTGAGCCACCGGTGTCTTTGAAGCACAACATTTAAAAATTTTGATGACATCCAATTTATTTATTTTTCTTGTCACATGTGCTTTTGGTGTCACATCTAAGAAGCCATTGTTTAACTCAAGGTTACAAATATTCAAAGGCTTTTATAGTTTTGGCTGTTACTTCAAGGCCTACAATACATTTTGAGTTAACTTCTGTATATGGTAGGAGGTAGGAGTCCAACTCCACTGTTTTGCATATATTTAATTGTCCCATCATTATTTGTTGAATTGTGCTGGCATGGTTGTCAAAAATCCATTAACCACCAATGGAAGGATTTATTTATGGATTCTTTTCTTTTTTTTTTTTTTTTTTTTTTTTTTTTTTGAGACGGAGTCTCGCTCTGTTGCCCAGGCTGGAGTGCAGTGGCGGGATCTCGGCTCACTGCAAGCTCCGCCTCCCGGGTTCACGCCATTCTCCTGCCTCAGCCTCCCAAGTAGCTGGGACTACAGGCGCCCGCCACTACGCCCGGCTAATTTTTTGTATTTTTAGTAGAGACGGGGTTTCACCGTTTTAGCCGGGATGGTCTCGAACTCCTGACCTCGTGATCCGCCCGCCTCGGCCTCCCAAAGTGCTGGGATTACAGGCGTGAGCCACCGCGCCCGGCCTTATTTATGGATTCTTAATTCTATTCCATTGATCTATATATCCATCTTTATGCCGGTACCACCCTGTCTTGATTACTATAGCTTTTTAGTAAGTTTTGAACTGGGGAGTGTGAGCTCTCCAACTTTGTTCATTGCAAGATTGTTTTGGCTAATCTGAGTCCACGTGAGTTTTAGAATCAGCTTGTTCCTAAGTAGTTTTTTTTTATGCTATTGGAAATGAAGTTGTTTAATTTCATTTTTAGATTGTTAATTGTTAGTGTTTAGAAATGCAATTGGTTTTTGTATTTTGATCTTGCTTCTTGCAGCCTGGCTGAATTCGTTTCTTAATTGTAATTTTTGGTGGATCAGTTAGGATTATGTCATCTGCAAGTAGAGAGAGTTTTATTTCTTCTTTCCAGTTTAGATGCTTCCCTCACCTCCCTCACCCCCACAATTTGTTGCTTAATTGTCCTGTTGTGAACCTCCACTACAGTGTCAAATGGAAGTGGCAAAAGGGGATGTTCTTGTCTTGCTCCTCATCTTAGGGGGAAAGCTTCTGATCCACCATGAAGTTTGCTGGTAGGGTTTTTCACAGATGGCCCTATCAGGTTGGGAAACTTCATTGCTATTCCTAGTTGTTGAGTGTTTTTGTCATGAGAGGGTGTTAGATTTTGTTCAAAGCTTTTTCTGGCTCTATTGAGATGATCTTAGGGTTTTTGCCTTTCCTTCTATAAATGTGGTACATTACATTAATGGGTTTTCATCTATTAAACCAATAAATCTTACTTGGCCATGGTATATATTCCTACTACCTAATATGTCTGCTTTATATTTTTTATGATTTCATGTTTTTGCTTCATATTGGTAATATCTTCTCAACTTCTTAAATATACTTATCTTTCTTATTTAAAAGTCTTGGTTCATATATTCCAATATTTTTGTTTCACTTGGTTTTGTGCCCGTTGCCTACAAGAATGTCGGTGCTCCGGACTAAAACAGGAACATTGAGCAAGGGATTTGATATAGGAGGAAAGATAATGGTTCTTTCTGGAAGTGCAGACAGTCCCAAACTTACAATGTTTCAACTTAACAATTGTTCGACTTTATGAGAAAACGATACACCTTCTGTAGAAGCCATACTTCAGTACAGTATTTAATAATTCACATGAGATCGTCAACACTATATTATAAAACAGGCTTTGTGGTAGATGATTTTTGCCAGCTGTAGGCTAATGTAAGTGTTCTGAGCATGTGTAAGGTAGGCCAGGCTAAGCTATGGTGTCGGGTAGGTTAGGTGTGTCAAATGCATTTCGATTTAGGTGATGCATTTCAATTTCAGTTTACCGCAGGCTTATGGGGAGAAATCCCATCGTGAGTCAAGGAGCATCTGTACTGAGTTTCAGTAGGGTGTTCGGATAGCTAAAGGGCAAGGTTGTGAAGGTGGTTAGGAAGAGGAGAAAAAAAAGTTGGGAGGGGAGGGAAAGATAAGATTCTGAGAAATGAAAACTGGCAGTTGAAGAGCTTGAGAGCTGGAAGGCATTAGAGCAGTGCCCCTGCCAAAAGTGGGCTTCCTTCATGCTCCACACCTCTCAGCCTGCTGTTTTCAGGTTGCCGGCGGGTTGGCCTTGAGACTATTTCTCCCTGATTTTGCCTCTCACTGAGGTGCTATCCAGCTGAAGCCAGAAGACAGCTCACTCAGTCTGGTTTCTTTTCCTGCCAATCTGGGCTTGGCAGCCACCAGGGAGAGATGGGAGAGTTGAAAAGAGAGGAAAGGAAAGCCGCAATTTTTAAAAATCCATTTTCCTAGGAAGCACTGGGGGAGCTGGTGAAACATCTAATGCCCCAAACTCTATCCCTAGTAATTCTTATTATTCAGTCACGAAACTGCCTTTTAAAAAAACTCCCTGTGATTCTGAATAGGTGATCCAAGGATCAAACTGAGAGAGAATGGAAAGGAAAGGACTCTTGCAGTTTGACCTCCGGCAGTCCCCTCTCAGCTCTCCCCAGGAGTGGGTGCTTTGCGTGCCCTCACCTCTAGAAATGTAAACCTCTGCCTGTGTTTCTCTCTGGCTTCTCTCTGGTCCCTCTAGTTGAGGGAGAGGCATGACATAGAGCTCTGGGCGTTTCTTGGTGGGTGGGTACTTGCATTAGTTCAGTTTTCACCCTGCTGATAAAGACATTCCTGAGACTGGGTAATTTATAAAGAAAAAGAGGTTCTACGTGGTTGGGGAGGCCTCGCAATCATGGTGGAAGGCAAAAAGCATGTCTTACATGGTGGCAGGCAAGAGAGAATGAAAGCCAAGCAAGAGAGGTTTCCACTTATTAAACCATCAGATCTTGTGAGACTTATTCACTACCATGAGAACAGTATTTGGGGAAACTGCACCCATGATTCAATTATCTCCCACCAGGTCCCTCCCACAACATGAATTATGGGAATTATGGGAGCCACAATTCAAGATGAAATTTGGGTGGTGACACAGCCAAACCATATTAGTATTGATTAAATACAGATAATATATTTCCAAAATATATAATCCAGCTTCTCTAGCCAGGTGGTTGAGTTGAGGATGCATTACAATTTAAAATAAAAGTCCTGCAACTCAAAAAATCCTCTACTCAACCACCTGGCTAGAGATGATGGATTACGTATTTCAGAAATTCCCTGTTTTTCTTTCATCATGCCATCAATTGAAAGCAACCTGCAAACAGACTAAAATCTGGGTCTTTGAGTAAGCAAATAGAAAAATTGAAAAGCAGGTGGGGGTTGAGCTGCAGGTGATAATGGAATTGCAGCTGGCAGCATGTTCCTTCTTCCCCTAAGGCCTGTAAAGTTGGATTAAATAAAACAAATACTGGTGGAATAATCAAATATGCTTTGGAGTACTTAACTCTGTTTGGGGACTCAGAAAGATGGGATTCAAAAGAAAAAATTTCTGTTTTCCCGTCATTAGGTGAAACAAAGCTGCTTACCTATTTTTCTACAGTATTATAGCTGGCCCCAGCTGCACTGGTGAGAGAATTTTCATCCCTGCCCCACTTCCACTGAGTAATTTTCTGTGCAAAAAACTGACTCAAGGGTGGGGAGGGCAACATTAGTGTAGAGATGGGAGCAACAGATAGGCTGTTCTGTGCACATTATTTTACACTGAGAAATGTTCTTTATAGAATTCGCTGATCACTTTTTTCAGGTTATAAATGTTATGTATTCCTAGAAGTATTTTTTGAAAATAATGTGGATACAAAATCTTCAAAAATAAAGTCACATTTTAAGTGCACCCTAGGAATTTGACTTTTAAAATATAATTTGATGAGAGATGGAGAATCTCTTTGTTCAGCAAATACTCTACAATTTTGTTTGTTTAGTTAATCCAACTTTTTCTTCTATTATTGCTCTGTTTAAAGCGAGTTTTGTTTAAGTTGTGTTTACTGTAATCCGATTTACCTAGCTACTTAAATAGTTAACGAGTATTTAAAGAGCAACAGCCCTGTGCAGAATATTTAAAGGTGTGTTGTGGGGTTGGATCAAGAGAAATGGAAGATTCACTCAGAATAACCGAGTTCAATTTGAGAATAATTAATGATACATGCTACAAAGTATAAAGTAATAGGGTAAAAAGATAATCTAATATAAAAATGTTATACAGAATAATGAGGTGATCAGAGTATGTTGGGGGAGCTCCTGGGAGCCTTGTTGCAGCTGTTGACCTTATTGGGGTTGTCTGAGAGACTGCCCTGCCTGCCTTGTCATTCACATAAGGGTGGGGACACTTGTCCGTTGTTTTTTCCCACAGACTAAACCTCACTCGAAATCAGTGGCTATCCATTCACATGTGATCTCTCTGTGGCCCCTCTCAGTGATCCCAGGTGATCCAGCCATGCCCTCCGCCCCTCTGCCCAGATGCTTCAGGGGCCCTGCTTTTCAGGCTTGCCCTCACCAGTGGCCATCGGCCAACACTCAGGGATGTAGCTAACACCACTCCACCAGTGCTTTCGGTAGGAAGAGCTGAGGCTGCCTGGGAGGCCCGGGGCAACAGGAAAAGGGCTCTCTCAAGAAAAGAGAATCTCCCACCAGATCGAATTGCAACCCCTAAGCTTGTTCAGCCTTATGGTCTGAATTCAGATTAGGTTGTCACTCAGTCTGAGATGTCAGGAAAGGCCTTCTGCAGACAAAATGTCCCCTCTCCCCGCCCATCTGCAGCCAGGTGTGTGCTGCACGGCAACCTTCCCAAAACATAGTGTGGATTTTAAAAATTTGTTTATTTTTGTTTCTCAACCACTTTATAATGTATTTTTAAATTTATTTTGTAATATCTTGTTTTTAAGTATTGCTGCTATCCCTGTTATCCTTCCCATTGTTTTCATCACTGATTTATTTTGTGAAAGTTGTACACTGTTGTTCTGTTTTATGTCAAAATCAAAAGTATTTAATGAAATACTAGTTCTATTTAATGTGGTTATGGAACCAGCTGGAAACACAAAACAAACAGTGATTGTACAGCAGGCTGGACCCAGGAGGTCAGGTTCATTTTGTTACATACGCAATAAACTCATGACTTTACAAAAAAAAAAAAAAGAAAGAAATCGGTGGCTATCACACTAGTCCTTGCTCTTGCCAGTAGTGGGGTTAATTTTTGGACTCCACACAGGTTCTTAGTCCAGCCACAAATTTTATAGAAGAAACCTGAGACATCAGAAACTGTAGCTCAGGATTGGCTCATGTTGTTTAAGATTCCACATTTCAGAAGGATTTGTTAACTTTGTTACTTCACATTACCCAGTCTTCTCTGACTTTAATACTGATCACATTGGCTTTATTTTTTCTCTTATCCCTACCTTTAACTTCTCTTCAAGGGCTTTCTGGGGAAATAGTGCTTTTTTCCCCAAACTGCAAAAGAGAAGCCTAGATGAGCCTGTGTTCTTTTATTTCTCATGTGACTCTGTTTAAAATGCACAGACATCATAGAGACATATTTAGCTCTGTACTGAACACCACAGAAAACTGTTCCTCCAGGCTTTGGTGGTAATTTAATTTTTTGAGTTGCAGGACTTTTATTTAAAATTGTAACACGTTGATGTAGTCACTTGTGTAGGCAGACAGCCACGTAGATAATTACAAACATGATTCCACAATCACAGGCACTGCACATCCCACCGTACATGATTTTTTTCTCCAGCAAAAATTTGCTTTTTCCTAATACTTTTTATGGTAAGTGTTCCTCACTTTAAATGCTGTTTTAAACATATTTTGGAAGAAACGAAGTGACCTAATTCTAGAAACATTGGGACTACCCTTTTTGCTTTTGGAAATTGAACGGATTGCTGTGTAGAAGAAGAAAGACCCCAGGAGAACATCTAGTGTAGATGGATGGCATATGTATTAGTCAGCCTAGGCTGTGTCATAACAAGATACCAGATTTGGGGGCTTAACCAACAGATATTTATTTTTTTGCTGTTTTGGAGGCTAGAAGTCCATGATCAAGGTGGCAGCAGGGTCGGTTTCTGGCGATGGCTCTCTCCTGGCGTGTAGACAGCCGCCTTCTTGCTGTATCCTCACATGGCCTTTTCTCTGTGCACATGGACAGAGAGCACAATCTCTGATGTCTCTTCCCCTTCATATAAAGACACCGGTCCTATCAGTTAGGGCCCCACCCTTGTGACTTCACCTAACCTTAATTACCTCCTGACAGACCCTGCTTCCAGATACAGTCACATTGGGCATGAGGGCTGCAACACAATTCAGTCCAGAATAAAACAAATGTCCACGATCCTATAATTAAAAGCTAAGGCATGGCACCTTCAGCCACAGAAGCCTGCATATCTGATCACAGGTCTAAGGACACTTTACCAAGCTAGTATCTAGTGGATCCCTGACTCTTGGAAACAGTAGAGGAGTTAATTCTGCCTTGTCCCAAACCTCTCTTCCTCAACACACTGCCTCTGTTTGAGCTGTGGACTCTGCAGCAAGACAGCTGCCACCCTGAATCTCCACTTTTGCACCAGTTGCAGCAAACCCTCAGTTTCTTCAGAGCTTATGCTTCAACTGCAGTCTTCATCAGCTCACCTGCTGAGACGTTTCCTCCACCGTGCACTCTGTCAAATGCCTGTGGGCAATGCCGCTTAGGACTATCTCTGGTCTGTGGGCTCCCTTGCTCCTCTCTGACCTGTACTGCAGCCATGGAGTTTAGAGATGGAAGTAGATGTGTGAGTCTTTCAATTTCATTTTTGGAACGCAACGGGATCTGTAACAACATGTTTCAAATGTACACGACACTTTTACACAATGGTCTTAATTCTTCAAGGGTCTTGGGTTCTTGTTCCGAGGTTAACTTATTCTTTCCTTCACATGCTCAATCACTGAAATGACAAATCTTTATTGAGCACCGGCCATGTGTCAGGCATTGTGATAGATTTTGGGGATACAACAGTGAAACCAACAGATATAATCTCTGTTCACTGAAAACTTGTAAGTTGTGGGACCTTGAGAAAATCTCTTGGTCTTTCTGGGACATATATTCCTCATCTTAAGGTAGGACTATTAGAATGATAAATCATCAGTGTTAGAATGAATCTTTAAAATGATGATTTTTCCATCTGATTATTGGAATGATTTGATCTTCTAAGTAATCTAAAATTTCAAAAAAGCATTAATAAGAAAACTTAAAGTCACTTGTAATCCATATAAACAATGCTAATCCTTTTGTACATTTCTTCCTAGATCTTTGCCTTGTATATGCATACAGATGCATATACGTTTTTGTTTAAAAATTTATATTCTGATTAGAAACTGCCTTTTAATATTTATTATATATATATATTTCTATGTCATTGAATATTATCATTATGCTTGCCAGTGGCTCTTTGGTATCTATTATATGGATATATTACAATATTTATCCCTCTTGTTTTAGGGCATTTAACTTATTTTCCCATGTTTACTACTATAAATAAATGGAAATACATGTCTCTGATTGCTTCCTTAGAATAAATTCAAAGAAGTAGGATTGTTGACTCAAACAAGTTTTTGCTTTGGATATATATTACAAAATTTCCATCCAGGAAGCTTGTATCAATTTACATGCCTATTATCTATGTACACAAGTGCTAGCTTTTTCTGCATCTTCACCAATATGGATATATATATTTTGTAAATCCTTGCCAATTTGATGGGAGAAAGAAACACATTTTTTAAATTAAACAGTTGTAAGGTAGCACTTGGATGAATTTCTTTTTGTAAGTCTTTTAACTATTAGTATTTCTACAATTCCTATTTCTATCCTTTGTCTATTTTAATGTTGTTTCTTTCTGAATAAATTTGTGAGGACACTTCTGATCTCAAAGATAGTAAAGCCATTTTCTTTTACATGCTGCAAATATTTTTCCTACTTTGTGGTTTTCTTCTTACACATACGTATTTCAAATTTGTAGCCAGGTCCATCAGTCCTGCATTTTTTTCTTTCTTTGCTTAGAAAACTTTCCCATCACAAGGTTAAATATATTTTCCTAGTTTTCTTTTAGTCCCAAATTATTGACTCTATTTTGGGACTTTTTATTATATTCCATGTATTTGTCTGTTTATTCTGCCATTAAAGCCATATTATATTTGTTCTGTTTTTTCATATATAAGATCTTTAGTTTCTTTTTTTTTCTCATTTTACTTTTTATTCTAAGCATTCTAGAAATTGTCTCTATCTTGACTTCTACATAGATCTCCTGTGTTGATTCTGCTATTAAAGTGAAAGACCTTCAAGATAAAGCTATGATGTTTTGAATTTCCATTCTGTATTAACTCAGACCCTAATACCTTATCTCAATCTGTTGTCTTATCTCATCTTTCAGCTTTTACCCTGTTGATATTTTCTTGAATTAAATGACAAAAAAGTGCCATTTAAAACTTCTACTTATTGTAGTAAATATTTTGCAAACAATTGCTTAATTTCCTTGATAGTTTCTCAAAACCTTCTTTCATATTTTTTTCACAGTTTTTTTTTTATAGATGCCACCAATCTT
This sequence comes from Homo sapiens, assembly GCF_000001405.40. NCBI lineage: Eukaryota > Metazoa > Chordata > Mammalia > Primates > Hominidae > Homo > Homo sapiens. The sequence goes on along the minus strand of NC_000008.11, from coordinate 40,773,491 downwards.
TGGCAGAGCAGAAGGTTATTAAAGCCAGCCATGTTTCCCTGCTATGTGTGATTGGCCTTGGATCTTTCCAACATCTACCTAAAGCCTTTTAGAATCTTCTGATTTGATTTTAGCACTAGGACTCAGTTAAAGACCATTTCAGTAGCCCAGTGGCCTGGGCAGGAGGTCTGGGACCTGGCACCTCGGGGTCTTCCAGCAGAGGAGTTTGACTTCTTCCTTCCCTATGTTGGAGAAGCCTTCCTTTAGGGACCAGCTTTCTCTTCCTAGAGTTTTAGTTGACCCATCATTCATTCTAGGTACACGGAGTTTCTGTGCCCAATGTTCTTCCCCTGACAAATAAGAGAAGATACATCCATTTGGAAAAGAGTTCCATTCGTTAGAGGGAATCCCCAGCACTTGTGGTTTTCTATTTGTCTTGTCTGCATTTGACCCTGCCTCCTAGTGAGACCATGCTGCACCTTTTCCAGGGCTCATCCCTGGGACCCTCAGTGAAGGGATGCTTCCTGGGGTTTTGCCAGGATGCCCTTTCATTTCATCCTGTGTGATGGAGTCCCTCATCTCGCATCAGCCGGTTGTTTTGCAGGAACCCGTGTTCTAGATGTTTGGTGTTTGCTGTCCCTTCCCTATTGGCTCCTCTTCTCCCCGGAATGACCTCAAATGTGGTGGCATGTGAGAATCACTCTTTGTTCCAGGTTTTCCTGTTTTATTGAGGTCCTCGGCTTATTTTAGCTGGTTTCTAGAAGAGGTATAATTAGATCCTTCTGATGAAATAAGATGGTGGAAGACTTATCTAGGAAATCAGAAATGGATCTTAAAGCTTATTTGAGATAACACCTCTCCTGCCAGCCTCACAACTGTGATTCGGGGATGAAATAAGATGATGAAGGTGGAAGGACTTTGAAGACTGCCTGAAGCATTATGCAAATACAAGGTTGCTTTGTTATCGCCACGTTTTATGATACCAGAAATCAGTAGCCCTGCTGGAAGCAAATTTGAGTTGTGAATTTTTTTGAGGCATGTGTGATAATGGAAGATGGTTATTTAGGTGAGGCAAAAAGCCATTCTATTTCTATGTGTTTCACCTCCTTCTTTCACAGCAATACATCTGAAATAGAGGTTTGTCTTGTTCTTTATTCCCCCAAAGAGAAGGCTGGCCTGAATTTCCATTTTAGACTATTTCCTTGAGTGCCAAGAGATTGTTTCAGCAAAAGAAACTAATCTTCAGATAGGTCTGTCCCCGCACAATGCCTAGGATCGGGGGTAAAGGCTTTAATTAAAATGGAAGAGTTGGTAATTTCTGGTTGATCTGGGAAGCTTAAAGTTGATGTGGTTTGAATGAAATAAATGAGTTTTGCTCAAAATGCAAATATTAATGCAAAAAAGAGCCTGGGATTGACTCTCAGTGTAATTGGAAGAGATTGTTAATTCTTTTTCATGTCTTTTCCCTTAATGTAATGGTTCTTTTTTTCCCCCTGAAACTCTGTAATATATACATTTAACAAGTGGGTATTAAGTGTTCTCCTTAAAGTTCTTTTCACTTGGCAGTTTGCCTGTCTTTTCAGACTCTTAAAAGCAGTGGAAATTTTGGTACTAATAAATCTTGGGAAAAAGTAATAAGGATGTGTTTTTGCTTGTGTTTATTTGGATGACGTAAGAGCCAGTTTCAGATGTAGCTTTTCCTCCAGTCCTTCACAGTGTAGTTGTGCGTATAGCTTAGGCCTACCCATCCTCTAGTCTCTATTTATACACAGAAAGTGAAAGTGACACTTATGTACCCTGGCATATGTATGTACTAAAATGAAGTTTTAAAATTGGAAGTAGCATATATTGCTCTTGGGTTAAGAAGGCTCATCTAATACCAAGTACTCCAATGAAACAGAAATGCATTTTGAATGTTAATAAGACATTAACAAGGGTTGATGAAAATGTGGACAATTATACCAGTATACATTAACAGCATTTCTGATCAGTGATGCTTTTTACTAATTACAATAATTGTGGGTAAAAAGTATACACAATGTGAAATCAAAATGGCTTAAGCATTGCAAAATTATTATTATTATATTTATGTTATAGGCAAATTTGTTATAAAAATAAAAAATAAAAACCAGTCATACTCCCCATATCCTAATGAATCATGGGTTTTTTTTCTTTTTCTTTTCTACCTGTATTATCTACTTAAGCACTTTTGTGTAATTGTAATCATAGTATCTGTGCAGTTTTGAGTTTAGCATTTTTCTTTCAACATTCATTATATATGTAGGTACATATATATGTATATATATAATATACATTTAAAAACCTTTATATATATGTGAGTGTGTGTGTATATATATAAAGTTTCTTCCCCCCCGCAATTCTCCCTTTAACACAGGGCATGCCACGGCTGCTTTATCAGCCTTCTGTTGTTAAATCTGCAATTGTCTCCCTAATTTTTTGTTCCTATTTAGGTAATGCGGCAATGGATATCTTTGTTTCAATTAATTTTAACTTTCTTGTTGTAGGAAAGTTTTTGTTCATTTGTTTGTTTTTTAGAATAAATTGAAAGGAGTGAGATTACTGTGCCAAATCTCATAGAATTTCCAGTAGGTACAGGGTAGAGAGGAGCCAGTTAGAGGAAGACACTGTAAGTGTCTCAGAGTCTCATTTAGAGAGAGGGGTGAGAAAGCCAGGAAGAAAGGAAAGGATGGCTGAGGTGGGCGGCTCACTTGAGGCCATGAGTTAGAGACCAGCCTGGCCAACATGGTGAAACCCTGTCTCTACTACAAATACAAAAACTAGCCAGGCGTGGTGGCACGCTCCTATAATCCCAGCTACTGGGGAGGCTGAGGCAGGATAATTGCTTGAACCTGGGAGGTGGAGGTTGCAGTGAGCTGAGATTGTGCCATTGCACTCCAGCCTGGGCGACAGAACGAGACTCTGTCACAAAAAAAAAAAAAAAATGAGAGAGAAAGAAAGAAAGGGAGGAAGAAAGGGAGGGAGGGAGGGAAGGAGGGAGGGAGGAAGGAAGGAGGGGGCTCCCTGGCAGGTCTCCATCCTCAGGTGCCACAGGCCTAGGTTGGAGGCAGGGCAAGCTGTAGAAACCCCAGGAACGATCTGCAGGGAACCTCTTTCCCTTTGTCAACCAACGTAATTTGGAAGCAGCTTTGGATTTGAGTCAGGCCAATTGGGAATGTGACTCCACACTCCTCCCCCTGAGAAGTCTGCAGATTTTCACTTCCTGCTGGAAGTTGTGGGCAGGGAAAGCAGTGAATCTGGTCCAGGCACCTTGGGGAAAGCAAAGAGAGGGAAAAACGGTGCCCAGGGAAAAGGAATGCTGCTAAATAATGAACTAGGATGCCTCCGCCATCATTCCAGAATCAGGTGGTATTTGCCAAAGCTCTGATTTTCCTCACCGGAAACCCTAGGCAAGGGCACTGCCTGAGGTGTAGCCATTCCTTTTCCTGCCAAAACTGGAGGTGGGGGGCCCCGAGGGAGGAAAACAGGCCTGTACTGATCAAAATCACTAATAAGCCTCAAATCCCAACATCTCACATCACTAATGGCTTCATATCAGAGCTTGGCATTTATTTTCCTTTCCTTTTCAGCCAATGGGTTCTGACTAGTTTGTCTAGCTGTAATTAAATAACTCAGTGAACTCTGCCTTTACTAGAAGGTCTTTTTAAAAGAAATGGAATACTTTAGATTAAGAGGAAAAAAAAAAAACAGCCACAAACCAGGCCGCATGATGAGATTTCCAGTTTTGCCATAATTTCATTCTCTGGAAATCCAGAGCTTTAGGAGATTGATAATGCAGGGAATGTGAAAAGAAGTTCCTCTATGGTAACAAATGTAAAATTGAAAATCCACTTCAGCCACATTTGAGCTCACATTGTTCCCACTTATTTTTCCACCCATTATCGTCTGCGTGCTTTATCACCAGCTCAGGCTCTGTCCACATTCAGCATCTTGCAGGTTAAATGTTCCTTTTTATTCTTTTGACTGTAGTAGTAGTCCCAATATAACCATGACTCCTTCCTTACCTCTAAAATACCCTCAGCAAAATGGCAGAAAATATGTACAGATGTTAGTAAGCTGCAAATTTATTTGCAAAGAGAAAAATATAAGCCTGCATTGTCATTTTCAAAAACATGTAGAAGCCGCAAAATAATGTTGACTCATCTGACATACATCTACATGTCTGTTTCTCTTAAAAAATCTTCTAGACAAAAATAAACAAACAAACAAACAAAAAAAACTCCAGATGACCTTTGATTAAAACCTACTATGTAACCTAGAAATGGTGCTATAAGTGTTGA